>NC_000003.12:63343333-63646363 GCF_000001405.40 Homo sapiens
ACAATGGATTCTAGGAGAGCCGAGGAACATATTATGAAGATAACATTATGAAGTCATGTTATGAAGTTTTTGCAGTGTTCTCTGTAAGAGGGTGGTGGTGTGCATCCCAGGGGCATGGCACTGGTGGAGAGAAGGAGGCAGAGTGAGGACATTGTTTGGAGGTCCTGCCTCTATCCATGTTTGCCCTGCTGGACTGAACTCCTGGTAAGGACTGGGTACAACCCTCCTTTTTTTGTTGAGCTTCCAACGCAGCTACCTCTTTTTCAGACCATCTAAGTCCATGAAGTTTAGACAACATTCAGACTATCAAAAACCATCTCTGCTCTATTGTGGCTTTTCTTCGACAGTATAAATTACCCTAGAAGTTGTTTTCTGCAGGCTCATGATTCCCTGCCTAACTTTAAAGGGTTTCTTGAGAAGGCTTTGACCATTTGTTTTGTCAGAGGTTTGGGCGATTATTCAAAGTGCTGAGAGATAACAAGGGTACAGTTTAATGTGCTACAGATGTCTGGGACGGTGACTCAGGCTCCTGGCAGAAATCCAAGGCAGGAAACCTGCTGTTGCAATTCGTATTCTCTGTGTCTATGCCGGAAACGGCTTGAGCTGTAATTGCAGTTTATAGTGATGTAAATGCAGCCAAACCCCCGAGTGAAGCCTCACAGATGTACATCATTAGGAGAGCTCTCAGCCTCGCTCATATGCTGTTCAGAGGCGGTTCATTTGCAATCAGTTTCAAAGACTGTGGATGGGAAGAATGTTCTTTCACATTGTCTAGCTCAGTTTAAAATCTGCCCTCCTGACATTTTGATAAAAGGTAATAACCAAACCTCTGTGTTCAGCAGAATGTGCTTATAATAATAAGCCTGGCATTAAAAAAAGAAGACCCAAAGTATCAATAGCCCTTTACAAACAGAATACACAGTTTTCCATTTGACCCAGTTGTCTGCTGCACTTCTTCTCTCCTACCTATCTTATGATTAGGAAGGAGGCAGCCCTAGAGCTCACAAGTCAGAAAGCTCTGGATACAAATTTCAGAAGTGCTGCTTTTTTTTCTTAATTTTAATATAAAGGTCCAGGAACAAAGAGGTTTTCTATTTATAAAGTTTTAGAAATATAGGAGAAATTGTAAAATGTCTACTTAAAATATTTAATTAAATTCAATTCCTTATTTAATGTATTAAAATCCCTGTGAGAAACAGGTGCATATTCAAAAAAGATTTTTTTTTTTTTTTTTTTTTACAGATTAATAAGAGTAGTTAGTGTGTAAGGGAACCAACAAGAGGTAGTGCAATAACCTGGGATTTGTGTAACTGCCTGGTGGGTTGTTTTTGCCCACTGCACAGATAGAGTCGATTCATTGAGACAGCAGTATTACTGTGAAGAGAGTTTAATAAATGCAGAGCCGGCCAAGTGGAAAGAAGGGAGTTTACTGCACAAATCAGCCTCCCCACAGAGCTCCGAGGCTAGGGCTTTTCAAGGATGGGCAGGGGGCTGGTGAATGGGGGGAATGGTGATTGGTTGGGTTCAGCATGAAATTGTAGGGGATCAAAGCTATCTTCTTGAGCTGACTCCCTGCCTGGGTAGGGGCCACCAGACCAGATAAGCCAGTTTCTTGGTATGTGTAATGGGTCTGGGTGGAGTCAGTTGGGTTTCCAGAATGAAAAAGTCTGAAAAGTATCTCAAATACTAGTCTTAGGTCTTAGAATACTGATGTTATCTAAAGGGACAATTAGGCAAATTACAAATCTTGTGACCACCCCATGCGACTCTTGAGCAGTAAACAATGACTTGTTATCATTTAACTATGCCTAGGTTTTAGCAGAATTCATGCTCTCACATAATTTTAATCTCGTGACCTTTCATTAGTTTTACAAAGGTGGTTTTAGTCTCAGAACAAGGCGAGGGTAGTTTTGGGAAGGGGCTAGTATCATCCTTGCTTTGAGATTAAATCATAAATAGCATTCCTTCCATAGTTAACTTGGCCTATGGCCAGGAATGAGCAAAGGTAGCTTGTGAGGTTAGAAGCAATATGGAGTCAGCTCTGTTAGATTTCTCTGACCGTCATAATTTTGCATAGTCAGTTTCATTAGCAGCAGCAGGGCTGTCTCCATCCCTGGGCCTGTCGGGCTGCAGAAGAGAAGAAGCCCTCACAGGAACTTGCAAGGAAGGAAGAAAATTGTCATGACAAGAGGGGTGACCTCCAGTGAGGGGCAGAGCCTGGCTGAGGTGACCTTGCAGGGAAAGAAGCTGGGACCTCACTTTCTCCCTCTCGCCTAGCCTCTCTTCTCCTGCTGGTCTCGCATTGGCTGACTCCAACCCCAACCAGAGCCAAGCCAAAGCCAGGCAGCTTCCTGAGGAGAGGGGAAGGGAGGGAGAGAAAGGTGAGAAGTGGATCTTTAGGGACAAATTTATATATATTTAAAGATGCATACCCTAAAATAACAATTTTGAAATGTTGCTTTCGTCTAACATTGAATTTTCTGGAACTTTTTTTTTTTTGAGATGGACTCTTGTTCTGTTGCCCAGACTGGAGTGCAGTGGCGCAATCTCAGCTCACTGCAACCTCCATCTCCCAAGTTCAAGCGATTCCCCTGCCTCAGCTTCTCAAGTAGCTGGGATTACAGGCATGCGCCACCATGTCTGGCTAATTTTTGTATTTTTAGTGGAGTTGGGGTTTCACCATGTTGGCCTGGCTGATCTCAAACTCCTGACCTCAAATGATCCTTCTGTCTCAGCCTCCCAAAATGCTAGGATTACAGGTGTGAGCCACCGTGCCCAACCATGGAACTATTTTATTCAAACTCTTCATACATCAATTTTGTTTTTATCATTAGAGCCATTTTGGAGTCATCTAACACAGTTTTAAAAGCTCTTCACTTTTTACATGCAGAACTTTTCAGTCTTCCTGTGATCCTGTTACTGGAATTTTTACCCAAGTCACAAATACACAATCATATACTATTATGACAATTTTTTTCATTTTTTTGGTAGATTTATGTTTATATAAACCACTGTTGAAGTATGCGCTGTTTTACTTTCTAAAAATAATTTTTAAAGATTATTTATAACTGTATTTGTTCCTTGCAACTGAGAAGTTGTACTAATGAAAAGTATGATGAAATGCATACTCCATTTATTTTTTCATTTTTTTGTTTTGAGATGGAGTCTTGCTCTGTTACTGAGGCTGGAGTGCAGTGGCGTGGTCTCGGCTCACTGAAACCTCCGCCTCCTGGGTTCAAGCGATTCTTCTGCCGCAGCCTCCTGAGTAGCTGGGATTACAGGTGTCCACCACCATGCCCAGCTAATTTTTTGTATTTTTAGTAGAGATGGGGTTTCACCATGTTAGCCAAGACAGTCTTGATCTCCTGACCTCGTGATCCACCCACCTCGGCCTCCCAAAGTGCTGGGATTACAGGCATGAGCCACCACACCCAGCTAATTTATTTGCCTCTCTTTTTACCAACTCTGTCGGCTTGCCTTAATAAACATTTAAGTAGGATTAATTGAGGTTATTTCAGAAATATTGTGTCTTCCCCAAATGGCACTGGGCGATGGAGTAATCTATAAGTTGACAGATATTCTATGGATATGAGTATAAGATTATTTCCTTTTATTTAAGGAATAATTTTATGGAAGGAAACAGTCTTTCGTGCAGCCATATACTGTGCTAAATCTATCTAGACTTCAGTTTCCTCATCTGCAGAATAAAAATAATACTAGGGCTTACCTCACAAAATTGAGAAAAATTAACTGAGATAATGTAACTAATGCAATGTTTGGGACAGAGTAAGTACTTCACCTAGTTTATATCAATTATTTTAAAAGTTTCTAAATGACCCTAAGTAATCCATTTTCTTAAACAACTATTTTCTTAACTGATGATTACTCTTTTCTTATTCAGACTTGCAGGTAATAGATTAGTGGTGTGATTTGGCAATAACGAATGCAAAGATTGTGCTTGAAAAACATTTTCGTATGGTTGCTATTGATAAATTCTAGAATTTTCTATGTGATTTTTAGTAGGAGGTAGGCTACTTTTGAACCATTAGAGATGGTTTATAAAAACCTGTTTATTCTTTGTCTGAATTCAACACTCATCCTTTTCTTTTTCATATACTATTGCTAAATATATGCCAATCTTTGTTCTTTTAAAAACATTTGTATAAATTTAAGGTATACAAGTACAGTTTTGTTACATGGATATATTATGTCGTGCTGAAGTCTGGGCTTTCAGGGTAACCATTACCTGGATAGTGTACATTGTACCTATTAAATAATTTCTCATCCCTCACCCTCCACCCTTCCAGCCTTCCAAGTCTCCAAAGTCTGTTATTCCACATTCTATGTCCCGGTGTACACATCATATAGTTTCCAATTACAAGTAAAAACGTGGTATTTGACTGTTTCTGAGTTGTTTCACTTAAGATAATGGCCTCCAGTTCCACTCATGTTGCTGCAAAAGACATGATTTTATTCTTTTTATGGCTGAATAGTATTCCATTGTGTGTGTGTCTGCGTGTGTATGGCTGAATAGTATTCCATTGTGTGTGTGTGTGTGTGTGTGTGTGTGTGTGTGTGTGTGTGTATGTATATATCACATTTTCTTAATCCAAGCATCTGTTGCTGGACACTTAAGTTGAATCCCTATCTTTGCTATTGTGAATAGTGCTGGTACATGATACAGGTATCTGAGTACAGGTATCTTTTTGATGTAATGATTTCAATTGCTGGATTGAATGGTGGTTCTATTTTTAGTTCTTTGAGAAATATCCATTCTGTTTTCCATAGAGGTTGTACTAATTTACATTCCCACCAACATTGTATGTGGTCCCTTTTTTCCATGTCCTAACCAACATGTTATTTTATTGACTTTTTAATAGCCATTCTGACTGGTGTAAGAATGATATCGCACCATGGTTTTAATTTTCATTTCTCTGATGATTAGTTGATGTTGAGCATTTTTTCATATGCTTGTTGACCATTTACATGTCTTCTTTTGAGAAATGTCTAGTCATATGCTTTGCCCACTTTTTAATGGGGTTATTTGTTGTTGTTTTTTTTGAGTTGTTTGGGTTCCTTGTAAATTCTGGATATCAGTTACCTGTTGGTTGCATAGTTTGCAAATATTTTCTCCCATTTTCCAAGTTGTGTGTTCACTCTGTTGCTTATTTCTTTTGCTGTGAAGCAGCTTTTTAGTTTAATTAAGTCCCCTTTATTTTTTGTTTTTGTTACTTGTGCTTTTGACATCTTAGTTTATTAATTCTTTGCCTAGACCAATGGCCAGAAGAGCTTTCTCTAGGTTTTCTTCCTCTACTTTTATAGTTTCAGGTTTTACATTTAAGTATTTGATCCATCTTCAATTCGTTTTTTATAGGGTGAGAGATAGATATCCAATTTTATTCTTCTGCATGTGGTAATCCAATTTTTCTCAGCACCATTTATTGAAAAGGACATTCTTTCTCCAGTATGTCTTTTTTGTGACTTTGTCAAAAATCAGATGACTGTAGATATGTAGTTTCTTTTCTGGGTTCTCTATTCTGTTCCATTGATCTATATGTCTATGCTGTTTTGGTTACTGTAACATTGTAGTATAATTTGAGGTCAGCTAATGTGATGCCTCTAGCTTTGTTAATTTTGCTTAGGATTGCTTTGACTTTTGGTCTCTTTTTAGTTCCATATGAATAGATCTGTGAAAAATGACATTGAGTAGTTTGATAAGGACTGCATTAAATCTATAGATTGCTTTGGGCAGTATGATAATTTTAACAACATTAATTTTTTTTTTTTGAGATGGAGTCTCTCTCTATCACCCAGACTGGAGTGCAGTGGCAAGATCTTGGCTCACTGCAACCTCCACCTCCCGAGTTCAAGCAATTATCCTGCCTCAGCCTCCTGAGTAGCTGAGATTACAGGCACGCGCCACCACGCCCGGCTAATTTTTGTATTTTTAGTAGAGACGGGTTTCACCATGTTGGTCAGGCTGGTCTCTAACTCCTGACCTTGTGATCCGCCCACCTCGGCCTCCCAAAGTCCTGGAATTACAGGCGCGAGCCACCGCGCCTGGCCAACAACATTAATTCTTTCAATCCATAATCAAGAGATGTTTTGCCATTTGTTTGTGACATCTACAATTTCTTTCATCATTTTAAAATTATTTCTTTTATAATTTTCTTTGTAGGGATCTTTCACCTCCTTGATTAAATATATTCCGAGATATTTTATTGTTTTTGTAGCTATTGTAAATGGGACTGCCTTCTCGATTTTGTTCTAAGCTTTATTGTTATTGGTGCATCGAAATGCCACTGATTTTGTGTATGTTGATTTTGCATCCTGACACTTTACTGAATTTATAAAATTTGTTTTTTGGAGGAGTCTTTAGGGTTTTCTGTTATCTGGAGAATCCAAGTTCCTTCTACTCATTTTGAGCATCAACTCCCTTTGCCCAGTAGGTGGCGAAAGCGTAGAAGGTACAGCTGTACCTAGTCTGAGTACCAGACTGCCGTTTTGAACTTAATTTTGATTCTTGTCTTTTGGTTTCATTTGCTTTCTTTTATTTTTGTCTTTTTAACAAAGGCAAATGCAAAAAATAAGGTAATCCACTGAGTTGTCCATGTACATTTAAGGTAATCAAAATTTAAATATAACTTTTCTTAATATCCTGGCATTGTATTTCTAAAATGCAGGTCTTTTGCAGTCTCTTTAAACTAAAGCTAACTGATAAGAAGAGCTAACATATCATGATCTTACATTATACTGTCTCATCTACGACATTTTAGGAAAGGAATCTTAGTAATAGGAACACATTTTCACACTTATAATTATACACAGTATTTTCAAATATTAAGGGGAAGGGAAAACAGGTAGAGGTTAATATTATTCTACACACACACACACACACACACACACACATACAAACACAATTATTAACTCTATAGGGGAGACTATTCCCTATATATACAGCCTTTATAGAAAAGATGACTCATAGAGACCCAGGCAGCTGCCAGACACCAACATCTCACTCTCATTGGACCTGCTACAAGCCCTGTGCTGGGGATTGAGATCAAGTGATGAACAGCTCTGTCTTCTTCATATTTTTTTTGCAAGTGGGACTTCAGACTATATCGTGATAGGAGGAGAAAGAAAAGCCATATTGCTAAAGCTGTGTGTGTATGCCTGTGTATGTGTGTGTAGTGTGTGTGTGCGTGCATATGCACACATGCACTTTGCAGTGAAGAGAAGAGACACTGCACTATTATGCAAAACAGCCAAAGGGACTAGGCAAAAGTGTAAGTCAAATGCCTGCAGGGAACAGGCAAATAAAATGAGTGCATAAAGCAGGCTGGCTGTTAGAAAATCAGCAGTGTGCTAAATGGAAATGACACTTGCACTTGCTATGGACACCACAATCAGAAATATACATGTATGTGCAGGGGAGACAGACAAACATGCTGTAGCAAACTGGAGAACCCTTGTCCCTCCCAATTAATAGTTGGGCCAAATCATGTCTATAGCTTGAATTGGCCCCCGAGCCCATCAGTTAGTGACTTCTCGACCTCTGTTCAAGGTGCAGCTCCTTTATGGTTACTTATTCTAAATCCTTTCCTTGTTTTACCAATGAGGAATCTGACCCTCAGTTGGGTTCCATTTAGGTCATATCCTCACTCTCTTGACTGTGTGCCCCTTATCAGACATTATGCTTTCTTGCATTTTTTTTCTCTAGTTAGTCCTATTTACGTAGTAGACTGTCCTAAAGTGAACAGTTGTCCCTGATCTTCGTTGGTTTTACAGGAGGAAATGCACTGAACATCTCAGAAGCCAGAATTCTGAGTGATCCGCCCAATTGATCTTGGCCGATTTAACCCTCAGAACAGATAAGCACCATAAGTACTGCTCATTTATTTGTTGTTGTGTTGCTCTTTTCCTCTGCTTACTTCATCCAGTTTCAGGGGTAACAGGACATTTGACATTCCCTGCTTAATGTGTTTGACAGTTTGAGTTCAAGTTGCAATACTGCATACTTCCAGTAGAGGGTACGTGTGCTTTTCAAATCAAGTGTGAGTGCACCCTAGTAGGGAATCATTCTAGCTCGCTTTCCCGTTTCCAAGAAGCAAAGATTCTTGGTTCTTTGTTGCTTTAAGAAAATTTAGGCCAGGTTTTCCTTAGACAAGGAAATTGAAATTAAAACAGTAGCTCTTTTTAGTTTTTCAGGCAATAGAGATCAAATTTGGGAGCAGTGGGTGATAACACTGAGGAATGTTATCTGAGATGACAAATTCCTGAAGGTAAATGTGACATTTGGTTTTATTACTCTCAGACTGCTTTTATAGTAATAGCATATGTAGGATAACGTTCAAAGATTATCTAAGATTTATAGATTTCATTTACTGAATAATATTTGCTAAGAACCTGCCTGCTATGTCACAAGTAAAGTTCCAGGCAACGGGGATGGAGTGGTGACAAGATAAAGCCCATTCTTCCTGTCCTGGAACTTAAGAAGTTCTAAGTGGGGGAGAGATAAAAGAAGTAGTGAAAGAATGAATGATAATTGACTCAGATACTGAGAACTGCTAAAGAATGAATGATAATCGACTCATACAGTGAGAACTGCTAAGATGCTAGGATCGGCAGCATGGGTGCTGTGGGGCAATGTGGGATGGAAAATATGAAACCTGCTCTCTGGGGAGCCGACCTGAAGGAAAGGAAGAAGCCAGCCCTGTGAAGACCTTGGAGGGAGTGCCAGGCTGAGAGGACAGTAAGTCCAAAGGTCCTGGGGTGGAAACAGAGAGAATGCCAGTAAAGCTGGGGTGTGGTGTGCACTGAGGGGAGAGGGATAGGAAATGCGGCCAAAGAGGTGAGCAGGAGTTGATCATCAAGACTTGAAGGCTTGCAAGGAGCTGTTCTTTTTTTTTCCTGTACAATTTTAGAATTTTAATGTGGGAAGGATTCTTGAAAATCCTCTCACCCAGTTCTCGAAGTGAATAAAAGAATCTCCTGAGGAGCTTTTCAAACCGGCAGATTCGGCTGGAAAATCTGATTTAGAGGCCTATAGTGAGGACTGTGGATCAGTATCATAAAGCTCGATGGTTCAGATGCAAGTAGTCCACAGATCACCTCTTGGGAAAACACTTATTTATCTGTTAAGGTTCTATGTCTACAAGCAACAGAATTCAGTTCCAGCTAACTGATGTAAACAGAGAATTTGTTAAAAGGCAACTGGGAAGCAAATAGAAAAAAGGGGACATTGATGAACAAGACCCAAATATACTTCAGGCACCTAGGTTTGCAGAAACAATGGAGAATCCTTTATGTATTAGTCCATTTCATGCTGCTAATAAATAAATACCCGAGACTGGGTAATCTATAAAGGAAAGAGGTTTAATTGACTCACAGTTCCACATGGCTGAAGAGGCTTCACAATCACGGGGGAAGACAAAGGAAGAACAAAGGGATGTCTTGCATGGTGGCAGACAAGAAAGCATGTGTAGGGGAGCTCCCCTTTGTTAAACCATCATATCTCCTAAGACTTATTCACTATCATGAGAACAGCACCGGAAAGACCTGCCCCCATGATTCAATTACCTCCCACCGGGTCCCTCCCATGACATGTGGGAATTATGGGAGCCATAATTCAACATGAGATTTGAGTGGGGACAGAGCTAAACCATATCACTTTGTCTTTTTAACTTTATTTTAATTGACAAATAATAATTGTATATATTATGTAAAGATGGTGGAGAATCTTTACAAGACACTGCAATCTGGAGAGCAACTCCATTCCAGGTTCTTTGTCTCTCAGTACAGACTACTTGCTCATTCATTAACACAGAGTTGCTTGGCATCTGCCAAGTGCCAGGCAGTGTGCAAGGCACTGGTGATACACTGATAAACAGGAGAGGATAATTTTGTAAGAAAAACACAAATAGAGTGTTACAGGAATTCAGAGGAGTAAGGGGTTGCTATCAGCCCACAGTAATTACAATGTCTTTCCTAGGAATGGGATGGATCTCCCTTATTTATCTTCTTCCACAGGGAGGGGGATCTAGTGAAGCTGCCTAGAATGAGTGATGCCACAGGCCACCTGCTAAATTGGAAACTCTGACTTTGGCTTGACACCTACTATGTTTTAAGCATCACATTCTGGGCTTTTGGGGCATTCATGATGAATTAAAAAGGCTTTGTCCACACAGCCCTAAAGTGGAGATTCGGGAATTAGCCAGTAGTTGAATCGTGATGTGGACAGATCAGTCGGATGATTCAGGTCCTAGGCAGTCACAGTCCTGCCTGACTCACTGATGATTCCGATCCTCCTCTTGCAAGTGCCACTTTAAGCAAACTGTCCCCTCCACTTATAAAACTTAAGTTTTACATCGTTTTCAGCTGTTAACACCTCCAGCTAGGCAAATGAAGCAGGCTTCTTAATGTTAGGAGTGATGATATGATAAGATTCCATGCACAGACATTTTCTTTGTGAGATGATATCCAATTTTTGTGTGAATTTTAATGCACAAAAATATAGTGCTGTCAGATACTTGTTTTTCATTTATTTGCACTTCAAGCTTTGTGTTGCTTTTGGATCAACTAATGCTTTAAATGTGAAGGACTTGGTTTCCTTAGGAGGCTGTATGTATGAAAGGGAGAAACACAGATTCTGAAATCTGGCTGTCTGGGTTCATATCCCAGCTCTGACACTTATTAAGCTGCCAGAGAACTTAAACAAGTTGCTGAAGAACCTCTCTATGCTTGAGTTTCCTCACAAATAACATGAGCATTAATAATAATAACTGTCTTATAGAGTACATTCATTAGTGATTACCACAAAATGCTGCATAACAAGCCACCTTAAAATTCAGAACATCAAAACAATGATCATTTGCTATTGCTTGCATAAATAAGGGGCAACTGGGATTTCAGTGGACCACTCTGAGCTTTGCTGGGCTGGCTCTGTAAAGCAAACCCTAACTGCAGGGTAAGGGTTTGCTTTCCTGAATCATCCAGTGGATCCGTCCACATCATGATCCAACTGCTGGCTAATTTCCAAACCTCCACTTTAGGGCTGTGTGGGCAAAGCCTTTATAATTCATCATGAATGTCAAACCTAACTGCAGGTTAGAGTTTGCTTTGCAAGTCCCTTGTCCTCTTTGAACCAACAGACTAGTAAAGATGCTCTTCTCATGGTGATGGCAAAGACATAACAAGGGCAAGTGGAAGCACATGAGAAGTATCCTTGGATCCCTTAGTAGGAAGAACTTCAAACTCACAAGGCAAAGGGAGTAGATAAAGGGAGAAGTGAAGTGTGCATGTAACAGAGGGTTATTTTGAGAATTAAATATATTAATGTATGTTGTGTTCTTACAAAGACGCCTGACATAGTAAATACTATATCAACTCTTGCTTTTCATCATTATTCTTGTTCAAATGTCTTCTGAGTGTAGAAAATACTGCAGAAATGATCATTTGCATCTTCAGGCAGAATAGAGCCTGCTTTATGAGCTACTGACATGCATCTTTATAGTAACCACTATCAGAATTTGTTGAGCACTTTCACATGTATTATCTAATTTGATCTTTGTAGCAAAGCTGGGGAGTACGTATGCTTTGCCTTTTGCAAATAAAGAAACAGAAGTTCAACAAATGAAGAGTATCTTACCTAAAGTCCCAGAGCAGGCCAGGAATGGTGGCTCATGCCTATAATCCCAGCACTTTGGGAGGCCAAGGCAGGTGGATCATTTGATGTCAGGAGTTCAAAACCAGCCTGGCCAACATGGTAAAACCCCGTCTCTACTAAAAATACAAAAATTAGCCGGGCATGGTGGCACACACCTGTAGTCCCAGCTATTCAGGAGGCTGAGGGCAGAGAATGGCTTCAGCCTTGGAGGTGGAGGTTGCGGTGAGCCAAGATCATGCCACTGCACTCCAGCCTGGGTGACAGAGTGAGACCCTGTCAAAAAAAAAAAAAAAAGTCCCAGGGCAATTGATTCGATTTCACCCAATGTTTGACATCAGAGTCTGCTGCAGTGAGATTAAGACCAGCATCTACTAGAGGCTACTGAAGGACCCAACACCCCAACTTCCAGGTCATTCAGATTTCCAGAGCTAGGGTAAGTGCCATTGGTAATGGCTTTCCCACTGATTGTTCCACGTCCTCATGGTCCTACTTCACATTTCACACTCACCAGCCAGAGTTATCCTTTGAAAATGCAATTTTGAACATACTATTCACCTGCATGAAATCCCAAATGACTCCTACCACTTTCAGAAATCTTAAAGGTTCTGAATCTTCCCTATAACTTCTGATGCACCGGTCCCTGCTTTCGTTTTCATCCTCCATGCCCTCCCATTCTCCGTCACCTCCCAGTGCTTCAGTACTCTGGCCCCCCCAGCCAGTGCTCAGCCCCCTTCTCTGCCACACAGCCTTTGCCAGTGCCTGGGCCTCCCTCTCCCTCTCCCCTTTGCTCTCCACCTAGTTAACTTTGACTCATCCACCATGTCTGAGCTGGAAAATAACTTATCAGTTCCTCATTGCACACGTTCTCTTAACAGCACTTGTTACAGCTGTAACCCTGTGTTGGTATTGTTTGATTATGAGTGTCTTGGAAACTCACATCTGCTTCAGAGTCTTTAGTGCAGATATGATGTGGTTTCTCTGCCTGTGATCTTCTCTGCCCCTTTTCAGTCTTTGGAATTCCACATTCCCTCCTACTCATCCTTGGCCTTAGCTCAAGCTCATCTCCTCAGGGAATAAGACATCATGTTGTTCATCCTAAGATGGCTCATTCTTCTCCTCTTACTACTTATACTTTAAATTTTTTTTCACTGTCTGTCCTTTGTGGAAGTCCAGAAGCTCCATCAACTTGGCATGAAGGCCATGTTCGCTGTACTTTCCAGCAGTTAGTACAGTACCTGGGGTGAGGAAGCTTGATTGGAGCTTATCTTACCAAATAATCCTGGGATCAGAAGGCATCAAGAATGTGTTAACCACCACAGTCTACTTGGACAACTTCTATGGTGTTCCTTGGGCCTTTATTCAAGGTGTCCACCAATATCATGGCATTTATTAAACACTCATTATGTGTTAGACAGTATGGTAAGTGCTTCACAAATTCTATCTTAGTTAATCCTCACAATGACCCTATTAAGATTCTGTTGTCATTACCTCTGTTACAGATGAGGGAATAAAACAGAGAGACAGATTAAACAATTTGCTCAAGGTCAGTCAGCAGTGGTGTCTTCCCTGAATCCCAGACTGGGTCAGTGCCCTCCTCAGTTCTCTGTGCCCTCAAATAACTCATTGCATTTATTATTGTCATCATTGCTCTTTTCCTATGAAACTAAGAAAGCCAAATGGTCACACTCACCTTTCCGGTCCCCATGTCTATATGTTCCTGGCACATACTAGGTACTCAGTTAATGTTTATTGAATGTGAAACATATTTCCCTGACACAAACTTATAGGCAGCTTTAGAAATGGAAAAGGAAGAATTTTTCTCAACGATGAAGGCAAATAAAACAAAGCAATAAGTCAATATATGTGAGCAAATCTGAAGTCCAGTATTACAATACAGAAGTTAAGCAGGCTGGCTCTAGAAGCAAAATATCCAGGCTGTAATCTTGCCTGTTTCTTCTAGTTATATGAACTTGGGCGACATATTTAACCACTCTTAGCCTTCCATTCCTCACATGAAAAATGCTGAATGCTCCACAGATGATGACAATAATTATTACAAATCTTTGTTACTCTTTGTGATCCTTTACTTAATGCTAAACATTAGTGCCCTAGCTTCTCACATACCTGGAATTGGAGTTGGGTTTCTCAGCTTTATCAGAGTCCTGGGGCCCATTTGCTATCCCTGTTCATCGCTGTACGTGTAAGGTGAGCTCCACAGCTGCTCTGGTGCTCACACTATCCCTGCTTGAGACCAGAGACCCCTCCCACCCCAGACGTCCCCTTACCAACATCTCAGGAATCTCCATTTGTGCCCTGGAGCATGGCCTTTCTCTCTCTTTTTTTCTCTCTTTTGAAGAATAATCAATGTCCTGACATTCGAATGGTTTTTACCCTTCAGTGATGCTGCTTTTCTTCCATCTCAGCTAGCCATGAGTCTTTGGTTTCCCTCAGTAGCTAAGGACGTCACATTTTTATGTAGCTTTTATCCATCAGGTCTTTTGGACAACTAGATAAAGCATTTCCCCACTGAGTTCCTTCTTTTAACTCATCTACCAGGCCACAAGAATCCCCATTCCCTGCCTGCTGGATTCTCATTGGCAGAGCATAGGTGTCTGTGTGTCTGTTCAGGGGAGAGGGAGGTAGGAGTTTTCTAGGTTCTGAGACTCAGGAGATTTAACTATTAAGTGTGTACATGAATCACCTGTGGGCTTTATAAAATGCATATTCTTGGGCCTTACTCCTAAAATTCAGATTCAATTAGTCTATTTGAGGCCCAGGGATCTGCATTTTGATTAGCATCTAAGGAGATTATGCTTACATGAATTAAAACTTCCCTATACTTCATTATGACTGAATGTATTGGCAACCTGACATCTCCATTCACTTTGTGACACAGCCACATTTTTCCGGGAAGGAGTAGCATTTAATTGTCATCTTATAGTGTAGGAAAAAGTTGTACTAAAGAAAAAGGAAAATCTTTTCTTGCAAATAAACAGAATTGAGGGTTGAGGAGTGATTCATTCGCGTAAAATCTGTGCTATGACAGCTTTTTGCAGTATAGGGTGCCACATTCAATGGTAAGCTCCTTGAGATTGGGCACTGGGTGTTACACATCTTGTTACACCTAGGAAGCAATCAACAAATGGCTGTTGAATGATGAATTCATTTCCTGTGTGTGCTGTAACAAATTACCACAAACTTAGTGGCTTAAAACAACACAAATTAATTATTTTACAGTTCTGGAGGCCAGAATCCTAAAATGCAGGTGTTCACGGGGCTGTGATCCTTTTGGAGACTCTAAGGGAGAATCTATTTCTTTGCATTTTCCAGGTTCTAGAGGCTGCCTGCACTTCTTGGCTCATGGCCCCTTCCTTGCATGGCTCCAATCTCTGCTTTTGTCATCACATCCCCTTCTCTAGCTCTGACTTCCTGCTTCTTCTAATAAGGACAGGTGATAACATTGAGTCCACCTGGATAAGCCAGAATCATCTCTCATCTCAAGATCCTTTACTTAATCACATCGGCAAACTCAGTTTTGCCATGTAAGGTAACAGGTTCACAGCTTTCAGGGATTAGAACATGAACATCTTTAGGGAGCTATTATTCTATATATCCTCATAATACATGAAAAAAAAAAACCTAAGAATGAGGACATTGTTCAGTTGCGTGGAGGGACTGCAACATTAATTAGAACTGAAGTTTAATTAACACATACTATGTTCTATGCACTCATCTAGATATTTCACATGTATTATCTTAATCCTCAAAACAGAACTCTAAGGTAGGTTCTACTATTGTCCTCATTTTATAGATAAGGAAACTAATCCTAGTTAAGATTCTCTCCTGAACTGGCATAGCTAGTTTGTGGCTGAGCTAGGATAGTAACCCAGGCAGTCTGACATTAGAACTGTTGAACATAAGCACTTTAAAATCCGCCTCTTCCACTTTAAAATCCTCTTCTTCCCTGAGTCTCTAGAGTAAAATTCTTATAATACCAATTAATAGTCTTCCATTATTTTTTAATGATACTAAGTATTGTTGAAACGTTTTACTTTTTATTAAGAAATTTAAATATTTTCCATGTATTTTTTCAAAATATGTGTATTAAACTTCTACTGAGTACCAGAAACTGTGCTGGGCTCTGGGGAGCATGGGAGTGAGCAAGAGAAGCACCTTCCTCTTTCTAGGTAAGGACCTAAGGGGAGGCTGACCTTAAATAAGGAATTCACAGGACCATGTTTTTGATATCATGTAGATAAATCTGACCAGATTCTCCAAACAGGAGACTTTACCTGCATGAGAGAATTTGAATGTGAATTAAATTTCTGTACCACTCACAGAATAACAGCTTCCCCTCACCTTATCAACCCAACCACACTACCGTTAGGAGAACTTAACCAAGAGTTGAGTTGTTTGCACATTGCAACAAAGGCTCAGTGTAAAATCACACTGTGCTACCAGAAAATAAAAAGCAAATTCTCTGTTACTTTGAGATGCCTCCTGAAATTTAAGGTTGGCAACTGCTAGCACTCCCAGAGAGATGCCCTTTTCCATTTGAAGTCTGTGCCTCTCTCTCCTGCCTTTTCTTGCCACTGTGAGGTCACTTTGAGCAGTACTCCATGGCCCCAGACTTTTGGAGCTTTCTTGTTAAGGAGACAATGCAGGCAGCAGCTCTGTAGTATTCTGACTTTAAACAGGAGGTATCTTACAAACAGATCTGGCCTCAAGTCCCAGCTCTGCCCCTTATTATCTTTGTGATTCTAGTCAAGTTTCCTAACATCTCTGAACCTCAGTCTCCATATTGATATGGTGGAAATAATAATAACATTCATTAGTGTCTTTGGCTATAAACAACATAAAATAACTTTGGTAAATGTAAGAATTTATTTGAAGTTATGGGTAGCTTGCAGGTTCAATAAAAATCTAAAGAAATAGACTCAGAAAGAATCAGAATCAAGCAGCCCTAGTGGTTTATCAAGAGGCGATTTATAGCCAGTCTCATCTGATTCTCAAACATACATCACAGCCACTGCTTTTCTCCTGAAAATCTAGACTTATGCATCAAACTTCTGTGTGACATCTCCACCAAAATGGATCATAAGTGTCTCAGATTAATATTTACAAAATAAAATATGTAATTATCTCTCCAAACTCCAGCAGCCTCTATTCTTGTAAACATACACCCTTTCACCCAGTTATTGTAGCCCAAAATCTCGGAGACATCTTCACTCTCTTTTTCTCACACACCATGTTCAGTCCATCAGCAAATTCTTCCCATGATCCCTTCAAACTTATACCCTGATTCTGACCACTGCTCACCTCCCACAATGGACTGCCAACCAAGAGCCCTCCTATCTTAACTGGACCATTGTGATGACTTATTTTCTCTTCTCCCTGTTTCAACCATTGTTCCTGTCTCAAAGCTGTGCTGCACATGACAGCCAGAGGAATTATTTCAAAAATAAAATTAAAGCATGTCTAGCCTTCTTGCTCCCTCTAATGACTTTCTATTACGTTAAAAGTAAAACCCAGTGTCTTGATCTTGGCCTATAAGACACAATATCATCTGGACACTAGCTACATCTCCAAACTCCTTACGTAGCATTCCACCCCTTGCTTGGCACATTAACCTCCTTGATGTTCTTTGAACATACTAGTTCATTTCCATCTTAGGGTCTTGGTATTTTCTAACTCCCCTTGGCCTAGAACACTGTCTGGCCACTGATATTCACATAGCTGACTTCCTCACTTCATTCAGATGCAGAGTGCCCCCTTAAGGAGCATTACTGACTGCACTACCTAAGATATTCCCCCTATATATCTTTTCACCATATTTTCTAACTCCTTACATTCTTGTCCATAACACTTATTGCTATCCAAGATCACCCATGATGTGTGTGTGTTTGCGTCTATTGTCTGTTTAATCATTAGAATGTAAACTCCATGAAGGCAGGAGATACATGTATTTGGTACATTGCTGAAATACCAGATGGCTTCCTGCACGTAATGGACAATCGATAAATATCGGAATAAATTAATGACTATATTATAATGTCACTACTGAGGTATACAGTTGCAACTATCTTTTACATTTCATTTCTTAGTGATTTGGAAATATCCAGGAGATTCAGAATCTTGAAAATCTCCAAGAGTCTCAATGGCCTATGCTGGGTTATATGCCCATCTTGATCAGGGCAAGGTAAGTTTCTGTTAAAATTACACCTGCAGGATGGTGTGCAATGAAGGAATTGTGGTTCCCTGAAGGTAGCTTAGAGTGGTCTTACCAGGAGAAGGAAAAATGGATATAGGCCAGGCTCGGTGGCTCACGCCTGTAATCCCAGCACTTTGGGAGGCCAAGGTGGGTGGATCACAAGGTCAGTAGATCAAGACCATCCTGGCCAACAAGGTACATGGTGAAACCCCATCTCTACTAAAAAAAAATACAAAAAATTAGCTGGGCATGGTGGCGGGCTCCTGTAGTCGCAGCTACTCAGGAGGCTGAGGCAAGAGAATGGTGTGAACCCGGGAGGCGGAGCTTGCAGTGAGCAGAGATTGCACCACTGCGCTCCAGCCTGGGTGACAGAGCGAGACTCTGTCTCCAAAAAAAAAAAAAAAAAAGGAGGGGGGGATATAAAGCCAACACAACAGGTGTTCAGTTTATATTACCTCCTCATAAGATTATTGTGAGGGTGATATGGGCCGCATAGTACATACAGATGATAGCTGTGATTGCAGTTATAGTTATTATAGGGTGCTAATTAACTTAAGACTTCAGTCAAATATTTCTACAAATATATATATACATATTTCTACACACATATATATATATGCATGAGTATACACAAACATTGTATTGTCCTGTAAAATAAGAAATTGGTGGCCTTATGGGGCAACTCCTGAAAAAATAGCTAATATTATTAGAATATTTTTGAGGATAGATTAAATATTTTTAATGTTTGCCCATATGCAATTATTTAATTAATTATAGAAGGAATTCCATTCTCTATCCCTTTGGTTTTAGGTGTAGCCAATTGGCCAGTTATGGCCAATAAAATGTGAGAGTGATACATGCTCCTTCATACAGGACCATTTAAGGGCTGGTGCATTATCTCCCTGCCATCTTCCCCCTCCTGCCATAACCAGAGATGTTCAGATGGTGAAGCCATGCTCACTCTGTGTCTCTGAATGTGTGCGTGAAGAAAAACTAGCCTAGCATGTGATGGACATACAACATGAGTGAGAAATAAACCTCTGTTGTTTTAAAACTAATCAGATTTGGTGTGTTTTGTTGTTGTTGTTTGTTTGTTTTTGCTTTTGTTTTTGTTTTGCTACTGCAGTATATTCAAGCCTATCCTGACCCAAACAGGAAGTTTTAACTGTCTTTTTCTCATATGAGCAACCACTAAGTGACAGGCACCATGTTAGGAAACAGGTTTCCTAAGATAAATAGTACAATAATCTCTCTATTCTAGCTTCATGGATGGGTTTATTAAGAAAAAAAAATGGAGCCTACCATGTTGCCAAGCCCAACACTAAGCCCTAGGAAAAGAAAAGTGAGCAAGTAAAGTAACCTTTATCTTCAAGGATCTTAGAGTCTGGTGGACTAACACTGAATAATTATATAGCAATGACTGTATAATCACAGTTGTGATTAATGCTATAGGGTGAAAGTACTGCATGCTGACAGGGAGGCCTAACCTAACTTTATTAGGGTGGGTATTAGGAAAGGCTTCCATGAGAAGAGGCCTTTCATGCTGACACTGAAATAATGAGCAGAGATCTCAGCCTCTATCCAAAGATGCCAATATGTTGATCCTACTTTCCAAAATCTGTTCCTTTTAGTACCTTGATTCTAAAATTGCTCTATACCTTCAGTCTTTTACTAGACATATAATAAGAAAAAATTTCATGGAGAGCAAAAACCATTATCTAAATGATTCCTGAGGAAGGAGACTGCCACCACCACTAGAATTATCCAAACAATTGCAGGAATATGGAGACTGAACTGTAGTAAGTAGAATGTCTGTAATATTCTTATGCAAATAATCTACATGGTAGCAAATAGTACTTTTGGGTTTTGTACCATTTAGAATAATGTTCTTGTGTACCTTACTATTGGAAGCCAGCATTATTTCCCATAATTACCACTTACCTTATTGCTATTTGGTGCTGTCATTTTAAAATTTTTTACTTTGCCCGGCATATGTTTCAGTAGAAAATATCAGCCTCTTAATGTTATCAGCCTTTTAAATTAATTGTTTTCTTCTAGGGAAGATTTCAGAAAAAATAATAATAATTCCTCAGGTTTGACTGTACTTCACAATTTATGCATAATCTCTCTTGCATGTTAAAACCACCTTTCAGGATCAGCAAGGCTGGTAACATATATTTCTTCCTTTTAAGTGAGAAGAATTGTCTCTGAGAGCTTCTGAGACTTTCTCAAGATCTATAGCTGGTAGGTGGCTGAACCACGAAGCAAACTCAATACTGGTGATAACTCAGTTTAGAACAAGAGGAAATGTATTCATGATCTGGCAGCTGAAACACGTAGGTTTGGGTTGTTGCTCTGACATTGACTCTGTGTGATCTTAGGCAAGTCACTAAACATCTCTGATCCTCGTTTTCTTCTCTGTCAGATAAAGAAAGATAACTAATTCATGGGGTAATTACTTGGATTAAATGAGATGAGCTGTTCTTTACTCATGTGGTAATTTATTTGGTTATTCATTGAAATATTACTCGAATCTCACTAGTGCCAGGTACTGTCTAGATACTAAGAACACAACCCTAGAATGTTCATACTTTCAGGTTACAGTGAAAGTGCTATAAGACTCATATAATACCATTTCCTTCTGCCCAGACTCTTTTTATAACCTCCCAAAAGGATTCATTGCTTGCATAATTATAAAATTGTGCATGATAATGAGGAAGAATATTAAGTATGAAAAGGAAATTTATCACCACAACCTTATTACTTCTATTGTCCCTGCTACCCCTGACGATGCAGATCCCCTGATGTAGAAGGGTGAGAAAATATTAACAAATAGTATTGACTAACAATAATACTGGAGTTACTATCTGCAAAATCTTTCCTACACCAAACTCATGTTTTCTATTTATCCTGTCAAAGAGAGTGGCCACTGGTCTAGAAATATAAAACATACCACTTCTAAAAATATTGAAGCTTCATAAAGATGGAAAGGCAGAAATATAAATCAGTTCATTTATCTTATTCTGAATAAATTTCACTTTTGTGCAAGGTATTAAGAGAGATTTTCAATTTGCTCAGATATTGGTGATGCTTTTAAAAAGGTGGGGTAATGAGATAAGTGGATACAACAACATATAGGTTCAGGAGCTTAATGTCAATTCACAGCCAAATTGTAGGACAAATACTCAAATAGATAGAGTGCTTATGAGCTCATGGAGAAAGAAGAAGTCATACTAGAAGTATCAATTTTGCTATTTCTTTTTTTAAAATTTGGCTTCGAATAGTCAAAAACATTGTAAACAGTTATATCTGGATGCAAGTAAGAGTTTAGATGAAGTTACCCAAGAGTAAAAGTAAGTTAGAAGAGGATAGAGTCAGTGAATTCTTAATTGGTTGAATTATCCAGTATAAATTATGGATTAAAATCAACTGGAGTGTTGATGGTCTCTGTCCTTGGTCCTGACCTATTCACTGCCACCAACTACTTGTATTATTAAGACTTCTAGAAGTGGTTTGTATTTAGGAGTGGATCTGAGTCATCTGAGAAGAATGTAAAAAAATAGTTGTTTGGATGTGCCATTGGAGATTATGATTCAGTAGGCATAAGATGGGATGTGGGACGTGGGATGTGCTCTATGTTAAAGAAGTTAACCTCATCAATCTAGTAAATGAAATTAGGTTACAGGGTAAATGAATATCCTCGGTGGCTGAAATATGGTCTCAAGTGACCTGAATAAATTGAAATAGGGGCCAAGTTTAATAAATGGCATTAAGAATAAAGATAAATGAAAAGGTTGACTTTGGAGAGTCTAAAAACAACCTGCACAAGTCCACGAAAAGGGAGTGATCACTTATGATCAGTAATTACAGAAACTATTTAGGGAGGATTAGCTGGCTGCAGGGTACACACATACCAGCAGAGGGCTGTGGCTTTCCAACAGAGCTAATGTCAGCTGAAGTGCAGGATATTGGCAAAGGGATGAAGTTCAACTGTATAATTTGTAATTTACCTCTCAGACTCTACCAAATGACATCATAACTTTGAAGGTTGTGTTCAACAACCAGAAAAATATAGTTTCAAACTTGAAGGTATTTAAGTGGGGTTCTATGGTCCCCAGGGTTCCATAGGGATTCTTCCTGACTGGACGTGGGGGTGGGTTGTGGTGGGGGAGAGTAGCGACAGTTCAGCACTCCCACTCCAAAGGAAGCTTTGATTTGAGCACTATTGCTATGATCTGTTTTACATTGTAGGTGTCTACATAGAGGTTCGCATAAGAAGTTTAATTTTAAATTTGGTTAATTAGAAGTTAACACGGGGAAATAAAACTGAAGAATTACTGACAAGAATTTCAGCTTTATAATTTGTTGACAAAAATATCACAAGGATATAGTTCTTTGAAAGATACTGAAAGAGGAAAGGAATAAATTCAGTTCCCTTTTAAAGAAATATATTCAGTTCTCTTTTCGTTAATTTGAGGAAAAGAATGTTATCCAGGGCAGAAAGGACCCGTATTTATTCAAAAGATATATATTTTTTCTAAGGCGATATATACGTATGTGCACGTGTGTGTGTAAAATGGGATAGACAAAAACATTCTTTTATTACATTTTCTATTCAGCTGAAAAGCAATGTGAACATGTTGACCTTGGAACCACTTCAGAGTGATGAGTCCATTAATAGGGGCACACCTCATATTCTGATTATTTCTCACATAAACATGGTGAGCAAATGATCTGTGGGAAGCTTTTGATGTTCTATTCCCTTCTTTCCTTTGCTGCAGCAATAGCTCTTTGCTATTTTAAATAATACTGAACACTGCCTGTGCAATTCATAAATATTTGCATTTAGTAATTATATCAATAAAAGATTTGGAAGACTGAATTATGCTGAATCCATTTTATTTTCTGAAAAAGAGACAGAATCTTAATTAGCTTTAATTCTGGTACTCATTAACCCATATGGAATCTCTGGTTATGTACTGAATTCAAGTAGAATCTAAATCTTTACAAGACATTCTTGGAACAAAACCGAGGGGTTTTTTTCCCTATAGGTTTATTTTTCTCCTAAAATGCTAATTTTCTCTTGGGAGGGGTGATAAGAGGAATATTTATGGTTTTAAATAAGCTTAGATGATCTTTATCACTACAATAATAAGACTAGAATTAAATAATTTCACTATGTTATGTAAGGAAAAAGGCCAAGTGTAATATAAACCAGAGAAGAAAAGCCACTCTAGGAAATTTTCTGGAGCATAATTTCATATAAAGTATGTGTACTTTTATAGATAACAGTTTTACCTAGTGATTCATCCTTTGTCATTTATTGAGGAATGGTTTTCTATGTTGTTTGCTCCTGTTAAGAAAATAAACCAATATAAGACACAATTCCTTCTTGCTGACAGGTCACCAATCCAGCTTAGAAAGTAGGAGATGGCTACACTTGTGAGACCCTTATTTTTATAGTTTCTATCAAAGAGTTACAATGAGTAGTCCTGAGTAAGAGTCATAGTGCCATTTCTGAGAACTGACTCTGTGCCAGGCACTGTAATTTTTGCATAAATCACATTCATTCTTTATAACACCTAGTTTTGAAAATAAAAACACCTGAGCCATTGAATGGTTAAGAAACTTGCCCCAAGGTCACACAGTTAGTGTACAGACTGAAGATTAAATGAGCAATAATAATCACAGTGCTTGGCATATTAGGTACTTCATAAACATTAGCTGATAGACCAGGTGGTGGTGGCAGTAGCAATAGTGTGTGCCAGTATCCTTCATAACAACCCTGTGAGCTATGCACACTATATGTTTAAAATGGACAAATACCATTTTGCCTTTTGTCTATAATTTGTGGGCATACCTGGAAATTCTAGGCCAGATGTGAAACTTCAAGATGGATCTCCTAGCACTTTTGGGGTTACAAACTCCCCAGCAAATTTGAGATTGTTGAGATATTATCCAGGCCCACTGGGGAAAGTAAGGAGTAATTTTATATTTTATAATACCAAGTAGAACTTTGAATTTATAAGTGAGAATCTTGTAAAAATTCAGAGTGTTGAGTTAGAGAAAGACTCCTACATAAATACAGTACATTCTGAAGTTTGGAAAATATCCTCTAAGCATCACTGTTGAATTATTTATTTATTTATTTATTTATTTATTTAATTTTAGATAAGATCTGGCTCTATCTCCCAGGCTGGAGTGCAGTCCTGCGATCTCGGGTTACTGCACCCTCCACCTCCCAGGCTCAAACCCTCCCAACTCAACTTCCAAAGTAGCTGACACTACAGGAACATGCACCATGCCCAGCTAATTTTTAGATTTTTGGTAGACATGGGGTTTTACCATGTTGCCCAGCCTCGTCTCAAACTTCTGAGCTCAGGTGATCTGCCTGCCTCGGCCTCCTAAAGTGAGTGCTAGGATTACAGGTGTGAGCTATTGCATCTGGCCTTGAATTATAATTTAAATAATTCATGAGCTAGTTACCAATTTTAATACTAATATTTCAACTAGGGAAACAGGCCCAGAGATGGTAAGTGACTTTCCTGGGAACATAAAGCTTTTAAGTAATAAAATAATAACTCACACCTACATGTTTCTTCCCATTTCCCCAGATCTGAAGTTTGGATTTTATTTTTAAGAGGGCAAGCACAATCACTGATGATTTTCTGCAGGAAGTGACAGTGATAATACTAGTAGTTAAAGGTTAGTATTGCCGTGATATTCTACAGAGATTGGGTGGTAAGGATCAAGTAAAATGGAAATTAGGGGCATAGGATCAGTTTAGAGGTTATTACAGCAATCTCAGTGTGATAAAAACTGATGTATTGAGAAACGAGACATTGATTTTGGCAGCAAGAAATTTTTAAAAAGTAGAGATGAGCCTGCATGATGTTTAGAAGGAGGATTTATAGAATTTAGTGACAGGCTATGGAGCATCAAAGAGAGAGGTGTTTGCCTGGACCAAGAGCAATTGCAAAGCTGAGAACTATGCACGTTTCATTCACAGATATCTGCCTTGGTTAGCACATTGTCTGCTTCCCAGCAGAGGTTCAGTAAATACTTGGATAATACATTAATGAGTGACCAGTGGTAATGCCAGGCTTTGAGCTGAGTGTCCTACAGGGAAGCAGAGAAAGAGTGCAAGAAAGGGCGCTAGTTTGAATGAAAGAGGAATGTGATGTTGCATATGCTGAGTTCCAGTTGAGAAAATTGAAGATGAAGAGCTTCAAGTTGGATGTAAAAGACCCAAGTTCTGAGGCAATTCAAGTCTGGAGATGTCACTGCAGGGTCACTTGTGAAAAAGGCGATGATTGAGTTACTTAAAGGGACAAGATTTTCTTAAGATTAATGGGGAAGGAACAGGCCAGACGAGTGAATCTGGACCTCAGAGAAGCAAAATTAGGAGAAGGAATAACAAAGAGTTCTGTGGAGTATAAAGCCATGGTCATTAAGGAAGGATCATATTTTCAATCAGAGGTGGCAGTGATGGTGTGCAGTGCTACAGACTGAACCAGGAAAGATAGAATGAAAAAAATGGCCTTTGATTTTGGCTGAAGAAGTTTATTGACAGTTTTGGAAAGAGGTATTTTATTTATACAGTGTTGCTTCAAGTCAGATTGTGAAGATTTGACAAGTGATTGTGTTGTTGATAGACATTCAAACAAAGCTTCAACAAGGACATTTCTTAGAGTTGAGAAGGACACCTTACATGAAGATGCTGTTGTTGTCAAGATAGGGAGAAATAAATCCTCTGTACTCATGGTCTGTGTTATGAGCTAAATCATGTGTCTGCAAAATTCACAATTTGATGTCTTAACCCCCAATATCTCAGAATGTCACTGTATTTAATGGTAAGGTCTTTAAAGAGGAGTTTAAGTTAAAATGAGGCCCTTAGAGTGGGAACTTAATCCAATATGACTGGTGTCCTTTTAGGAAGTGAAAGAGACACCAGGAACATGCATGCACAAAAGGCGGCCATGTGAAGAGGCAACAAGAGGGTGGCTGTCTGCAAGCTAAGGACAGGGACCTCAGGAGAATCCAACTCTGCTGACACTTTGATCCTGGACTCCAGCCTCCAGAACTCTGAGAAAATAAAGTTCTGTTGTCAAAATCATTTTGCCTTGGCAGCCTGAGCAAACTGATAGAGTCTGCAAAATGGAGGAGGGGGTTAAGTGTGGAAAGAGGAGCACCCAGTATAGGGAAAGTAGATCTCAGAGAATATATGTACCTGCAAAAACAACATAAAATCAATTGAAAAGTTAAAACAATTAAATGCTTATGGCCAAATAACATAAGCTATGTGATATTTCTTTATCTTTTACTTTTCTAAAACATTTTAATATTTGTGTTTTCCCACTGGATGCACCAATCCAATGCTTTAAAGTTTGGAACCTGGTGTTCAAGCTTCGTAAGATGGAATCAATTTTCCATTTTGCTGTCTTTGTGTTGTTGTCTCTTAACAAACCACTACCCACTGGTGTGAAGGCGAAGCAGAGAGGCTTTGACATTGCTCTCAAAGCCTTCCATGTCATTATTTTTTATTTAATTGTAATTGGGACAACAATCAATCAGCTAATACCATATTTTGCTTATATTTTTAGAACATTTTTAGACTCCCTTTATGTTTCCTTAACACTGTATGGAATTCTGAGGTTGATTTGAGTTCATGAAGACTAAGAAGAATTTTCTTCCTCACCTAAGGAATCCAAAGATTCTTGGAGCTTCTTCAGGTTCTCGTCTTATCTCATGACCATTTTGAAAAGAGGGTCATGAATGAACCATTTTGAGTTACTTCATTTGAATCTTACTATCTAAAGCAGGGAATAAAATTTAAAACCTGTTTGTGAGGCTCTGTCCTTGTAGATAATCCACATTCTTTCTGATTTTTGATAGTGCACATAATCAGCAAGCAGCTAGACAGCTGGAGGAGATACGTAAATGAGAGAAATTTGTAGATGTCCACATGAAGTGGACATGTTAATCCCCCTTTATCCTCTAAAAGCTTCCCTAGGGGAGGCAGTTCTCTGCCCTGTGGAAGATGTTTTTTTCCAAAGCTAGCCCAAGATGGGAACAATGATATTTTAAACTTGGCAAGATTTCATTTAGAAAATCAGGCCCTTGAGACTGCTCTGAAAGGATTGACTCTGCTCCCATCTGGGATTTATTTAATCCTTTCATTGTTTCTTAGGTGAGTTTTCAAAAAACACATTGACAAGCTGTCTAGTGTGCCAATAAAGAATCTATTGGATACTTCCTCTTAATAGAACTTCATAATCTTACTTCTGTAGATGTCTGAAAAGTGGAATTTGTACTCGCCCAAAAAATTATGCTGAAACTTAACTGTGGTAATTGTATACTGTGGTGTTTAAAATGGACAAATACCACATGGCCTTTTGTCTATGATTTGTGGGCATAGCTGGAAATTTTTAGTCTGGGGGCATAATTTCTAGATGGATCTCTCAGCACTTTGTGGGTTACAAAATAATATCTTTTACTCTTCTGCAATTTTGAGGTTGTTTAGATATCCAGACCCGCTGGAGACAGTAAGGAGTAATTTTATATTTTATGCTATCAGGTTAAACTTTGAATTCATAGGTGAGAACCTTGTAAAAATTTAGAGTACTGAGTTAGAGAAAGACCCCTATATAAACACAGTGGATTCATAAACCCAGAAAATATCCTCTAATCCCTATTGTTGAATTAGAATTTAAATATGGGGGAGAGCCAAGATGGCTGACTAGAAGGAGCTAGCGTGCACTGCTCTCACGGACAGAAGAAACAGTGGTGAGTAAACCCTAGACCTTTAACTGGAACATTCAGGTGGACACATTGCGATTCATCAAGGAAACAACCCACGAATGAAAGAGAGGAATGAGACAAGACAACCACCCACCTGGGATGGCATAGAGCCAGAGGAGGCCCCCATACCTCGGAAAAATGATGAGTGAGTGACAGTCCCCAGGAACCCACACTTCTACCATGGACTTTTGCAACCCTGGGCTCAGGAGATCCCCCTGTGAGCCCACCCCACAGGGGCCTCCAGACTGACACCGAGAGCTCTGTGGAGTCTGGTAAGAGAAGTCACTCATGCACACATGGAGTCCTAGGAGCCTTGGATCCCCAGGCATCCTGGCATTAGCCACTGCAGCTCTGGCAGTGGGGGAGGTCAGGCTCCCTTGCACGTCTCCGGGAAAGAGGCAAATTTCATGAGGCTGAGCAGTGATGAACTTCAGGTTTCACCTTGCAGGATAAGGCCCACTGGCCTGGGACTCCAGCCACCTACTGCCTGGGCTTTCAGACCAGTAGCAGCTCTGACTTCCCTGGGACGGAGCTCCCAGAGGGAGATGCAAGCCACTATTTTTGCTGCCCTGCAGCCCTAATTGCTGCTGCCCTCAGGTTCTAGAAGGTGCGTGGTGATTTGAGACTGATACAGCTCCCCAGTGCAGCACAGCTGCCCCACAGAGAAGTGGCCAGACTCTTTTCCACCTGAGTCCTCGTTCCAACTTCTCCTCACTGAGTGGGACCCTGGACCTCGGACTCTAGCACAACCACTCTGGCCCCACCTCAACACTTTAGTCGGAGGCGGTTCTACATTTCACTGAGGAGGAAATCACAGAGACAACCCACAGCCCGTCTGCCACTGGAACTGCAGTAGTACCACCCTAACCACCCTCAGGATGGGGAAGGAACAAAGGACCTGGTTGCTATGCTGGCATTTCCCACACACAACAGCCACCATGCAGAGAGGAGCCCAGTCTCTCTTCCCTGCAAGCCCTCAATCCCCACTCTTCACCAGACTGAGCCCCCGGCTTGGGACCACAGAACAGCCATCCCATGCATGGCTGAGTATATCCACAGGTAGAGGCTCTATGTTTCCCTGGAAAAGGGATCTTAGAGTGACCAACAGCCCCTCTGCCACTGCCACGACAGTGGTTCTGCCACTGCTGCCCTCAGTCTGAGAAAAAACAAAAACACATAAAAACAAAGACTATGTCCAGCATGACACAGTCACCATAGACAAGAGTCCAGTCACTCCTCCCTGTGAGCCTTCCACCCCCTGCTTCTCACCAAGTGAAGGCCCCAGCTTGAGCCAGCAGCACAGCCACCCCATCCCTGGCTGAACATTTCCAGTAGCAATGGCTCTGTGTATCTCTGAGAGGGAGCTCCCAGAGGCAACTGAAAGCCCCTCTGCCACTGCCACTGCAGCGATACTGCCTTTGCTGCCCCTGGATTGGGGAAGTAGCAAAGACACTGGGTGCTTTAACCATGACTCCAGCAAGCTGCAGTTGTCCTAAGGAGAGAGGCCAGTCTGTTTCCCCCATCCCCCTTTCCCCCACAACCCTCACTGGTCACAAGGCACAGCTGCCCCTGGGTTGGGCCCACAGCACAGCAGTTCCACCCCAGGCTGATCACACTGATTAATAGCAGCTCTGAATCTCTCTGGGATAGAGCCCCATGAGATAGGTGAAAAGTCCTCTGCCACAACCACTGCCAAGATCCCTTCCCCTGCTGCCTCCAAGCTGGGGTGAAAACATAAAGCCTGAGCTCGCCCCAGGGCTGCAAAGTGCAGCCCAGAAGAGTCAAGTAAAGATCTGCAGCTAGCACTTGAGTGGGAGAGGAGCCCACACTCTCAGAGCACTGAGAAAGAGTACAGCTGCATTCATGAGGAAATATAGAGGAGCCATGTGGCTGAACAAGAGCCTACCAACTGGCCATTTAGCTTATCTACTGGATCACAGCCCAAACTTCAACACCAAAAATCCTTTGATAATGTACTCCCTTGTGAAACCAAGGGTGAGAACTCAGCTACAAACCCCCTGCAAAAACCCCCAGCCCTCTAAAAACATCCAGAAAAGAAGTCTACTGGCTACTCAAATTACACCATAGTTAAAGGAAATCATCCCACCATAGATGAGAAAGAATCAGTGCAATAACTCTGGCAGCTCAAAAAGCCAGAGTGTCTTCTAATCCCAAAAGACCACACTAGTTCCCCAGCAAGGGTACTTAGCCAGGCTGAAATGGCTGAAATGACAGAAATAGAATGCAGAATATGGATAGGAATAAAGATTATTGATATTCAGAAGAAAGTTAAAACTTAATTCAAGGAATCTAAGGATTACAATAAAATGATATAAAAGCTGATAGACAAAACAGCCATCATAAGAAAGAACCAAACTGATCTGATACAGCTGAAAAACACACCACAAAAATTTCATAATGCAATCACAAGTATTAACAGCAAAATACACCAAGCTGAGGAAACAATCTCAGAGCTTGAAGACTTGCTCTCCAGACTAACTCAGTCAGAGAAAAATAAAGAAAAAATAATTTTAAAAAATGAACAGAACCTCTGAGAATGATGGGATTACGTAAAAAGATCAAATTTATGACTCATTGGTAACGTTGAAAGTGATGGGAAGAAAGCAGGCAACTTGGAAAACATGTATCAGGATATCTATGAAAACTTCCCAACCTCTCTGGAAAGGTCAACATTCAAATTAAGGAAACACAGAGAACCCCTGCAAGATACTACACAAGAAGACCATCCCCAAGACACATAATCATCAGATTCTTCAAGGTTGAAATGAAAGAAAAAAAAATGTTAAAGGCAGCTAGAGAGAAGGGGCTGGTCACCTACAAAGGGAACCGCATCAGGCTAACAGTGGACCTTTCAGCAGAAACTGTCTAATCCAGAAGAGATTGGGGGCCTATGTTCAGAATTGATAAAGAGAGAAATTTCCAATCAAGAATTTAATATTCAGTCAAACAAAGCTTCATAAATGAAGGAGGAATCAGATCCTTTTCCGATAAGCAAATGCTGAGGGAATTTGTTACCACTGGACCTACCTTACAAGTTTCCAAAGTAGTGCTAAATATGGAAAGGAAAGGCCAATACCAGCCACTACAATTTTCAAGGGGAATGCTTCCAGCTTTTGCCCATTCAGTATGATGTTGGCTGTGGGTTTGTCATAGATGGCTCTTATTATTTTGAAATATGTTCCTTTAATGCCTAATTTGTTGAGGGTTTTTTAATATCAAGTGATGTTGAATTTTATCCAAATCCATTCCTGCATCTATTGAGATAATTATGTGGTTTTGTTTTTAGTCCTGTTTATGTGATGAATCACATTTATTCTCACTGCATATTCTCACTTATAAATGGGAGCTAAACAATGAGAACTCATGGACACAAAGAGGACAACAGACACCATGGTATACTTGAGGGTGGAGTGTGGGAAGAGAGAGAGGATCAAAAAACTACCTGTCATGTACTATGCTTATTATCTGGGTGATTAAATAATCTGTACACCAAGCCCCTGTGACACACAGTTTACCTATATAACACACCTGCACATATACCCCTGAACCTAAAATAAAAGTTAAAAAAAGAATTTAAATAATCCAAATTCTATTGTATGATCAATCACTTTTATATCCCAAGTCTTCAAATCTTTCAGGGTTTCCAGTTACATACATATGATATTTTGGATATAGTTTTTGAAAATGAAAGAGCCTAACATCAAATTTGCTAATAAGTTTACAGTTACATTCTACTCTACACAGCCTCCCTCAAATTATGTTTAATATTAGTATAGCCAGTTTTCCCAGCACCATTTATTAAATAGGGAATCCCTTCCCCATTGCTTGTTTTTGTAAGGTTTGTCAAAGATCAGATGGTTGTAGATGTGTGGTGTTATTTCTGAGGCCTCTGTTCTGTTCCATTGGCCTATATATCTGTTTTTGTACCAGTACCATGCTGTTTTGGTTATCACTGGTCATCAGAGAAATGCAAATCAAAACCACAATGAGATACCATCTCACACCAGTTAGAATAGCGATCATTAAAAAGTCAGGAAAAACAGATGCTGGAGAGGATGCAGAGAAATAGGAACACTTTTACACTGTTGGTGGCAGTGTAAATTAGTTTAACCATTGTGGAAGACAGTGTGGTGATTCCTCAAGGATCTAGAACTAGAAATACCATTTGACCCAGCAATCCCATTACTGGTTATATACTCAAAGGATTATAAATCATGCTACTATAAAGACACATGCACACGTATGTTTACTGCAGCACTATTCACAACAGCAAAGACTTGGAACCAACCCAAATGTCCATCAATGATAGACTGGATTAAGAAAACATGGCACATATACACCATGGAATACTATGCAGCCACAAAAAAGGATGAGTTCATGTCCTTTGCAGGGACATGGACGAAGCTGGAAACCATCATTCTCAGCAAACTATCACAAGGACAGGAAACCAAACACCGCATGTTCTCACTCGTAGGTGGGAACTGAAGAATGAGAACACCTGGACACAGGGCAAGGAACATCACACACTGGGGCCTGTCATAGAGTAGGGGCTGGGGGAGGGATAGCATTAGGAGAAATACCTAATATAAATGACGAGTTGATGTGTGCAGCAAACCAACATGGCACATGTATACCTGTGTAACAAACCTGCACGTTGTGCATATGTACCCTAGAACTTAAAGTATAATAATAATAATAATAATAATTAGTATAGTGACTTTATTTACTCCTACTTTTAAAAATTACTGTCTAGATGTCAGTGTGTCCAAAATGTCTATCTCTGTCCTTTACTTGCCCTTTAAACTCCAGTTATGAGTGTGCAGTGATCCACCAAACATGTCCACTTGAGTGTCTAAAGTCATCTAGGAATTAATATGTTGAAGAAGAAAGTATTGCTTTCCACCTTAAAACCTGCTTCTCCTCCAGTATTCTTCTGCTGTCAGTAAGTAGCACCACCAACCACTCAACTAGACAAGCCCCAAACCTAGGAGTCAGCCTTGGTTTCTCTTCTGTTTTCTCCCTTGTCTTCCCAATTCATCAGCAAATATTCTCAATAGAACTTTTTGGGCCCATCTGAAATCCATCTATTTCTCTGTGTGTTCACTATTCTCATCCTAGCCCAAACCATTGCCATCTCTCAAGAAGGTTCCTGCTACAATCTTCTAAGTCGTTCTAGTTTTGTCTTCTCTAATTTTGCTTTTAAACTTCTGGTTTTACCTCTCTAAAATCTGTTCTCTACACATATGCAAGAATGATCTTGTTATAACTTGTATTAGTTATAACTTGCATTAGTTAACGTAAGTTATAACTTGCATTAGTTAACATCCCCTTTCAAAAACCTCTAATGGCTTCCTCGTACTTAGGATAAAATACTATTTATCCTGGCCTATAACATCGTATATGATAAGACTGCTTTCTCATCTCTCTACCTCACTATAGGCTTCTCTCTACATTAGTCACTTTTCTTTCACCACTCTGGGCTTCTTTTTGTCTCTGTAAAGGGGCAAAAGCTTCTACCCCAGTGCCTTTGCAGTTGCTGAACTCTCAGACCTGTTCATCACCCACCTCTCCCAAGATATTCACGTGATTGTGAATCATTCTTTCACAGAATGATTCTGTGAAGAATCTGAGAAGATTCTTCTGAGAAGAAGGCTCTTTCTTCTCATTCAGGGTTTAGTTAAGGTGCTAATTTATTAGAGTAATTATTATTGATTGTCTCATCTGGAGTAGCCCCTGTCTCTATCATTTTCTTTTTGTTTGATTCATGACACTAGTTACTGTCTGATATTTTTTCTTTATTTATTTGATTATTGACTCTTTCCCCCACTAAAATGTGTGCTTTACAAGAACCATACCTGTTTTATTCTCTATTGTATTCCTAGAGCATAAAATGGCTCCTGGTGCATAACAAAACCTTAAAGAGTCATGCCAACATTGTATTTTTATTGCAGTGAGTTTCATGCCTTACACTAATTTCTCTCCTTAGCATTCTCTCTTCAACATCCCGTTTTTCCCAAGTACAACTGATGTAGCTATGTATAAGTTGAGGAAATGATTTCATTTTTAAGTTTTTATCAAAAAGGTTAAAATAAAATCCAAGATTAATGTTAATAGATTCTGAAACATATCTGCTGCTAAATGACTTAAACGTTCAAGAAAGAGCACATAAGAAATAAATCTCAATTTACTTAAAAGCAGCAGAAATAAAGTTTTCTTCCAAAATTTCTTAACAGGATGTGGCATTTTATTACTGGATTTTTAGCCAGTGGTTCTCCAGGCTCTTGAGGCTTAAATAGATGAAATGTACAGTTCTAGGTTTAAGAGGTACTTGCTCCTATGTTAGAAGTCACTTTAAGATAAGAAAAGAAGCCTTATTTTATAATTATCAGGTTTAAGCAGAACTGACAGCCTGGAAAGGTACAGTAAAATAGCTTCAGGACAATAGCAAATTTCAGTACGTCATGCCAACCTATCATCTTTTATGGAATCCCATACTTTGAGTTAAGATCTTTCTTTCAGTATGCTACCAAATAAAAGGTTAAAAAAATTAGAATCAACCAGCAAGGATGGAACAATCCAAGTGAGATACATCTTAGTTTTTTTTTAAACCCTGCTTCATGAAGACACAATTCTCTAGAAAATTGGGATCTGTGTTATTAAACAAAAACATTAATTACATGGTTTTATATTTAGCAGAGCACTGTAGAGTTATTCAGAATGTTCTATGTTTCATGATTTTTCCTCTTACTGCCAAGTTGAATCTTTAATAAAACAAGTATAATGGAAATTAGGAGAGTATAGGAAATTTAGCATATAAGAATAAATTAAGCATAAGATTATTTTTTCCCCAGGACATTAAACATTAAATATTAATAGATCAAGTTCAATAAGAAGTTGTATTGGTTCAGAAAGTAAAGAATAAAAATTCAGATTATGAATTTTTAGTGTTGACCTATAAATTCATATTGCATTTATTATAAGAGCATAAAAACTTTAGAAAGAAAATTGTATAATATAGTGAAATATTTTCAACAAAGGATAATTCCATATGTATTTTTGTACATAAATTATAGGTATTTAGTATAATAATGCTATAAACTACACAAATGCTTATAATTGATCTAGTATAATATTTTGTAATGTAACTTTGAGTGTCCAGAGTTATAGCATTAAATAACATTCAATTATACAGTGGGAAAGGTATTTCCTTCACATTTTCTCTCTTTAAACTCTATTATGGAACTTTGTAAATACACAGAAAAATAGAGACAGTAGAATTATAAACCAACCTATATTAATCATTCAGTTTATGTTTAGATTGGGGTTCATTTTTTGTCTGTGGATGCCCAGTTGCTCTGCCACCATTCATTGAAAAGGCTATTCTTCTTCTTTTGAATTCCTTTTGCAACTTTGTCAAAAATCAGTTGAACATACTTGCTTTGGTCTATTTCTGGGTTCTCTACTGTATTCTATTTATATGTCTTCCCCTCTGCCAATATTGGAGTTTTGATAACTATGAGTATGTAATAAGTCTTGAAATTGGGTAAACTGATTTCTCTCATTTTATTCTGTTCTGTTTCAACATTGTTTTAGTTATTCTCATTCCTTTGCCTTTCCACATAAAATCTTGCTGGAGATACGCCTGTATTATCTTATCCTCTTGACGTCTGCAGGGTCTGTAGCGATATATACCCTGTCTCATTTCTAGTATTAGTAATATATGCCACCTCTCCTTTTTTTTTCTACTGTTATTTATTTATATTCTTATTTTAATTATTTGCTTCCTTTTCCTTGTCTTGGGTTTATTTTGCTCCCTTTATTTTAAGAGTTGCAGTGTGAAAGTTTAGATTACTGATTTAGGATTCTAAAAATCTTCTCTAATGTAAGTGGTTTGTATTATAAGTATGTTTCTTAGCACTGCGTGCTAAGAATACACAAAATGTGTTTTACACATTGTGATAATGTGTTTTTATTTTCATTCAATTCAATGTATTTTAAAAATTTCTTTTGAGACTTTTTGAAAATCATAAATGTAGCATGCATAAGTGTTTTTTTAGTTTCCAAGTGTTTGGGGGAAGTTTTATGTTACATTTCTGTTATTGAATTTCTAGTTTGGTTTCATTGAGTATTCTGTATAATTTTAATTCTTTTAAATTTGTTGAGTTTTGTTTTATGGCCTTGGATATGGCCTGTCTTTGTATGTGTTCATAGGAACTTGAAAAGTATGTATATCCTGCTGTTGAAAAGTATATGTATTCTGCTGTCGTTTGGTGAAGAGTTCCATAATGTTGATTAGATTCTGTTGGTTGGTGATATTCTTGAGTTATTCTATTATCCTTGCCCTTTTTCTTTCTACTTGTTTCATCAATTATTGGAAGGAGGTGTTAATGTCCCTAAAAACAATTGCGGATTTGCCTTTCTCTCTTTTCAGTTCTACTGGTTTTTGCTTCAACTGGAAGTTTGTAGCTCTGTTTTTTGGTATGTACACATTTAGAACTGCTATGTCTTCTTGGATTAAACTCTTTGGCCTTACATAATGTCTCTTTCTGTCTTTGTTAATTTTCTTTACTTTGAAGTTTACTTTATCTCATTTTAATATTGCTATTCTTTCTTTCTTTTGATTACTGTTTGTATATCTTTTTTGATTCTTTTGCTTTCTTTTTTTTATTATTATACTCTAAGTTTTAGGGTACATGTGCACAAGGTACAGGTTTGTTACATATGTATACATGTGCCATGTTGGTGTGCTGCACCCATTAACTCGTCATTTACATTAGGTATATCTCCTAATGCTATCCCTCCCTCCTCCCCCAACCCCACAAAAGGCCCCGGTGTGTGATGTTCCCCTTCCTGTGTCCAAGTGTTCTCATTGTTCAATTCCCACCTATGAGTGAGAACTTGCGGTGTTTGGTTTTTTGTCCTTGCGATAGTTTGCTGAGAATGATGGTTTCCAGCTTCATCCACGTCCCTGCAAAGGACATGAACTCATCATTTTTTATGGCTGCATAGTATTCCATGGTGTATATGTGCCACATTTTCTTAATCCAGTCTATCATTGATGGACATTTGGGTTGGTTCCAAGTCTTTGCTATTGTGAATAGTGCCTCAATAAACATACATCCGCATGTGTCTTTATAGCAGCATGATTTATAATCGTTTGGGTATATACTCAGTAATGGGATGGCTGGCTCAAACGGTATTTCTAGTTCTAGATCCCTGAGGAATCACCACACTGTCTTCCACAATGGTTAAACTAGTTTACAGTCCCACCAACAGTGTAAAAGTGTTCCTATTTCTCCACATCCTCTCCAGCACCTGTTGTTTCCTGACTTTTTAGTGATCGCCACTCTAACTGGTGTGAGATGGTATCTCACTGTGGTTTTGATTTGCACTTCTCTGATGGCCAGTGATGATGAGCATTTTTTCATGTGTCTGTTGGCTGCATAAATGTCTTCTTTAGAGAAGTGTATGTTCATATCCTTTGCCCACTTTTTGATGGTGTTGTTTGTTTTTTTCTTGTAAATTTGTTTGAGTTCTTTGCAGATTCTGGATATTAGCCTTTTGTCAGATGAGTCGATTTTAGACCAATATCCCTGATGAACACTGATGCAAAAATTCTCAATAAAATACTGGCAAACCGAATCCAGCAGCACATCAAAAAGCTTATCCACCATGATCAAGTGGGCTTCATCCCTGGGATGCAAGGCTGGTTCAACATATGCAAATCAATAAACGTAATCCAGCATATACACAGAACCAAAGACAAAAACCACATGATTATCTCAATAGATGCAGAAAAGGCCTTTGACAAAATTCAACAGCCCTTCATGCTAAAAACTCTCAGTAAATTAGGTATTGATGGGACATATCTCAAAATAATAAGAGCTATCTATGACAAACCCACAGCCAATATCATACTGAATGGGCAAAAACTGGAAGCATTCCCTTTGAACACTGGCACAAGACAGGGATGCCCTCTCTCACCACTCCTATTCAACATAGTGTTGGAAGTTCTGGCCAGGGCAGTCGGGCAGGAGAAAGAAATAAAGGGTATTCAATTAGGAAAAGAGGAAGTCAAATTGTACCTGTTTGCAGATGATAAGATTGTATATTTAGAAAACCCCATTGTCTCAGCCCAAAATCTCCTTAAGCTGAGAAGCAACTTCAGCAAAGTCTCAAGATACAAAATCAATGTACAAAAATCACAAGCATTCTTATACACCAATAACAGACAAACAGAGAGCCAAATCATGAGTGAACTCCCATTCACAATTGCTTCAAAGAGAATAAAATGCCTAGGAATCCAACTTACAAGGGATGTGAAGGACCTCTTCAAGGAGAACTACAAACCACTGCTCAACGAAATAAAAGAGGACACAAACAAATGGAAGAACATTCCATGCTCATGGGTAGGAAGAATCAATATCGTGAAAACGGCCATACTGCCCAAGGTAATTTATAGATTCAATGCCATCCCCATCAAGCTACCAATGACTTTCTTCACAGAACTGGAAAAAACTGCTTTAAAGATTCTTTTACTTTCAACATGCCTACATTTTTATAGCTGAAGTGAATTTCTTTTAGATAGCATATTGTTGGGTAATGTATTTTAATCTGTTCTTCCAATCTCTTTCTTGTAATTGGTATATTTGGACCATTTACATTTAATGTTACTATCCATCTGTTAAAGCCTGCCATTTTATTTCGTGTTTTCTGTTCATTCTCTCTGTGTATTGTTTCTCTGACTCCCTCTGTTTATTCTCTTCTTCCTTTTTCCTGCCTTCCTGTGGATTACTGAAACATCTCTTTAAATTTCATTTTGATTTACACTAATGCTTTTAAGTGTACATCTTTGTATGGCTTTTTTAGGGGTTCCTTCAGGCATTTATTTACGCACAACTTAACGAAATCTACTAGTGTCAACATTTTACCATTTCAAGTAAAGTACAGAAAACTTACCTCCTGCTTTTCTTTTATATCCCCAGTTTATAATTTTTTTAAACATTTCTTTTAAATACACTTACAACTACATCAGACAATGTTATTATTTTCACCATCAAACATAATTTAGAAAACTCAAGAAGGGAAGGAAACTGTATTATATTTGCCCATAATCTGACTGTACTAGGTTTCCACTGATACAACTCCAGCAGGAGGGGTGCCTCATTACTGCTGAGTGTGGATGGAAATCCAGGCTCCCAAGGTGATCTTCATATTCTCCCAGGGCCATTGTTACTGCCCAAAGGCATGAAAGTTCTGGCTCTCTACTCACCCTTCTCTGACACCACCCAGGTTGGATTTGGAGGTGAGAGTGAGGGAGTAGTTAGGGTTCTCCATTACAGCCTGGTGAATTTGGAAGCCTGGGTTTCCCACTTGACCTTTGCTGGCACAGATAGAAGTAAGGCCACAGTTGTTTTCAGTGGTGTTTGACTGGCATAGACTAGCTATATTCTTAAAGTTTCCTTGCCAGGTTGTTCTTTTCGTGGTGCTTTGTCTAGAAAAAGAAGGCTTTTGTTGGAACTTTGTCTGCCCTCATTGGTATTTCCAGATTGCTGGCTTTTCCATCTCCATATCTGAGATGTATGAGGCAAAAAGAAATCTCGGGGAACACACCACTGTGTCTATTCATCGGTGCCAAGGTCCCTGGCCAATCTGCCTTTTTCTCCTCCTTTCGGAGTCGTCTTATGTGTGTTTTATATATAATTTCTAGGGTTTTTAGTTGTACTTAGAAGGAGAAACAATGAAAATTATGTCCACTCCATCTTCCCTCTGTGCTGTTTTTTACTTTCCCACCTCTTGCCTTTTTCTCATTTACTTATTGAAGAGAGGAGGGGTTTTGGTTTTTGTTTGTTTTAAAGAATTTCCAACATTCTGGATTGGATGGTTGTATTCTTTTGTATCACTTAATACATTATTCTATCTCCTCTGTTACTACAATCTGCTCATTAGAACTAGAGACTTGATTTACTTCAGGTTTAATTCTTTACAAGATTATTTTATGGAAAGTGTTGTAGAGATCTTCACACTAGGAGATGCGAAACATTTAGTCATTTCACTCCTAGGGAGTTTAAGGTTTACATGACTTAAGGATTTGTTTTCTTATTCATTGCATAGTTTCCCATCAACTTTCTCTGATGGTTTTTGTATTCAGTTTTATTTCAGCCATAATAAAAGAGCACACCCTTTTCCCAAACACGTTCTGAACAAATTGATAATAAAATGAAGTAGTAGCACTGGAGGTCAAGGGTTAAATTGGAAAAGAGCATAAAATAAGATGCAATACCTCCCAAGAGAAAAGAATAGAGCTGAGCCAAGAGTGTCCTTTATCTTTTCCATATTTATTAAGCAGACAAGTCACTCCACCTCTCCTGGAGCAGCATAGCAAAAGAATAAAAGAGGCCAGGACCAGGCGCAGTGGCTCATGCCTGTAATCCTACCACTTTGGGAGGCCAAGGTGGGCAGATTGCCTGAGCTCAGGAGTTCAAGACCAACCTGGGCAACACAGTGAAACCCCATTTCTGCTAAAATACAAAAAATTAGCCAGGCATGATTGCAGTGAGCCGAGATAGAACCACTGCCCTCCAGCCTAGGCAACAGAGCAAGACTCTGTCTCCAAATAAATAAATAAAAATAAAAGAGGCCAGGAGCTACACTAATGGAACTCCTATTGTATGAAGCTAAGAACAGGAGTGGGAAATAGCACTCCTCTCTATGATGACACCAAGAAGAACATCTTTGCTTCATAAAAATCTCCTCTATAATAGTTTAATAAATGGCTGGCAGTGGTGACTTTAGTTATTAATACTGTAGTGCTTACTTGAAATTTGCTAAGTACTAGATCTTAAATGTCCTCACCATATGCACACACATACACAAAAGGGTAACTATGTGTGGTGATGAATGTGTTGCTTAATATGGTGGAATATAGATATGGCAATAATTGTAAGTATATTTAAAGGCTCGGTATTTCAGAAACCTTGATCAAACATCTAATGACATCTCTGTATCAATATGAATACTCAGAGAAGCAAAATGTCTTCTTCAAAGTATCACATCAATTTGAGGGCAGCCAATGCTGGATCTGAAATTCAGTCATCTAATGCCTACTCATTTGCTCCTTTCCAGCTATACTTTTTCCTGAACAAGTGCAGAGAGGATTGTGTGCCCTCAGGCTAGAGTCCTAAACATTTTATTGCAACACTATGAAGGCAGGGCTTAAATCTCTTATTTATTGCTGTATATTCAGCATCTAGTGGAATGAGTGCTCAATAAACATTCTTAGAGGTTTTTTAGATATTAATATATATCCTCCACGAATATCATTTTTTACCTCTACACAGAGCATCCTTTATTGAGATTCAATTAAGAACAATTTGTCAGCTCTCTCCCTTTCCCAAAGTCTAGCTATTTATGATAATGTCTTTCTTTGACTACAGTGTGTAATTTTATGTTTCTTTTATCTCAACCGGTCAGTCTCAGGAACAAGCCTTATAATTCCCTAACCATGGTTAGGTTTTATCCTAGAAAAGGAACGAACAATATGTGCTGACTAAGATAAACCAGTTCATGATAGTTAAAAGACCATTCATTGAAATGATAGAATATACAAACATTTGGCAGAGTTCTTATGTTAAGCCTTTCCATTAATATTTTTAGCAGACATTTATGGAGCTCGTACTATGTGTGTGGGACTGTGTTAAATGCTGTACATTGATTTTTCTCATCAAAACACCATAGCAATCCTATGAGTTAGTTGTTTTTATTTCCTCCTCTTTTAAAAGATAAAAACTGGGATGTAGAGATGTTACATAACTTGTCCAAGGAAGCATAGCCATGGTGTTGAGGCTGGATTCAATTTTAGATTTTTCCAACTAGAAAGAAGAGCTCTTACCCTCTATTCAGACCTATATTTGAATTTAATAGTTTAGGAGGCATGCTTGAGGTGGAAAAACCATGAGATTCCAATTTAAGAAGACCCCATGGCCTCAGCTCTTACAACTACAGTTTTATGACCTAATACAAACTATGCTTACAAACTTCAGTCATCTACCCTACTTTCTCAATTTTTTCACTGTATTGATACCTCCTGTACTATTATTTACTTAATATTCACTAGATATCCTTCTTTAAGAAGATGGCTCTGAAAATAAGTCTAATGAAGATAATAGCATTAAATTCTTCCCAAATACTCCACAATGCTTTGAACAGGACTATTATTTTCCCTCTTCTCCTTCCCGCCCTGCTTCCTTCCTTTCTCTTTCAGAGGTTAGCAAGTGTTACGGAGGTATTAAGGACATGGTGGCACCAAACTGAGACTTTCTTCTTGATGTACTAAAAAACATTTAAAAAATAATTGATAAGGGAGTAATTTTCCGATGGTGTGATTCAATGTGATTTAATATTGTACATCACCTAATATCACCTCTCATTTTAAGTATGTGCTCCACAATTTGAGATTCACTGGCTTGAACTCTGAGCATTTTTGTGAAAATCTAATGAAACAATGGATATGAACTCACTCAGCAAACTGGAAAGTTCTTTTGCAACTCTTCCCTTTGGACTAAAGAAACATCAATCCATAACCTGGCTGTAACATTAATAGCACCTCTAGCTGTTCTCCCTCCTAAAACTAATTTAGTTTTTTTCCAGTACTAACTAGAAAATGTTTAGTAGCTGAGGACTGAAGGTATATAAACTTTATGTGAGGTCAGGTGGAAGAGAAATCACTGGTTACATATGTGAGGAAACACGTACAGTATGCTGTTTACGCTTCTGATGATGGGGGCTGTCAACAGCTCTTTATGTAACACATACCAATGTGCTGTGGACTCTATTGAGACAAAACAAATGGGGGTTCTAACCTCAGAGAGCTAAAAGTTTTGCATAGACTATCGAAGCTAAGACTCAAGGCCAAGTGTTAGTCTTGTCAAGACCTTGCTAGAAAAGTGTTGAATTACATTTGGGTAATTCTGAATAGCTAGATGTTTATTCATCTTTATTTTATCTCCTGCAACACAAACTGGGTCCCAGTAATGCATCAAGTACTATGGTCAGTGCTAATTATTTTGGTAGCACTCAGCTGACATATAGAGTGCTAACTACAAATGAGGGTCCATGGGCGTCAGCATCACACCCTCCTCACAACTGTCTGTAATTAATCCTTATTCTATAGAAAGGAAATGGAGGCACAGAGAATGCACATGCTAACTGGTCAAGTGAGTTTTGAACCCTGCTTCAATTGACCCCACAATCTTGGCTGTAGCTACTGAGCCTTATTGTCTTACTCCAAACACAAAGAAATAAATGTATTCTACTCTGTAGGAGTTCCCCTGTTCTATTGCCGCCTGCCATCTTAGAAGGCATGGGCAGTGCCAAGTTCTGGAGTAATGAAAAGGTGTCTGCCTTCCTCATCAACAAGCTTTGTTGGAATTGTTCAGATGGCATTCTTAATGTTCCCGAAACCTGCTTTGTGTTTGTTTAATTGTAATATAGTCTGGCACTTTGACATTTAATTTTCTTGTTTGTTTGTAATTATCTTCCATGAGAGTAAGAGCAGAGTTGGATTATATTTACTTCCTTCCTTCCTTCCTTCCTTCCTTTCTTTATTTTCCCTCCTTAGCACACAAATCTGATCATGACTCACTAGGTTTTGATGAGCCTCAGTTCTGGGTGAATGACCTCAGATCAGCCTCCAGGGGAGGAGCTGTGCCTCCAGCCCGGGTCAGCCTGGTGGGAGCCAGTGAGGCTGCTCAGGCACCTCGCAGAGCAAAGAGCAGCATGGCACTGCTGTAGGTCAGCACAGAAAGCACGCTGCCTCCCTCAGCGGCTAATGGTGTGGCTCAGGTCAGAGGAAAGCCTCACCAAGACAGTGGGGACTCTGCTGAGTGGCCTCTGCTCTTCTTTCCAGATAATTAGGATATTTCAAAACAAATGGCAGTGATCTCTCAAGAATCTCATTTCTCTGGGATCAGTTTGTTATTTGGCTTCGTAGTCTTATCAGGAAAATTGCCTTCTCTTGAATCAGGACTATCCTTTAATAGATGATACAATGTTTCAAAGAGCAAAAGTGTCTTCCACTGACATACAATGTTTATGCTCACATAATGATCTAGCTTGATCGCCACAACAACCCCATAAGAGTTTTCTATAATTTAGTTATTTGCATATGACCATTACAATTTTCACCATATCCATTCTTATATCCAAATATATAACTCAATATTTTTCTTTCAATCACTCTATTTAAATAAAGGTAAGTGTTTTACCATACAGTTATGTCAGAATTCCACAATGTTTAGAAGGGAGGGTAAAAATCTGTGAGGTCCGTAAATGGACCTCATATCTCTTAACCTTTAGAATTTTCCACTGGCATGTCTGTCTTAATGACCTCAAAATGCCACTAGTTTCTGTAGCCCCTACCTCTTTTGATACTTGAGTTTACTGCTATCTAAAGAGAACCTTAGCACCATTATGATCCTATGTGATTGAAACAACTTAAAATGTACTTTTCTAAGTTTTTTACATCTCTTCAGCAGCCAAAACAAAAAATCCTCTTTCAGAATTTGGAAAATGGGTAGTGAAAGGCAGAGTGGGAAAGAATATAGGAACACTCAGTCATAGCTACAGAGGTCAAGTTGAACCACTTAACCACTGGTGATTCATCCTTCTAGGCCAAAAGAATAAGTGAGGGAAATAGCAAGAAAGGCATTATGTAGTGGAGGCTATTGAGGGTATTTGGAATTTGAGATAAGAGGTTACAAAGCAGCCTTGAAGTGCGGGAGAATTGGGTGGCGGAGGGACAAAGCTACTGAGACCGACTGCTATGTGGCACAGGTTGGGTTGCCTAGGAAGCCAACCCTCAGTTAGAGACTAGACTGAAGAAATGGATCAGAGAAAACTTGGATCATTGGATCAACACCTGGGGAGGGCAAAGGGATGGGAGCAGGCTGGGGCAGAGGAAGAAGGTGAGCCACAGCATAGTCACAGGAAAGATAGCAGCTGAGCGGACCCTGCAGGGAGTTCTAAAGGCAGGATGACCCTCAGAGCTCTTTCCAGCTGGGGCGAGGGGCCTGAACTTGGGTACCCATTATCAGTTACTGAATGTGGGTTGTCCGAGGAAGAGTGAGTGACTTTGAGTGAGGCAGCCCTCCTCAACTAAGGTGACTCCTGAAGGAGCTGATGGCAGAGCATTCCCAGCAAGCAGTGTGACCAGAAGCTAAGATAATATGTCCTTTATTCCTGAATTCCTGAGGGATATCTGGAAGGCATATCACAGCATCCCCTATCCTGTGAATTATAAACTGGACCTCATTTAATATTTTTCAAAACCCAAGTAAAGTTTGGAGCTCTTTTTTTTTTTTTTTTTTTTTTTTTTAAGACAGAGTTTCACTATGTCACCCAGGCTGGAGTGCCATGGTGCAATCTCGGCTCACTGCAACCTCCACCTCCTGGGTTCAAGCGATTCTCCTGCCTAAGCCTCCTGAGTAGCTGGGATTACAGGCGCACACCACCACACCCGGCTAATTTGTGTGTGTGTGTGTGTGTGTGTGTGTGTGTGTGTGTGTATTTTTAGTAGAGACGGGGTTTCACCATGTTGGCCAGGGTGGTCTTGATCTTCTGACTTCATGATCCACCCACCTCAGCCTCCCAAAGTTGCTAACGCCTGGGATTATAGGCGTGAGCCACCACGCCCAGCCTGGAGTTCCTTTTTAAACAATATTTTTAAGTGGTGCATTTAAAGTAAGAGTGTGCAGAGACCAAGCCACATGAGGCCCCAGAAATTATTAGATTTATACCCAGAAAGTTAATATTAGGCTTCCAAAGCCCTTAATTGATACTTGCTCACACAACACAAATTCCCATAAACAGGAAAAAAATGAGATGGGGAAAAGTGGCTTTTGTTATATTTTCATAAAACAGTCATGCTGACTTCCAAAATTAGATCTTTTTGGACTCTGCATAAGGAGATTTAGAGTTTTGGCCACATCTGGATTTTATTTTTATCGAATTTTGATCAGCAAGAGTAAAAGTAGTGATCCGTTTGGAGTTGCAGTCAGATAAATTAGGAATAAAAGAATGTGCTTTAATGAGCCTGCTCTTGTGCGTAATGCATTATGTAACAGTATATTGTAACAAACTTGCACATCCTGCACATGTACCCCAGAACTTAAAAGTTGATAAAAAATAAATAGTATATTTGAGTGGATGGAATAAATCAAGTAAACAAAATCTACCTTAAGCATAAAAAATACCAAAACCAACACCTTAAGTGCAAAAAAGTGGGGAAAGAAGGAATTGTTAGGGTCAACGTATCTGCAGCACAGTCTAAAATGATGTTGTCACATTGGCTTCATTCTCAGGCAGGCTCTCCCAACGATGGAAAGTGGCAAACTTATCATCCCAGATTCAGTTCTGAGCAGAAAGGTGTCTCTCTTACCAGTAATTCCAGCCAGCTCTGTGAGACTGATACTCTTTGGTTTTTATTGGCTCACTTGAGTCTTATGCCCATCCCTGAACCAATCACTGAGGTTGGCAGGTAAGGTATCTGCATTGACCACGTGGGTATTATGTGCCCACCCTGAAGCTGAGACACCCCATCAGCCCCTTTGTAACCACGAAGATTGAAAATCCAGTAGGGGTGATTCCCGAGGGAAAATCAACATGCTGCCACCATAAAATGGATAAACGAATGTCAAGAACACCTGGCATGTACTATCTTTTCAGACCAAGGTGAAAATTCTCCCTCTGCCACTTTTATTTGGAAAGTTATTTCTATTCTCTTTCTTTCACTGTTCTCACATATAAAGTGGAGCAGATGATTCTGACTTTGCAGGATTGTTGTGAGGATAGTTGTTAATGTATAAATAAAAGCTCTTTGGACTATAGGAGGTGCTCATTAACTAAAAACTATCATTGTAGTTAATAGCAAGCCCACTCTGGGCTCTGTGCTGGTGTTTCCACAAGTATTAATTCACTTCAGTTAGAAACCTATGAAAGCCTTTAAATTGGACCAAGCATCAAATGACTTCCACCTTTTCACAGGATATTTAATATTATCCTAGCACCATGAAGAGAAAACCACGTGAAATCTCAGCATTCTTACCCTGCACACAAATTGGGAACAAGAAAATCATTCTGTCTCTAAGGATCATGATAAACAAATGTGCCTGTTGCCTATTTTTGAATTTTAATCCAAAGATGGAACAGAAATAGAATTCTTCAGGGTACATTTAGCAAGCCCAAATAGCAAGAACACACCCTCTAAATGGTACCCAGGTGGCTGTTAAGTACATCAAAGGCAGGGAACCCAGGAAAGGAGGAATGAATGTGAAATTCAAGTGTGATGCCTTTTGATGTGAGCCACTGAAAGGTTAGAGATAAATGAGAGTGTACACCTAACAGAAAGGGATCTGAGCTGACCCCTAAAAGAAGATAGGGTGTCATCACCAACTGCTTCCTGAGGACACACATCTCATCTGCTATTGTGGGGATGCAATGCCAATAGTACCATGTGAGACGAAATAGAGCCCGTTGTGCATCTTATGGTCAGACAGACCTGGATATGCATCCTGTTGTGTGAACTTGGGAAAAACGTTTAATTCCTAGGGCTTCGGGTTCCCCATTCCTTCACACATTCCCAGTAATGCTCTGGCTCCAGGCTAACCGATTATTTTTTTTAACTGTCTTAAAAATGCACCCCTCCTCGGGGCCTTCCCCCACATTGTTCCTTTGGCCTGGAATGCTCATCTCTAACTTCTCTGGCTACTCAGCCAAGGCCTCCTCCTTCCTGGAAGTTGTCTCTGCTTTCCTGTATTCATTGCACCTTCATAGCCCACTCAACTCCTCCAGAGCCCTCCGCGCTCTTCTTTGCATCTGTTGTTAGACCATCAGCCCCATGCAGCTGGAAATCACTCCGACTATGATCCCAGCTGGATACCCAATGCCAAGAATAGTGCAGGGCCGTAGTAAGTCCTCAATATTTGTTGAATGAATTAGTCATCATCAAAATAAGGTATACTGGGTTTCATCATGACTCAATTCCTTCTTAATAATAATCTTTGGCCTGTTTATACAGGAAGACATCTAGGGATAGCTCTTCCTGGAAATCTCTCTATCTTTATTCAGGGCCTTAGCCAGGCTTGAGAATGGAGCTATCTACCACTCATCCTTCCTGGTCCCTCCCTGGGGGCCCACTCACCCTAGACCACTGCAGAATCTGCCTCACTGTGACATAGGAAGTCCATAAAATTTGCACCAATGTGTCTCTGTGACTCTAAGTCTCATATAGCCATTTATTTTGGCTTCCAAAGGATGTTCGTATCTTAGTCAAGTAATGGGCATCCACTGAGCATCAACTTTGTGCCTTTCCCTGGATGAAGGAATCTATAATCACCATTGTCTGAACTGGAAAAGTTATCTTTCTGAATGTCATTTGTGTCAATAGCACCATAAGCATCCACTACCATATTGTGTGTGCTGCATACCAATCATTGCTAACACCTATGAGAATTATGTGCCACACACACAAAATATATACATGTATGATACATACCTATTGACCCAATTGTCATAGGTATGATACATACTATACTCAGTATCCATAGGTATAATACATACCTATTGATGACAACCCTATAAGATTGGCAGAATTATTACCTCTCATAAAAATGAGAAAATTGAGACAAAGGAAGATTTTGCTGGCTATGATCATATAGGAAGATAGTGGCAGACTGAGAGGTGGACCCAGATGACTGGGTTTGGAGTCTGCTCACTTAACTCCTGTGCTAACCCCATTTTACAGAAGAGGACACTGAGCTGATGAAAGTAATTGTATGTACCCGATGTCTCGTGGCTAGTAAACAGCAGAAGCAAAATAATAATTCAGATGTGCTTTACTCTAGTGATTTCTTTCTTAATGACCAGATCCCATTGCCCCTTCCTAAGCTGCGCAACCTCTTCTCAGACATGAGCAGTGAGCCAGCATTCTAGGTGTGAGCTTGTATATAAGTAATCTTCAACTCTATTAGGACTAGCAACTCCACCGCCTAACTAAAATACATTATCAATAATTAATATTTGTGTAACGATACATTTATTATAGAAAAGAGAAAACATGAGAATCAGTCCCAGAAATGGCACCACATATCCTTCCTTCTTTAATGTCATGCATTAGTATACTCAAAGTGGAATATTAGGTTGCCTAATTCCAGGCAGTAAGAGTGAGGTTTTCAGAAATGCTACTTCTCTCTGGTTTCAGAGGCAAAAGTCAAATAGATTCTCAGGTTACGCCATTGTACACAAACTCTTCAAATTATCATTTTCTGTCCCACATTTGCCAAAAAAAGGAATGACCATACACGCAAAAGAACCTCTAAAATAAGGCTACTCATAATCCTTGACAGCTAGTGTGTGTGTGCATTTTTTTATGGAATTTTGTTATCTTTCTCACCCACCTGAGTATCACCTGGGAAATAGAGCTGCATCCTCATAAGGCTGCTGTGAGAATCCAGGGAGATAATGTATGGGGAAGGTACTTTGAAAACTGCAAAGTGCTGAACACACAGAAAGCAGTATTGTCATTATCGTCCCTGGAATTCGGTTATACTCCAGATGCCTGGTGGTTCAGCCTTAATATCCAGCCCAAAGGGAAACTGTCATTTTTTTTCCAGAAGGTGGTAATGAGCTAGGCCTCCATTTCTTACCGGATAATGCTATAACTCAGTAAGACACATTTTCTTTTTTATTATTATTATTATAGTTAACTTTTGTTTATACAAGTGATTTTTGGATAAATTATTTTTGGAAAAAAACTGCACTGAAGGCTCAAAGGTAAATCTCTAGTTTTCTCAATTCATGCCCTGATTCCCACCTGCCTGCCTTCCTCAGGGGCAAGGAACATACTCATTCTAGTAGTGTATTATGATTCTTCTATATGTATTTTCCCATTTCTGTACATACCTATGGCCGTGGAAAACTAAATGGTGTGGATGGGAGTCTCAAACACACATGATAGCATTCCCTAACAATTGTTCTACAACTTGGACTCAACAATAAGTCACTGAAAAATATATTTTCTTTATGTGCTTGTTACTTACACACCTAAAGCACTCATTGAAAAAGTTGCATGGTATTGCACAGAATCAAACACACCAAAACTTATTTTCTCTCTTCCCCCAATGATGAATATCTAAGATATTTTACTTTTTTCCTGTATTACAAATAAGGCTTAAAAAACAGTCTCATACATGTCTCATTGTGCATGTATGTGAGGGTTATTCTAGGGTAAATACTAAAAAGTACAATTAGTGAATCACAGAGTACATAGGTCTCCAAAGTAGCTGCTTATTTTGTATGTATTCTTTTCATTAGTGTTGGACTGTTGGAGAATGACTATTTCATTTTCCTTCTTGTTTTCCCTTCCTTCCTTCCTTTCTTCCTTTCCTTCCTTCCTTCTTTCTTTCTTCTCTTTTTTTTTTTTTTTTTTTTTGACAGTGTCTTGCTCTGTCACCATGGCTGGAGTGCAGTAATGTGATCATGGCTCACTGCAGCCTTGACCTCCTGGGCTCAAGCCATTCTCCCACCTGAGCCTTGTGAGAAGCTGGGACTGCAGGTGTGCTCCACCACACTTGGCCAATATCTTTTGTTTGTTTGTTTTGTTTTGTAAAGACAGGGGTCTTGCTGTGTTGCTCAGGGTGGTCTTGAGCTCCGTGCCTCAAGCAATCCTCCCACCTCAGCCTCTCAAAGCACTGGGATTACAGGTGTGAGCCGCAGTGGCTTGTTTCTCGATATTGTTATGGAACTTTTGTCAAACTTCATGTTTGTTAATCTAGTGAATAATAAATGGTATTCTCTTGCTGCCTCGTTGTTGGAGAGACATTTCTGTTTATATCTTTTGTCTACTGAACATTTTCTTTTTGTTATTGACTTGTAGTAGTTATTTACATGCTGTACTCACTTTTATTACAAATATTTTATAAGCAGATATATTTCAAATCTATTTTCCCTGTCAGAATGTAATCTCCCAAGGTCAGAATTATATTTATTTTAGCCAATACTTCCCCCCTACCAGGTGGTAGCACTAATATATAGTAGGTACAGAATAAATATTTGCTCCACTTCCAAATGAGCTTTGGAATAGGACAGACCTGAATTCAAATCTTAGCTCTTATCCTTTCTTACCTATGTGACCTTGAACAAGTCTCTTAACCTCTTTTAATCTAACTTTCCTTGACTATAATACATTTTTTAGTTCTATTTTCTGCTCATTCTTTCTTTTTAAGATGATATCAGAGCCTAACTTTAACCTTACTCACTCTAATCCAGAAATTGTTGTAAATTAAATCTGATTTTGGCTCTTCCAAGGGATTATTACTAGAAAAATCAGACAGCTCCGCTCACAATGGGGCTGTCCTGGTTTGGTCCCTGAGCACAGACATTAAATGAAACTCTAAATGTACTTAACATTTTGTATTTGCTTTCTTAAGAATCTGGCAATTGCATCTGTATTTTTTTTTCCTTCAAAATGGCAAAATCTGTTACCTTTTCAGCAAATAGCTCTCAACTTTTCTAGATCAGAGGCGTCATTCAGCTTTCTTCCAAAGAAAAAATGCTCCCCAGATATCCCTAAGCAGTAAGTATGCTAACTTGCTGTAGGCCACACTGCCAAGATATAACCATACAAAGCTAAAACATTGAGTCTCATTTGATTCAGAATCATTTCTCCAGAATTTTAGCTCTGAGGGAATATCAATATGTTCAGAGAAGCAAAAGTACCTTAAGCAATTATTCTTTTAGAAAATTTTCTCACTAAAAGCAAATATTAACTACTAAAGGAATACTGAGTATTAGTATCAGATAAGGTTTGCAATTATCTCATATTTATAGGGCATAATTTATCTAATGAAATCTTCAGTATAAACAGATACATCCATCAAAATAGACTTATTATGCATCTACTAATATATACCACCCTATGAAAAGCAGCGTGCTCCCTTAACTCACACAGGGTAGATATTAATAGGTTTAAAAGCCCTAAAACAGACTTACTTCAGGGCCTGACTACTGATCATTAAACAATTCCAGTGTTTTAGGAAAAAAAAACTTACCAGTTGCTAGTTTCTGGCTCCAGTTTCCATGTTTTTCAGGGAGAAAGCTGTTGGATAGCTATTCTTCTCTGCCTAAACCAAAAGGTTATTGGAAATAATATTACCAAATGCAATTTACACATTGATTCTTGCCTCTATTGAATTATTCCTTATAAGAAATCTTGAGAAGTAGAAATAAATCTTTTTATGACTCTTTATGTGAATTTATCCTACTGATTTTCCAGAAGGGTTCCACACATTTTCAGTGTGGCTGGCAAAATACGTGTAGTAATAATAACAGTAACAAAAATGCTAGCTTCTGTTTATTCAGTAATTGCTGTGTGCCAGGCACTGTGCTAAGCACTTTATACACAGTATCCTACCTGAAACTCATAACAATCCTGTGAGGAAAATACTATAATTATATATATTTTCAAATGGACATGATGAGGTTCAGAGAATCAGAGAGGCTAAGTAAGATACCTAAGGTCACACAGCTCACCTTACCTGTGCTAGTGCTGTCTTCCCATTACATGTGAGGTAATAGTAATAACTAGCTATGATAGATAACAAACCTTGAATGTTTAATATATGCCAAGTATTGTACGTATATACATATTATATATATGTTAGCTATTTCAGTGTACGTAGCTTTATCACTGTAACTTTATCTGCATTGAGGATCATACTTAAATGTTCTTTTTTTTTTCTCATCTGGTGGGTACAAAGTCATTCCTTGGAATTTTACATTTTTCCTTTTTTGAGGGATTTAAAAGTTCTAAAACATTCCATTTTACTTAATCTCTTTACCTCAAATTCCTCATTTCTTTTGAAGATTAAATGAATAAGAACATGGAAAGGATTCAAAGCAATGGTTAGCCCATAGAAAGCAGCCTAATCATGTTAGCTATTACCTAATAATAACCACACAGGCACAACCAACATCCATGGTTGAACTCTTGACCAGACAGAAAACAGCTACGACGTGTTATAAACTTATTTCCTTGGAGTGATTACCCCTGCACATTGCATAGTCTTTTGTATGATATCCGCTCCACAATTAATTCTGGAGTTGGTATGCCCTCACTATAAAAGGACTCTCTAATTGCCCTTCAAATCAGTGATTCATCCATATCACAAGGTTCCTCAAGATCTTGCTTCTTGGAAAAGCTATTAGCCTAAAAATGAAACTTCAAGAGCTCCGTTTCTGACAAAATGAGTTTTGTAGAAGTGAAACCTGAGGAAGAAGATTATAAAATCAACTCTGTGAGCAAGTCAATATCCCATGTCTAGGGGGAGGAAGGAGGGGAGAAGTTTTCAGTCGCTCCTTCCCAAGACATCCTAAATCAGTATCCCTTTCAGAAATAGTATTAGTTCAGGTATCACCTCTTTTTTAGCCAACATCTTCAGCTGCCAGATTGACAACATCCTTTTTCTTAACATGTCAAGAACACTCCTGGATAAATCTCTGGACTATCAGGTCTTTAGTTTGAAAAGATGTATGATGGAGGCCCGAGGTCTTCCTTCAGCTCAGGGACCATCAATACTTAAAATCTGACATAGATGCAAACTGGAGCATTTAAATATTTCATACCTGCATTTTCTTTTGTTTTATTTCCTGAGAGAACTCTCTGCCTATAACTTCAGGCTTCTTGAGTACTAGACAGAATAAGAGGGAACAGCCTAAAACTTTAAAAACATTAACATTGGCCGAGCGCGGTGGCTCACGCCTGTAATCCCAGCACTTTGGAAGGCCGAGGCGGGTGGATCACGAGGTCAGGAGATCGAGACCATGCTGGCTAACACGGTGAAACCCCGTCTCTACTAAAAATACAAAATATTAGCCAGGCGTGGTGGCAGGCACCTGTAGTCTCAGCCACTCAGGAGGCTGAGGTAGGAGAATGGCGTGAACCCGGGAGGCGGAGCTTGCAGTGAGCCAAGATAGCGCCACTGCACTCCAGCCTGGGCAACAGAGCGAGACTCCGTCTCAAAAAAAAAAAAAAAAAAAAAATTCACATTAAAAATATGGTGATGGGGAAGGGAGGAGTTAATTCAAGAAGGCTGTAGGGAGGCAGAGAAGAGAAAGTGCTGTATTGGGATGCAAAGTATCTTGGGACTATTATTTACTGAGATCTGGAACCAACCACCTAACTTGTCTTCAGAATCATAGGTCAGGAAAATGCAAGGGTTGATTTAAACTGGTAGTTTTTAAACTTTGTTTAATGCAGAGAACTTAAAAAATCTTAGTTGAAACTCTGGTATAAAACAGAAATTGAGCTAATCTGATGAAAACAGAACTGAGTGGTCTAGAGTTTTACCTACTTTGCCTCCCTTTCACTTATTCCCTTACTTCTTTTTTTCTCCCTAATTCCTCCTGCATTCTCCTTTTTCTAGCAGCTTCTAAGGCACTTTTGAGAAACTCCTGGACCCAGAGAATGACAGTTATAAAACCACTACATTCAGCAATTCCTGAGGTCTTACTCGCTCTGAAGTTCTGTGATATCAGAAGCCAGGTCAATACTAGACCATCTAATATGGTGCAGAAGAAAGACTACCAATTTTGGCATTAGGCAGATTCAGTTTCAACCTATACCCTGCCACTGACTAGCTGTATGACTTTGAACAAATCAGTTACTTTCTCTATAAAAACCTTCATCTCATCTGAAAAATGGAGATGATAGCTTCCTCAAAAAATACGATAATGGCTCATAAAAGCATTCAAGAGACATTAATTCTCTTATCTTTTGGGGCCTAAGAATTGCCTTTAAAGAAAATAAAAAGTGACATTGAGACAAGTATAGAAATAGCTTTAGCAAAGAAATCATTTTGATATATGTAAAATACTCACGATATAATGGGAAATGGAATCTCCTGTTACTCTTGGGAATGGACAGAGGATGGAAAAGCTGGTCACTGTTGTAGGGTGGTGTGGTGAAGAAAAGAGGGTGAACCTTTTAGAAGAGCCTGGGCTGCAAAATGATCAAGTGAATACTTTACTTCTGGGGACATGGCTCACCCCAAGTTTGATTGTCCTTCTTTGTCTTCTGTAAATGAAGTCAACTCCTAAATTAAGAAGGGGTTTCCAATTCAAAAGAAGACAAAGTAACTGCATAGATAGAGCGTAAGAGCTGGCACTTGGCAGCACTGCCTTAAAAAAAGGTTAAGTTTTCTGATTTTGGGTTGGAAGTAAAAGCAAATGGAATCTTAGGCTCCAGTAATAAAAGCATGGTATCTAGAATGAAGAGATATGCACTCTTTATTCTCTGCCATGTCAAATATACATAGAGACCTGTATTTGAATCTGCCACTTAACAGTGTACTTTTGGCCAGGCGCGGTGGCTCACGCCTGTAATCCCAGCACTTTGGGAGGCCAAGGCGGGCAGATCACGAGGTCAGGAGATCGAGACCATGGTGAAACCCCATCTCTACTAAAAAATATTAAAAAAAAAAAAAATTAGCCGGGCACAGTGGTGGGCACCTGTACTCCCAGCTGCTCAGGAGGCTAAGGAAAGGAGAATGGCGTGAACCTAGGAGGCGGAGCTTGCAGTGAGCTGAGATCACACCACTGTACTCCAGCCTGGAAGACAGAGCGAGACTCCGTCTCAAAAAAGAAAAAAAAAAAAGTGTACTTTCAGAGGAATGTATTCAGAAGATAACAGATAACAGTAACTAAATGGTGGGAGAATCTAAACCACAGTCCCTGAGGAATATCTGAGGGGACCACAGATGGTGAACTGGGAAGAAGGTAAGGCCTGGGATATAGCTGGCTTCAGATATCTGAAGAGAAGTTGCAGTTTTTAAGGATTCTTTTGGTGCCAGCTACAGAACTGACTCCAACTGACTTAAGCAGAAGGACAGTTACTGAAAAAGTATCTGATGCTCATGGAATTGACATGAAGGATAGAGACTCAGGCTTAAAAATAGGCAGAAACTAAGACATTTCTTGGGCTAGGAGGCAGGAATACATCAATGTTCTCATGGTAGGAAAAGCTACATCAGGACCTATGGCTAGAATGAAGGAGATGCAAAATGTTGGACTTTGCACCATTTAAGATTCAAATTCCTGCAAGAGGCCATCTGATTAGATCAGTTTTAGTCCCAGTGCCTGCTGCATTGAGGGTGTCTTAGTCCCTTCTGGCTGCTACAACAAAATAACCATAAACTGAGTAGCTTGTAGACAGAGATATTCTCTCATGAAGAGATGGCATATACCTGGTACTGTGCCTGTATTCTTGATGGACATCACTAGTTGATTGCACTTTTTTGCAGAGCCTGAATGTGGCCTTGGGAAATAACTTTATTTAGAAATAACTTTAGTTATTTCTATAGGCGGTCTGGAAGTCCAAAATTAAGGTGCTGGCAGATTTGTTGTCTGGTGAGTGCCCATTCCTCATAGATGGCACCTTCTTGCTATGTCTTTCCATGGTGGAAGGGAGCTTGGGGCCTCTTGTACAAGGGTACTAATCACACTCATAAGGGTCCTCTCTCATGACAAAATCACCTCCCAAAAGGGAGGTTAGGTTTCAATATATGAATCTGGGGGGATACAAACATTCAGACCATAGCAGGTGGACCTTGCCTGTGGTAGACTAGGTTATTGTGCCAAGTTTACTCCCTCCCAAGTAGCATAATTGTACATCCACATTCTGCCATATAACTTTGTAGCTCCTCCCACTGACGCATATTTTCTTGCATCTTGTCTTTGTATTGAACCACGTAACTTTCTCTGGCTGATTGAAGGACATAGAAGTAAAAGTGTTGTCAGTTCCTAGTCTGGACCTTAAAAGGCTTCCCCATTTTTTGCTCATTATTTTGTGCGTATCCTATTTCCATGAAAAGAAAAGCGCCTACAACAGACTGTTGTTCAGTGGAAATGAGAGTCAAATGAAGCAGAGCCACTTAAGTGAACCAGTCCCCAGCCCATTCTGCAGAGGATGAGCAAGCTCAACCAGGGTTAACAGAGCCATCCTCATGACCTATAGATGCACAAAGAAAAGAATGCTGATATTTGTATGAAAATAAGATTTTGCGACTCTTACACAGCAGTAGCTAATGGATACATGGGCTTTTCTACTTCTTATCTTCTTAGTGAGGTACGCCATGTTAGTTATCTATTGGTGCGTGACAAAATACCCCAAAACATAAAGACATAAAACAGCAATAGACATTTATTATCCCACAGAGATTCTGCAGGTCAGAAGTCCAGAAGCAGCTTAGCTGGGAGGGTCTAATATGAGTTTTTGCATGAAACTGCAATCGAGATGTCAGTCACGGCTGCAGTAACCTGAAGGACTGAGTGATTTGCTTCCAAGATGGGTTACTCACACCAATGGCACGTCAGAGCTGCCTGTTGGCAGAATGCCTTATTTCACTGTCTATTGGCTTTCTCCACAAGGCTGCTTGTATGTCCTCAAAACATGGCAGCTGATATTCTACACAGCAAGAAACTTCCCAGGAGAGAGATCAAGGAGGAAGCCACAGTGCCTTTTTCGAGATAACCTGGGAAGTCATACACCATTGCTGTCATGACATTCTATTCATTGATGAGTCACCGAACTGAGCCCACACTTAAAGGGAGGGGAATTAGGCTCCACCACTCAAAGACAGGAGTGTCAAAGAATTTGTGGACATATGTCAAACCCACCACAGGCAAGTACTAGGTTAACTCATCAAATTGAACAAAATGGGGAAGACGTAATTTCCCAAAATAAAACAAGGATTCTGTAGGAAGGGGAAGCAGAGCAATCTAAATTAATTAAATAGCAGTAGGGCCAGTGTGTGAAGAGGTATAGCAACACAGAATGGCTTGATACATATGATGGAAAATCCTCTGAGGGTGTCCAGAAGGAAAGCAAAATTGGCACAAAAGCAACAAATGGCAAAGGCAACATGGGGGTATAGGAATTAGATGCAATACACAAAAAAGGTTTTTTTTTTTATGATGATAACAAGAGGACCCAGCTCGAGAGGGAGGTGGTTTACAAAAACATCTTTGAGGCCTATAATGCAGGTGGGAAAAGGAAAAGAGATAAAACGATGGCATTCATGTACTCATAAAGGTATTAGAAGGAAGTCTGCAGGCAGATTGGTGGCGCAGGGGTGGGTAAGGGAAACAACAAAGTAAGTACCCAAAAGGATAGCTGAATTTTCTTATGAGTGGCCTGCAGGTGTATATGCACTCAGGCCATCCACGAATCAAATAAATGCTTGATGAGAGCCATTTAGTTAAGAGCATGCGATTGCTATGGTCAATTAGAAGTAAGAAGAAAAGGACAGTGATGATCATTATGTCTATTGCCAAATAGAACTGTATAAGGCGTGGCTAGGAAGTGCCACTCCAATCACAGGACATCAGTGGTCATGTCTACCTCCCTCCCATGCTGTTCCTAAGGACAAAGAATGAGAAGGTAGGGAGAAAACACAGAAAAGCTTCGTTATCTGCACACTGGCTGCCCTGGGAGGTCTGTGCAGTTTTGAATGGCATTAGCTGAACTTTTTAGAGTCGTGTGTCTAGCCCAGAGCAGAAAATGAACTATGGAATCAGGTTAATGACAGAAAAAAAAGACAGAGCTATTCTCTCATGAAGAGATGGCATATACCTGGTACTGTGCCTGTATTCTTGATGGACATCACTAGTTGATTGTACTTTTTTGCAGAGCATGAATGTGGCCTTGGGAATCCTTGTGGGAATCAAAATTGTGCTCCAAACAGCTGCTACCAATCTAATGAAGTGGTAGTGCAGGATGAACCCAATTTGTCATCCCTGGGCTCAGTATCTCTGAAAGTTGAGAAACATGAGGCCAGTAGGAGATAAAGAAAGCAATGTCTTCTGCCAGAGAGACACCTAGAGAACAAAGTCTTCTCCAGTTTGCTGATCCTAAGAGAGATGCATTTCTCTCTCAAGACAAATAGGCCCCTGCTGTTCATCCTTAATTTCATATACTCAAGCCTACATGCTCATAAATGAAGAGCAATGTTGCAGAGGAAGGAGGCCCTGCAGCCAGAAGGAGGAAGGAGAGGTTTGAAGAAGACACTTTCTAGATCAGCCATTATTGACATTTTGGGCTGGATAATTCTTCATTATGGGGCTGTTCTGTGCACTCTGGGATGTTTAGCAGCATCCCGGGCCTCTAAACATGAGGAGCGCTCCCTGCAAAGTGGTGACCATCAGAAATGTCTCCAGGCTTTGTCAGATGTCCCTGGGGCCTGGGGCTAAGGGTAGAACGGGGAGAGGCAGAATCTCCCCCAGTTGAGAACCACTGCTCTAAATGATAAAAATCAGAGGATAGAAATTCAATATGAATTCTAGTTCTTATCCCAAAAGCAAGTTAGTATTTTATAATCCAGGGTCTGTGATGACAAGAACCATAAAGGATTCTGGAAACACTGTCCTTTTGCTATTTCATCGGGATTGACCCCTCTGTATGACAAAAACTTAAGAGGAAAAAAGGCCAGCCTATTTGTGACAGTGGGCATAGCTAGGATGACTCCAAGATGAAGGAAGCAGTGGGAGTGTGCTTTGTGGCCATTCACTGAAGGAGAGGAAAAGAGGTGAATCCAGAGGCCTAATCCAGGCCCATCTTGCAAACCTTTGCTTTAGCTGTTCCCTCTGCCTGGAACTCTTTTCGTTTACTGCTATATCCCCAGTTCCTGGTACAGAGTGGCAGCTGGAGGAATATTTGTTGCACAAATAAATAAAGCATAGCGCACTTGACATAGTCATTGCAAGTGTGATGGTGATGCAAGTGTGGAAGTACCAGGTGCTGTGGGGGCACACAGGATGGAGAACTAAACTTTTCTGAAACATGAAGATTCTCTAGAGAAAATGTCCTGGAACACTAAGGAAGCCTTTCTAGAGATAACGATCTCAAATATGAGACCAAGGGGCTCTGGACAGGAGAAGAGACCATACAGTAAACATTAACAGAGAGAATGTTTATATATATTATTGTGTCAATAGTTTACTTCTTCCCGAGTAACATAATTATATATCCACATTCTGCCATTAATTCTGTAGTTCCTCCCACTAAAGCGTATTTTCTTGCATCTTGTCTTTGTATTCAACCATATAACATGCTCTGGCTGATTGAAAGAGGTAGAAGTAAAAGTGTTATCAGTTCCTAGTCTGGACTATGAGTTTGCCTAAATGAATTGCCTAAATATTGCATAAATGGATTTGAAAAGAACATTAAATAATAGAGTCCACGAAGCCTTGGTTGAGTGCTGTGTTACTGCATTACTGTGTTACTGCTTTTATATAAATATATATATATGTACATACATATATATACACACACACACACATTCTCATACGTATGTATACACATACACACACACACACACACACACACACACATAGAGAGAGAGGATGAGACAGAGGCATATTTAATCCTCACAATAACCCCACAAAGTGGGTACATTTATTGGATACCATCCTCATTTAACAGATGAGACAGCACAGGAACCCAGAAGCTAAGCTAATGTGCTCTAGGTCATACTTGCAGTATGGAGAGCTGAAACACGAAATTGGAGGTTCTAGCCTCAGGGCCTACACCCCTCAACCATCACAATAGTGAAAGAAGACAGAGGTGTAGCATAGTCAAAGCCACAGAGGTGAGAGAGAACATGATGGGGGAGCTGGAAGGAGACCAGGATGTAACCTAAGAGAGAACAAGGAAGAGGGTAGCAAATGATGAAGTAAGCCAGAGAGAAAGGAGCTGGATCAAGGGAAGCCTCATCAAAAAACTGTGCACTGAGAGGCTCTGGGAGCCATCCTTGATCGACCACAACACCTACCTTGGATGTAAACATCAGCATTCCTATCACATGTAGGGTGGATTTAATTTCATATGACTGGGTTCAATTTATCAGTTGATAATATTTAGAAAGGTGTTCATGTTAGCTGCCCTACCTCCAACCACCATTTACTAGAGAACAAAAACACTGAGCCCAGGTGTTAGGATCCTGATTTGTTTTATGTTTTTAAGAGAAGGCAACAGAGCATTCGTTTTTATCCTGGAATAGATGGTTTGTCCAGCTGTAGATGCTGTAGAAAGGAAGCTGAATGTTAATTAGATGTCAACAATAATTATGGTGATTACGTTTTTTGAATAGCTATTGGGAATAGCTGGATCCACATCTAGAATGTGATGTGAATGATGTTTTAACAGTTTTTAAAAGAAGAGAGCAGCCTGTTACTAAGGAAATTACAGTGAATAGAATTATAGTGAAATAGATTTCTTAACAAAGAACTACAACAATGATAATAGTCTCACATGAATTATGTAGTATATATGAAGGAAAATCATAAAAAATGTTTTTCAGACAAGATCCCTTATTTAAAAGAAAATCAATTATCAATTATCTTAAAGCTTTGCCTCATGGTTTCACTGGAACATTTTAAGCTGTATCTTTCTGATTTTCCTTAGAACTGGGTCAGACTGCCATTTTTATAAACTATCATTTCAATGAAATTTTAATTACATGCTTTTTATTCACTACAGAGACCCCTGTGCTTCAAATAACTTGTATGATCATGATCATTCTACTTTATAAGATATTTTAATTATATTTATTTTCAAGTAAAAATCATAATTCATAGGATTAATATTTGTTATTTGTTAAATATTTATCCTATTATTATTTTGAAAGTACTCTCCTTTTAATACAAACAATTGCTACCTGATTATTAAATAGAATATCTGCTTCATGTATTTAACACGTTTCACATAAATCTCAGGGGTTAGACAAAATTAACCTCCCCTCTCAAGCTGGAATTTAAAAGTCTACAGAAGGGAGTGGCATTGCACTAACTCTATGTAGTCAGAAATTACCAGCCAGCAGTGTAGGTGGACATATGATCATTTATTTGGTCACTTATTCAACAAACATTTGTTGAGTACTTACTGTGTGTCATATATGATGAGAACCAAGCAGGTACAACAATCCATCCCATTATTTGATGACATTCCTAAGGAACAGGACATCAGTTTTACTGGCTCCCTGCCTCCAGCTACTCCTCTGTCCTTCCCCTTTCTCAAGTGAGAAGCATGGCTGCATGCAGTGATGAACAAGGTAGACTCAATTTCTCTCTGTAGCTGTCTATGGAAAGGGGCTTCAGAATTCAATGGGAAAATAGTAAACCATGCAATGAGTGGTCTAACAGAAGAAATACGTGAGGCTATGAAACCACAAGGAAAACACACAACACAGGTTAAGGAAACCTTCTCCAAAGAAATGTTCTACAAACTGACAGGAAGCTTGTACCAAATGCTGAGGTAAGGCAAGAGTGAACAGCAAAGCACAGAAGGCTCTGTGCTTTCCACTCCTTCAAGGAAGTGTAAATTGCTGTGTCTGGCTGAATCATAAAGGATGGAGAAGGCCTTGTTTTGTGTTGAGGCTACAGACAGAGATGAGACCCAGATAGCACAGGGCCCATAGACTGTGTTAAAGAAAGAACCTAATCTTAAGAACAGTAGAAAGCAGATGAAAGGTGTTGAGCAAGAGTGTGAGATGATCATATTAATGCTTAAAACAGACCCTTCAGGCTGCCATGTGGACAGTGATGTGGAGGAAGCAAGGCTGGGAGAGCAGTTACAAGACTATTGCAAGATTCTGAGTCAGAGATGGGGTGGCATGTGCCAGAGGATAGAAGAGCATAAATGGATTTGAAAAGAACATTAAATAATAGAATCCACAAAGCCTTGTTTGAATGCTGTGTTACTGGAGAACATGCCAACATGCTGGTTCCAATAGCAATAATAACTTAGTAACAATGGTGCAAATAATAGCACTGGTTGGACATTTTCTCTATGATAGACACTCTGTCATTGCTTCTCATTTAATCTTCACAACACCACCTGGAGATGGGTATATTCAGTTTATTCTTACTGTCCTGTAGAGAGGACATCGAGGATCAGAGAGGTTCAGTTTCTTGCCCAGAATCACACTACCAGAAGGTGGCAGAGCTGGGATTTGGGCACTAGCAGTCTGACTCCAGAGCCTGTGTTCTCACTGGAAATCAATGTTAGAGAACAACGAGATGAGGATAACATTCAAGTCTTGAGGTGCGTGGGTTTAGAATGCAGCTTTAAAAAAAAAAAAAGCCACCTATGCCCTGTATAGTTTTCAGGACCAACATCCCTGTATTTTCAGTGAGATTTATTCTTTTTGTTGTAGAAAAAAACATTGGCTTGGGGTAAGAAATGTAAAAAAGAAGGAAGAAATCAAATAATGAACACTTAAGCATGGGCTAGGTATTCAGTACATGCTTTATTTTTATTCATCACTGTGCCAGGTTTAGGGAATGTATTATTTTTAATCTTCCAAGGACTCTAGGAAGTAGGTGATGTGATTCCATTTTTTTTTTTTTAAATTAAGAACCTAGACTGAGAAAGATTTTGCTTTATGTCCAAGTTAGGACAGGCCAGAGCCGAGCCTGACTCTGATTCTCTCTCCGTGGCACATTACTGCCTGTCAGAGAGGAAAAGAAGACAGAGACACACAAGGCAGGTAGGCATTTGGTCAGAAAGAAACAAAAGTTCCCAAAGTGGAAAAGACAAAGGAAAGCTTTATTGGATGTAGAATTTGAAGCTGAGCAATCTTACAACGAGGTCTCACTGGAGTAACAGAAGAAGTCTCTTCTCTTAACATTGTTGCCTAGTTCCTTGATGGCAGGAATGAGTTCTATTAACTTCAGAGGCCCACACTGAACTCCACAACAATGAGAAGTCATGACCAGAACATAAGTTCCAGTCTAAAAATTTTTACTGCTGATAGAATAGATTTGGTGCCCTTTGGATGGCCACAGATCGGTCCATGTTGACTATCGAGAATCTAAGGAATATTAGCTCGCCTGTGAACTTTTTTGGACTTTATAATACTTTGAGTTCATGCGCTACTTGTCCTAGTCCCAGGACCTTATAATTGGAGGATTGAAAATATCTAACAGGTAACAAATTAAGTTAAATGATTTCTTTACTTCCCTGGATCAAACATGTACCTGGTGGTGAAATTTGAACAAAGATATTTCCATTGCATCTTGATTTTCCGTGGAGAAATCACATAAGCAGTTTAGGACAGCAGTAATAATGAACCATTACAGCATAGACCAGGATTGGCTCCAGAGTGGTAACACTGTGTCCAATTGACTTCTTTATCCCTGTTATTAACACAGTGCTTAATTTACAGCAAGCTCAAAAAATGCTTGAATGAGTGAAGGATTACATGAGTTATGAACAGCTTATCATTTTATACTAAGGGAGCAATGTAATATAGTGGTCGAATCTGTGGATGCTGAAATCAGCCAATCCAGATTCAAATCATCCTAGCTTCCTGTTTCACATTTCTCTCTTGACTTTGATTTTATTATTTGTAAAATGGAGATGATGCTATTGTAAGATATTCCATTTAAAGTGTTTAACAGGACTTGACAAGGAGTAAATGCTCAATATGTCTTAGCTGTTACTTATTTATCAGCATTAATATCATACAAGTTAAATGCCTTCTTTGTAATCATATATATTTTTTCAACAATATCTTTGCTCAAGGAAAAAAATATACCACGTAGAAATTATTCCCTTGAGAGGTGGATCCAGGAGTACAATTTTATCTTGTTGGAGAGCAAGACAAATGGTGGGTTAAGTAGAAAGAGTTCTCAGAAGTTAGACTAACCCAGAGTGGGTGTCTGTTTTCCCACCCAAGTACAGATGCTAGGGCTCTCACTTCAACACTACCATGCTGATATCAACTGCCTGTCTTCTGAAGATTACAGTACCTTGAGACATTTGAAAGGAATTGGAATGTCCAGTTGTGTTGGGGCTTGGCAAAGATACTGGACATACTAAGGCCATCTTTCTATTGAATGATTCACGGGCATCTTTAGAAAACTAGCTAGCATGGTTCCTTAATATGGTGACATGCAGTGGTTTCCCTAATGGCAGTGGAAATCTGCAGGCTTTGCCTTGGCTTTTCCTTGGCTGCTGTATTAGTCAGGATTCTCCAGATAAACAGAACCAATAGAAGAAAGAAAAGAAAGAAAGAAAGAAAGAAAGAAAGAAAGAAAGAAAGAAAGAAAGAAAGAGGAAGGAAGGAAGGAAGGAAGGAAGGAAGGAAGGAAAGAAAGAAAGAAAGAAAGAAAGAAAGAAAGAAAGAAAGAAAGAAAGAGGAAGGAAGGAAGGAAGGAAGGAAGGAAGGAAGGAAGGAAGGAAAGAAAGAAAGAAAGAAAGAAAGAAAGAAAGAAAGAAAGAAAGAAAGAAAGAAAGAAAGAAAAGGAAGGAAGGCTTGTTATGGGGATGAGCTCATGTGATCATGGAGGCTGATGAGTTCCACAGCATGCCATCTGCAAGCTGGAGAACCAGGGAAGCTGGTAGTATGTCTCAATCTAAGTCTGAAGGCTTGAGAACCACGAGAGCTGATAGTGTAATTTTCAGTCCAAGGCAGAAGGCCTGAGAAACTTGTGGCCTGCTGGTACAAGTCCTGGAGTCCAGAAGCTGGAGAACCTGGAATTCTGATACCCAAGGACAAGAGAAGAAGGGTGTCCCAGCTCCAGGAGAGAGAGCACACATTCACCTTTCCTCTGCCTTTTTGTTTTATCTGAGCCCTCAATGGATTGGATGGTGCCTGCTCACATGGGGCAAGGAAAGATCTTCCTTATTCAGTCCACTGATTCAAATGCCAATCTTTCTTAGAAACACTCTCAGAGATATATCAAGAAATAATGCTCTACCGGCTATCTGGGAATCCATTAATCCACTCAAGTTGACACCTAAAGTTAACAGTTGCCCACGGAGTGTTTTCACAGTCTCCAAGCCAACTCTGCCCTCCACTCTTCTTCATGGAGTCTCTCCTGTAACCCTACCAACCTCCATAAGATCTTAAGTTCTTCTACCCTCTTCCTCCCTTTTCTACCCCTCCAAACCAGGTGAACCTTGTCCTGACTCCCTAAAGATCAATCCATCTGCAGCTTTCTTTCTTCTTGTTCCAATGTTATCATGGCATAAACCCTATATCATTTGTTCATTCCTCAGGGCCTTCTATTTTCATTCTCAAAAGCCCTTTTTTTCTCCCAACAAGTCTCCTTATATATCAAAAGCTTTGGCTTTCAAAGCTTTTGTTTCTCATGTGGGCTTTAAGAACATATTTTAGGATTCAGAAAAACTAAACATCGATTTTTTTTTGTTCTTTTTACATTTCTGCTGTAACTACATCAGTTCTCCTTGAGGCATAGTGATGCCTCTGAGTGATAGGAGGCAGGGTCATAAACAAGGATGGGAAGAAAAGCACACAAACTGATGCTTCCAGATCACATCTTGCTGTGCTGCATCCATTCACTATGAGTCCTACTTTCAGGTTTCAGCAGGTTAATTCCTACATTTGACTCTTGGCTGACATTAATCCTGGGCTCTGCTGTCTTGCCACCATGAAGATGTACAGTGAGGACCATGGTGGTCAAGTTCTCCTAAAATTCACACACTCCTTATATCATAATGCTCCTTATAAATTTCACAAAGCTTATATATTGTTCTTCAGATATGTATTGAATGTTTACTATGTGTGATTCATTGTCTTCACAACCCTATGAGGTAGATGTTATTATTGTCCTTATTTTACAGATGGGTAAACTGAGATTCAGAAAAGTTAAGGCCATCATTTCTGCTGTCCATTATATATTTCAAGCTCTCTTTTTGAGCACTGCTCTACCCACCTGGAGTTAGGTGTGCCTACATAATTTGCTTTGGTTAATAAAGTATGAGTAGAAGTGACAGACGTCACATCAGCGTGGAAGCTCTGAGCCAATGCACAATTCGTGTTCTCTTTCCCTGTGCCCCAACAGCGTTCCAGAGAGTAGAAACTCCATTCACTAGCATCCTGGGAAGAGGTGACATGGAGCAGAACCCCATCCATTCTTTAGTGGACAAGAACAAAAAAAACACTTTGTTGTCTCAAGCCACTGACTTACACATTGTTTGTTAACACAGCTTCACCTTGCTCATTGTGATTAATATGGAAGTCACTCATTCATGCAATTACTTATCCATTTATTCATTCAACAGGCAATTATGAACTGTCTACTGTATGCCAGATGTGGACTAGGTACTGCAAAAACAAGACATGACAATTGTCTTTATCATCTCTGGTATTTTGTCCACTGAAATCATGAACTTAATTAAATGATGGAGTTGAGTTTCAAATTCAAGTCATGAGATTCCAGAGCTTATGCACTGAAATACTGCTTTCTGTCATCTCAAATAGAAATTTCATAGAGTTTACAATTGGTTTTTAAAATCTTTCTGGGTCTGGGTCTGCTCTATGTCAGGCAGATAGCAGGCTAATTTCCTAATGCACTATCAGTTCAGGTGTAATGGGTAAAGCAAATTGCCATAGGCTCATTACCAAAAGGAAGATGAGCAAGATACCAAAATTTTGATCATGATTTATGGAGTAGGCATTGGTCATGTTTTCCCTCATGTTTGTGTCTGCCTTGTATCTTTTAAACACCCTATTATGTTTGCAGAATTTTTCCAACTGATGGGTTTCCAAAGTAGGAACCTAAAAACTCACTTCCAGCCTCCTCTGCAGCTAGAACATATGCATGTGACCATCCTCCACCAATCAGGTTCACCCCCACTAGACTTCAGTTCAGAAATGAGTAATCTGAGGAAAAATGCTTACACTGGTATCTACTTAGCTGGTGAGGGGCAGCAGAAGCCCCTGACTTTGAGGAGGACAGTGATGGTTGGGTTGAGTGCCTGACTTATGAGGCTGCAGTGTGAACAGGAAGTTGTTCAATAGTACCAATGGCAGGGCAGCAGAATTCATCTTGTTAGGCTAGTTTTGGAGCATAATTTGGGGCATTATTCCTAGAAATTTGGCATTAAGCCCAGTTCTCTAAACAACTTCCCAGTATCTTTTAACTACTCACTGTTCTTTAATGAACTTGTTTTCTGCTTAATGAGCTGCAGTCAGCTTCTGCTTCTTTAAGTAAAAACCTGATCCGATGCAATGTGGAAACTGAATCAGAAAAGTTTCAAGCCAGATCCTGGGTAAAGAGAACAACAAATGACTAACTTAATGGTGTGTGGGTGGGTGGGAAGTTAAAGTCTGAGGAGTCTGAGGTCAAAGGTGGTAAGGCTTGAAAAGGAGGTGAGCTTCAGTTCTACTTTGAACATATTGGTGTGGGTAGCATGTTTCTGCTGGCCTATGTCCTCTTAGATCTGTTTGTGCAGTCATTCAATGAATACTTACAGAGCACATACTGCATGCCTGGCTCCACGCTAGGCAGTGGTGGATATAATAATGGGTAAGTCAGGCATAATCTCAGCTCTCATACTAGCTAATAGTTTTATATAATGGGAAGGCTGATCATACCAATGGACAAATATATAACTACAAACTGATAATAAAAGAAAGTTATATACACATAACGACCAAGTGTGGGAGGTCAGAGATGCCTTCCTGAGGAAGTGATTTTACAGTTGAGATTTGAAGGCCAAGAGACAGCCAGCGGGTGAAAGAGAGCAGAAGAGTATTCCAGGAGACATAAACAGCATGTTCAAAGACCCTAGAGACAGAGTAAACATGGCACATTTGAAGAACTGCAAAGCTGATGAACTTGAAGTGAAGAGAAGAGGGAAGAATGGAATAAGATCTGGCTTTGGTGGTACTGGGGAGTCAGGGAAGAACATGCAGAGTCTTGAAGATCTATTAAGGATTTTGATCTTTTTCCTAAAATCAGTAGGAGGCTATTGAAGAGTTTTAAGCCCTGTGATAACATTGTCAGATGTGCATTCTAAAATGCCATTTTGACCATAGTAGGAACAGTGGATGGGGTAGAGGAATGGAATGAATTCAAAAAGTTACTAAGGAGACAATTGTGATAGTGCAGGCCAAGAGTGGATTACTAGATCAGGATACAGAACTGGCAGGAGAGATGAAGAGGAGTAGAGTAGATTGGAGATAGAGTTAGGAAGCAAATCAATGGAACTTCACAATAAGTTAGATATAGAATGGGTGGTGACTGGCTTTTCTGATGGGCAACTGATACAAGGACCACTGGAAGAGTATCAGATTTGGCAGCAAAAGAGTGAGAATAGTGTCTTCAGGTCTGGCACATGCTGAGACTGGGGTGTCTCTGAAGCATTCAAGAGAAGACAATAAGTAGACAGATATGAGGGTCTGAAGTTTCAGGAAGAGTATTGCACTGAAAATATTTCTTTATTGATCTTAAAAGCAGGATTCTGCTGAAGCTAGAATCTGAGCAAATCCAGACTCAAGCTCAAGTTTGGAACATTCATCTATTTATTCCATGCAGTTTTGTCAAGCATCTACCTTGCACCAAGCACTGGAGATACAGAATCAAGAGAAGGACATGGACATAGAGGAGTTTATAGTATAGCTGAGACATATAAAAGTCAATAGACAAACTGTAAGTAATGAAGGTGTGTAGAAGGTTCTTTTAAAAGGCAAATATTGTAGGGTAGATTTTAGGGTTGAGGCGCAGGGATGAGTTGTATTCTAGGAAGGGAAGACAGTAATGCAAAGACTTAGTGTCATGGAAGCAGGCACTGTTCTTGAGGAATCATCAATATTAAATTTGGATGAAGGAAGAGAGTTGGAAACTGAGCAGTATTAAAAGATAAGGCCAGAGATGTAGGCAGAAGGCTGGGATCAGCCATCCTATAAACCTTTTGAACTTGAACCTGAAGATTACCAGGTACCACTGAAGCATTTCGTGCAAGGGGATAATAGGATCAGATTTGTGTTTTAGGTAGATAACTCTGCTGGAGTCGTGGTGGATGGCTTTAATAAGAGATCTGAGAAATGTCACTCAAATTCGGAACCTGCTATTGCATCTTTTTAGCAGGTGGATTTTATGTTTATTGGTGCCTTCAGGGTTCCAAGTGTTCACGTCATTATCTTATCTCATTTGAAGCACAACAATTGAAAAATACACAAATCAGTGTACTATTATACTTTATTCTTTTTATGGTTAAATTAGATAACGATCAAAAAATGACATTGGCTTGCTCACTTGTTAGAAACCATAAAATAACCTTCCTCATTAAAAAACCATTTTTCCATCACGAAGCAAATTTGGAACAAGGTACAGTGTGTCTTTAATCTCTCTTTAATTGATGCATATTGCTTTTTATCATATTCCATGACTCACCATGTTTTGACTATAGCTGACTTGAACTGTAACAGTCTGTTACCTTTTTGCCACAGTTTGCTACAGGCTAACAGGCCAATGAGACTATTAACGTAAAAGTTAAGATTCGTTTGGTCTTAAGTTAAATAATGAGTAAATAATTGAGAAAGAATTCTAAAAAGGAACCCCTGAAGGCTTATGTAATAGCTTATTTGATCCACATAAAAAGCGAGATAGGAAATCAAGTTTCTGCTAGTTAGACAAAAGCTATTTTCCTTCATTAAAATGAGTGATGAGAACAAAAATCAAGAAAAGACCCTTAGAACAAATAGAGCCTCAAATACCACTTTGGCAGAGTACAGTTATGCTAAGCTAGAACTTTAAATAGCAACACTCTGCATACTTTTGGCTTACCCCATTGAAATCACTATGAGCTATTGTTTTATTGTCTGCTGTTACATGTAAGTTGCTGGCAGCTGCTGATGGTGATTGCTGCTTGGGGAAGAGGAACTGGAAAGAAAGATCCCTTACCAACTGTTTTCCATGCTGCCCAGATGTGAAAGGCTCCACTGCCCTAGAAGGATAATGGAGGAGTTGAACATTATCAAAAAAAATGATATTTTAGAAGCTAGGAGCTGAAGTATCCTCAAATTAGGAGCCTTTCTCCATTTATTTTCTTAGTAACAGTTGGGTGTGAGTATAAGAAACCCCAAGAGGAGAGGGAAAAAAATATATAAATATATATACATATATATATATATAGAGAGAGAGAGAGACAGAGAGGGAGAGATCTGAAAAACAAAGGCCCCTGGTTGTTCTTTCTCAGGCAGTAGCTTGGGTATCTTGATTGACAACCTCTGTTTTGAAGCCAATATTGTGAATAAGATAATGATTCTTATGTGGGAAGAAAGGCAAAAAAGGCTTACAGTGATTTAATAACAGCTTTCTGCTGGCTAGATATCTGAAAACTTAAAATGTAGTTGACAGTAATTAGTTTTGTGGGCTTTTTTCTTACAAATGTAAAACATTAAATATCTTTTGAAAAAACCTCACACACAATAGGGGCACATCTGATGGATTTCTTACTTTTTGGAGTTTTATTAGGTTGCAAATGTGTCACTTCAGCCTTGGTTCCAAGTGTATTGAATTTGTAGAAATGTAAAATAGGACTTCCTGCAACAAATGGGCCAAGTGTCTTCTTCAGCATGAAAACAGTGACAGTGAGATGTCAACAATGCTGCAACAAACCTGTCTTTGTCTTTTCATTATTGCAATTCAGAAATATTGTGAATATTCAGATTGATTGCAAAAACTTTCAGAAACAACCTTCACTAACAAAAAGATAGGGAATTTTTTCCACTAAATATTTTGAATCAGTCAAGATCAAATCTACCTGCTACTGACTATTTTTCTTAAAGCTAAAAGAAAATTTATTTGGAGGAGGAGAATATGTAAGTCTCATTACCAACTGTCTATATAAACTGAAGCTTTCCAGCCTATATAGATCCCAATTGCAATGAATATCATTTGCACATATAATGAAGTTAGTCAGCCAATGTGTTTATGCTGAAGTCTTCTCCTTATATACATATGTATATTTTGAATCTTACCACTTTCTAACTTACAGTATGGTCATTTGTATACTTTCGTTTTATCTCTAAAAGTGCAAAATTTTCTAAACTCAGGAATGTGCTACTGCAGGCTTTTACTGGCTCACCAGAGCCCACTGTTAAATTTTCAAGGATTTTATGATCCAGTTGTTAAATAAGTTCACTATTAAAAAGTAAATTACATAAACTTAAAATTGAATGAGTTATAACAAAAAAATCATACATGCTGAAAATATATTATTTATGAATTCTTTTCCTACTTTTTACTGTTATCTATGCTCTTGCAGTTCTTTATGCATATCGTATCTTTATGGTTAAAATACTATAAAATGGTGTGCTCCTATACATCCCCTCACAACACAGCATTCAACAACAGCATGCTGGTAGCTCAAAACCAATCATGCTGATAGCATTTACACCATGGAAATAGGCAAATGCCATAAATTAAAATTTGCTTTATTGTTTTAATTGTCTAGACCAGAGACTGGCAAATCTGGCCAAAAATTTGGCCCAAAAAGCCAAATCCTGTCTCAGAGAATTAAGAATTTTTTTTTTTTTTACGTTTTTAAAGGTTATTTAAAAAAGAAAAGAAAAATATGTGACAGATCATATGTGACAGTTTTTTTCTTTAAAGGGCTGGTAGTAAATGTATTAGGCTTCATGGGCCCTGTAGAACCTGTCACAACTGCTCCACTCAGCCATTGTAGCACAAAAGCAGCCATAGACAATATGTAACCAAATCAACGCGGCTGTTTTCCAATAAAAATTCAAGAAAAACAGCTGGTGGGCCTTACTTGGCCCACAGGCCATAGTTCTCCAACCAGTGGTGTAAGTTGCAAACACAAATAATTAAGTCTGTGTTCTGCAAGCGTCCTTCTAATCAATAAATTATAATTGTAATAAATATTTAGATCTAGGTAATACCCTTTCCCTGCAGCAAATTGCAACACAGCTAATTTGAATCACTTTGCAGTTATATTAAATGGAAAATTCCATCTCTGAATGCTCTTTGGTCAATCATGTAATGGCAGTTGTGAAATGAAGTTGTGTGGTTTTAAAGCACTTTAAAGTTGCCTGATTCACTTAGCCATACTGTTACTCTCAGAAAGCAACAGATGATTACAAACAAGGCATCTACTTATTCATCAACCCACTGATGATCTTTCAAATAAGCTGAAGCCAATTGGTTGGAGTAAGATACACTTAATTTGACTGAGACTCTTCTGTTGAATCACTGAACTTTACATTTCAGTTCACAAGACTGTTTTTAGTAAGAAGGCTGGCATTTTATTGTATTTCATTCTATTTATATGTGTGTGTTTACGTGCAGTCACATGTAAACACCCATACACAGAATCTGGATCAAAAATGCCTTTGGCTGGCTACTCTGGCTCACGCCTGTAATCCCAGCACTTTGGGAGGCCAAGGAGGGTGGATCACCTGAGGTTCGGAGCTTGAGACTAGGTTGGGCAACATGGTGAAACCCTGCCTCTACCAAGAAATAGAAAAATTAGCCAGGCGTGGTGGTGCGTGCCTGTAGTCCCAGCTATTCTGGTGGCTGAGGTGGGCGAATTGCTTGAACCCGGGACGTGGAGGTTTCAGTGAGCTGAGATTGTGCCAATGTACTCCAGCCTTGGTGACGGAGTGAGACTCTGTCTTAAAAAAAAAAAAAAAAAAAAACCAAAAAAAAACACAGAAGTTATTGCTATGCTCCTCAGTGTATTAGTCCGTTTTCATGCTACTAATAAAGACACACCCAAGACTGTAATTTATAAAGAAAAAGAGGTTTAATGGAGTCACAGTTCCACGTGGCTGGGGAGGCCTCAAAATTATGGTGGAAGACAAGGAAGAGCAAGTGACATCTTACGTGGATGGCAGCAGGCAAAGAGCTTGTGCAGGAAAATTCCCCCCTGTAAAACCATCAGATCTCATGAGACTTATTCACTATCACAAGAACAGCACAGGAAAAACCTGCCCCCATGATTCAATTACCTCCCACCAGGTGCCTCCCACAACACACGGAAATTCAAGATGAGATTTAGGTGGGGACACAGCCAAACCATCTAATTCCACTCCTGGCCTCTCCCAAATCTCATGTCCTCACATTTCAAAACCAGTCATGCCTTCCCAACAGTCCCCCAAAGGCTTAACTCATTTCAGCATTAACTCGAAAATCCACAGTCCAAAATCTCATCTGAGACAAGGCCAGTCCCTTCCACTTATGAGCTTGTAAAATCAAAATCAAATTGGTTACTTCCTAGATACAGTGGGGGTACAGGCATTGGGTAAATACAGCCATTCCAAATGGGATAAACTGGCCCAAAGAAAGGGGCCAGAGGCCCCATGCAAGTCTAAAATCCAGCAGGGCAGTAAAATCTTAAAGCTCCAAAATGATCTCCTCCTTTGACTCCATGTCTCACATCCAGGTCACACTGTTGCAAGAGGTGGATTCCTATGGTCTTGGGAAGCTCCGCCCCTGTGGCTTTGCAGGGTGCAGCCTCCCTCCTGGCTGCTTTCATGGGCTGGTGATGAGTGTCTGCAGCTTTTCCAGGCATGCAGTACAAGCTGTCATTGGATCTACCACTGTGGGGTTTGGAAGGCAGTGGCCCTCTTCTCACAGCTCCACTAGGCAGTGGCCTAGTAGGGACTCTGTGTGGGGGCTCCCACCCTACATTTCCCTTCTGCACTTCCCTAGCAGACTTCTCCATGAGGGTCCTGCCCCTGCAGCAAGCTTTTTCCTGGACATCCAGGCATTTCCATACATCCTCTGAAATCTAGGTGGAGGTTTCCAAACCCCAATTCTTGACTTCTGTGCACTGGCAGGCTCAACCCCATGTGGAAGCTGCCAAGGCTTGGGGCTTGCACCCTCTGAAGCCACAGCCTGAACTCTACCTTGGCCCCTTTTAGTCATGGCTGGGGTGGCTGGGACACAGGGCACCAAGTTCCTAGACTGCTCACAGCAGAGGGACCCAGGGCCCAGCCTATGAAACCACTTTTTTCCTCCAAGGCCTCCGGGCCTGTGATGGGAGGGGCTGCTGTGAAGCCCTCTGACATACTCTGGAGACATTTTCTACACTGTCTTGGTGATTAACATTCAGCTCCTCATTACTTATGCAAATTTCTGCAGCTGGCTTGAATTTCTACTCAGAAAATGGGATTTTTCTTTCTATCATATTGTCAGGCTGCAAATTTTCCAAACGTTTATGCTCTGCTTCCCTTATGAAACTGACTGGCTTTAACAGCATCCAAGTCACCTCTTGAATGCTTTGCCACTTAGAAATTTCTTCCTAAATCATCTTTCTCAAGTTCAAAGTTCCACAAATCTCTGGGGTGGGGACAAAATGCCACCAGTCTCTTTGAAAAAGCATAGCAAGAGTCACCTTTGTTCCAGTTCCTAACAAGTTCCTCATCTTCATCTGAGACCACCTCAGCCTAGATTTCATTGTCCCTATCATTATCAGCAATTTGGTCAAAGCCATTCAACAAGTCTCTAGGAAGTTCCAAACTGTCCCACATTTTCCTGTGTTCTTCTGAGCCCTCCAAACTGTTCCAACCCCTGCCTGTTAGCCAGTTCCAAAGTCGCTTCCACATTTTTGGGTATTTTTACAGCAGCGCCCCTCTCTACCAGTACTAATTTACTGTATTATTCTGTTTTCACACTGCTGATAAAGACATACCCAAGACTGGGTAATTTATGAAGAAAAAGAGGTTTAATGGACTCACAGTTCCACGTGACTGGGGAGGCCGCACAACTATGGTGGAAAACAAAGAGGAACAAGCCACGTCTTACACAACATGGCAGCAGGCAGAGAGTTTTGCAGGCAAGCTCTCCCTTATAAAACCATTAGATCTCGTGAGACTTATTCACTATCACAACAGCATGGTAAAGACCTCCTCCCATGATTCAATTACCCCCACCAGGTGCCTCCCACTTGTGGGAATTCTAGATAAGATTTGGGTGGGGACCCAGCTGAATCATATCACTCAGTCTTTCCACCTTTTAATCTGGAAAGTCTGGTCACAACTGCTTAGAATTTAGGCCCAGGAGCTACTAAGAATTAGTAGAATATTTGGTTTAATAGAGTCTTAATAATTTTCATGAATTTTTAACTTCCTCTTAGAGGGCAACATTTATGTGACTGTACATTCTCTCCACTTTTTCTAGAGTTCCTCCATAGGCATCCTCAAACAGAACGGTATCTTAATAGTGTCTCACTTGTCAAACAAACTCTTATTTATTTGAGACATCATGGGAAGGGTCACAGCCTGTTCCTTGAAGGCTTTGCAAAGTAATCAGGCAGTGTAAGTGATGGCAAGCCCCCTGGATGTGGACTCAGCCCACCTGAGTTCTAGGCCTGGCCTTGCCTTCAGGTCACTGTGTGAAGCCAGACTAGTTGCCTCCCTGCCCCAGCCTCAAAACTGCTATAGCCATCAAAACTGAACTAGGACCAGACAAACTCTAATATCCCTTACAGCTCACACTCTGTGATACCAAATACTTAGAGTTGGAAAGCATGTCCCTCTTGGGCAAAGGGTTGTGGTCTAAGGGAAAGAAGCTGAACTGGAAGTTGTTGGTGACAGAGCTACCCCAAAGATTGAACTCAGACAGCCCTCATGTCCTATCAGGTCTAAGGCCTGCTTAGTTTGTCCCACAAAATATAAAGTTTTTTATTTTTTTTCTAATTTACTAATATTTAAAGGTAAGAAGATTTTATATAAAAATCTGGATTGTCAGCTTTTCTTGAAAAACTAAAAAATCTAGCAACTATGGTCCCCCACATTTCCCAATTGCAATATGATCAGGAGCTGAGTAGCAGTTGCCCCATGAAGTGGGTCAGGGAAGTTAGAGACTATTGATATCTTAAGCACAGACTGCAGAAGGTGATTTTCCATGAAAGGCATGTGAAGCTCTCATGTGAAGGATCAAAAAGGGCTCTTCTTTCTTAACACAGAACAGAGAACATATCATTTTAGACATCAGCTCATAAGCAATACTAGTTCTATATTCATTTTCTTTGTTGAAAGTAGTCTATTTGGTGAAGATTCCAGTTTTTTCACATTATAACTTTCATAGGGAAATAGCTATGATGGTTTGCATAAAATGTTCAGACCTTATCTACCTAGTAGTAAATCTAACAAAGGGAGTGCAAGATCTTTATAGGAAACATATGTAAAATGTTATTTATGCATTGAAAAAGAAGACAAGAAAAATGGCATGATATAACATGATCATGGATGAGAAGATTCAATATTGTAAAGATGCAAATTTTCCCCCAATTAGTCTATAAATTCAATGACATTTTAATTAAAAATGTACCAAATATTTCAGGTATCCTGGTAAATTTATTTTCAACTTAATCTAAAGGCATAAAATACAGGAAAGGCCGAGATAATTCTGAGAGAGAAGACAAAAGAGAGGGCAATGTTATAATATATATGAGGCTTATAGCAAGGATATTATAATTAAAACAGCAAGGTATTGGTATAGCAGTAATCAAATACACAAGTGCATCAGAACAAAAAGCTGGAAAATAGATAAATGCATATATGGAAATTGCTGTATCTGAAACTGCAAATCAGTGCAAAAATGAACTACTTGATATGTAGACCTGAGAAATTATCTTTCTTTATAGAAAAAAAATTGTATTCCTACCTTCCCTTATGCAAAAATAAACTCCAAAGAATTAAAGACCTAATTGTGAAAAACAAAACTCTGAAACTATAGTTTTAAAAATGGAAAATATCTTTATAATTTCAGATCTAGGAGGAATTTCTTAAAACAAGTAATAAAAGCAAATGTTATTTTTTTAAAGATAAAGTTAGGCTTTATTTTAAATTTTTATATGACGAAGGATATCAAACAAAGACAATAGTCAACTGGGAAAAGATACTTTCAACATTTATAATGGGCAAAGGAGTTGTATTCAGAATGTTTAAAGAACTTATAAATCAGTGAGAAAAAATACAAATAGAAAAATGGGCAGAAGATACTAAGAAGCAATTTTTTAATTTAATTAATTAATTTTTTGAGTCACGGTCTTGCTGCCTCCCAGGCTGGAGTGCAGTGGCGTGATCATGGCTCACTGCAGCCTCAACCTCCCAGGCTCAAGCAATCTTTCCACCTCAGCCTTCCAACTAGCTGTAACTACAGGCACATACCACCATGCCCAGCTAATTTTTAAATTTTCTTGTAGAGATGGAGTCTCCCTATGTTGCCCAGGAATGGTCTTAAACTCCTGGGCTCAAGTGATTCCCCGGTTTTGGCCTCCGAAATTGCCGGGATTACAGGCATGAGCCACTATGCCCAGCTTCTAATAGGCAATTCACAAGAGAGGATGCTCAGGTAGATAACACAATATGAAAAGATAATTAACTTTACTAGTAATCAGGAAACGTCAAATTAAAATAAGAGAAATAAAAACATACATCCACACAAAGATTTGCAATTTTATTTGTAATAGCCAAAAAACTGGAAACCACCAACTGTTAATTAAAAGATAAATATATAGACAAAATATAGTATATCCATACACTGAAAAAAAAAACCTAAGCTCTGATAAACAAAAAGATGGATGAATCTCAAAAATCATTATGCTGAGTGAGAAAATTCAGACTAAATATATATATATAATATTATTTCATTTGTTTAAAAAATCTAAAAAATGAAAATTAATCTATATTAAAAGAAAACAGATCAGTTGTTGCCTTGTATATTCATTTCCAATTGTTGCATATTAAATTACCTTGAGCTTAGAGACTTAAAACAACGCACATTTATTTTCTCCTAGTTTCCATGGGGCAAGAGTTACCCAGGCACTCTGCTCAGACTGAAATCAGGGCTGCAATCTCATCTGAGGCTTTAGGTCCTCTTGCAAGCTCTTTGGTTGTTGGCAGGATTCAGTTCTTTACAGCTGGAGGACTGAGGCCCCACACTCCTACAGGCCCTGCCCTTCTCTGCCACAGGGCCCTCTTCACACATGGCAGTTTGGTTCTTCCAGGCTACCAGGACAGCTTGCCTGCTTTTTCAAATCTTTGTGGCTTCTGTTTCTGACTTTTAGAACCTCTTTTAAAGAGCTCATATATTATATCAGGCCCATTTGGGATAGCCTCTCTTTTGATTAACTTAAAGTCAACTGATTAGGGATATTCATTACATATTGCAAGAACTCTTCCCCTTTGCCACATAATGTAGGCTAATCAGTGAGTGTTGTATCATTATTTTTACAGGTTCCACTCACATTCAGGTTAGGAAATTACACAGGGTTTGTACACCAAGGGGTGGGAAACTTGAGGCCATCTCCTGTTTACCACACCCAGGATCAGAAGTGGAGGGAAAGATGTAAATAAGGCAGTCTCATTTTATCAGTGTTCTTAACTACTTTCTACATTGCTATGTGTTCTCCCTTCTTTTTAAAATGGGACCTTTTCCCTAATACAATGGAAATGTCAATTGGTTTTCCTTTTTCATTGTTCCATCATGTAGACACATGAAAAAAAAATACTATTTTAAGAACAAGATGATCAACGTCTACAGCGCATTGAGTGAATAAAAAATTGAGAAAGAAATGAATTGCAAAGAGGCACAAGGAAACTTAGAGGTGACGGAAATCTTCAATATCTCAATTGTGGTGCTGGTTTTATGGGTATAAGCATTTCTTAAAATTCATCAAATTGTACCCTTTAAATATATGCAGTTTGTTATACATCAGTTATGCCTCAATAAAGTCATAAATTAAATAAAAACATTTTCACCCATCAGATTGGCAAAATATTGAAAGTCTAAAAGTACCAAGTATAAGCAATGATGGGACATAATGGAAACACAGTGCCGGGGCAGGAGTGTATAAACTACAGATGGTTTTGGTCCTACCTAGAAAAAAAGACGAATATGGCTATATTTTTAATACCCCCAAATTTCACTGCTATATAGATATTGCAGAGAAACTCACCCATTTCCACCAAGAATAAATACAAGGATACTCATTGTATATTGTTGCAATAACAAAAATTGAAAACAACTTAAATGTCCATCATTAGACAAATGAATAAGCATGACATATTCATAAAAGGAAACACCATTCAGGAGTTAAAAATGAATAAAGTGGTCTTTATATATCAACATAGATCTTAAAAATCTAATGTCTAGAAAAACACATTGCAGATCGATTGTTCATTATGATAACATCTATGGAATAAAAGTGCAAAATATTGCTGCATGCTATTTATTGAAAAATATAGGTAACACATGTACATAACAACATGGATGAGAAAAAATACACATTCATGACTTTGGGAGAAAAGGGAATAAAATTGGAGACAGACCTAAAAGGGAGCTCAGTTTCATCATCTATTTTTTTCATTTAAAGGATTCAGAAGCAAGTATGGAAAACATTAGTGTTTGTTCATGCTGGTGGTGGATATTGAGCGACTGTTATACAGCAAATGGACTCCCTGCCCCACACACATAGAAACTAATACTATGGCACCAGCTTTTGAGAAAAGAAAGGCTTTGTTACAAGGCTGGCCAGCGAGGAGACAGGAGAAGGACTCAAATCAGTCTCCCTCACTTGGGGCCTGGGGCAAGTATTAAGGGGTTGGATGACAAGAGAAAGGATTTACAAATGTTGGCTTGGCAAGGTCCAGTTGGAGGTCTTCAAATTTGACCATTTACAGTAAGGCATGTTGACGCAGATTTTAGTCCCAGATCTTCCTGGCCAACAGACCCCTTGCTTTGAAAGAGTGCCGGCGGTCATATTGCAGCAGGTTCTGGTCATGTCCCATCTTCTTGGTTCCATGAGGAGGAATCATTGGTTCTGGATGTTGTTAGAGGTCAAAGCTGTTTCTGTTACACATGCCTAGGCTGTATCACTTGCAGTCTTGGCTCTGTTAATGCCTATAAGCCAATGCAACATTCTGTTACCAGCAGAATAGGGCCAGGGCCAGTTTGGGCTGGTTTGGCAGTTACATAAAGTTTCACTTTATTTTGTTTTTAAATTATCACCTATAAATAACCCTTGTCTAAATATGAGAATAACATCAGAAAAATCCAAAGTGAGAGACATTCTATAAAATACTTTGCCAGTTCTCTTCAAAATGTCAAGGTCATTAAAAACAAGGAAAATCTGAGAAACAGTCTAAAGAGACATCATGAATAAATGTAATGTGGTATCTTGAGTAAGATTCTAAAACAGAAAAGGCACATTAGGTTAAAAACTAAGAAACTCAGAATAAATTATGAGCTTAAGTTGGTAATAACATATCAATGTTAGTTCATTAATTGTGTCAAATGTACCCTAGTAATGTCGAAAATAAAGGAAGCTGGGTGCAAGGTATATGGAAACTCTCTGTTATATTCTTGCAACTTTTCTGTAAATCTGAAGCTATTTTAAAATGAAGAGCTTATTTTTTTGAAAAAATCATCACCTATAGTTCAAAGAAAACATCTTGGTGGGGTGTCATGTAGGAAAATACTATTTTGAAGGTAGGCCAGTCTATATTGAAATCCTGGCCCCTCCACCCATGCCCACAACACCTTTGAGACTACTTCAGCTTCCATTTCCTCTTTTGCAAAATGAGAACAATCTCTACCTTGGAGAATGATTGAGACATTAAATAGGAATGCATAAAGCATTTAGCACATAGTAAAGGCTCAATAACAATTACTTATTATTTCCATTTTATTGTAGTTATTGTATTATTATATATATCAAATGTGTTTGTTTTGATTATTAGGTAAGAAAACCATAGTATCTTTAAACCTTCCGGATTAAAAAAAATAAACAAGCTTCGCTTTGCAATCACTCTGTTAGCACACACCAAAATGTACACAATATCGACAATCCCTTTGATAATATGGGGCACTTTGGAGGGAGGGGAGCTATTAGTAAGTTTACTGGACTTTATTCTCTTTATTCTTAGGTGAATTTTCCTTACCACTCTTCATAAGTTCAGACCAAAATATCTTCATTACACCACTATTCAGTGAGAGGGAAGGACAGAAAGGAAAAGCTTCAGACAAAGACAGTAATCTTTCCTCAACTAAATTAAGGAAGAGAAAGTACAACCCTTGTGTGTAAATTTTTTTAGCACAATGATCCTTCTTCCTAGCATATGTGCCCAATCCCAATCACATTAGATCCATCCTGTTAGCAGGGAGGAGGGGAAAGTGTGGTCTTCCTGCTGCCCTTACCTCTCTCCATTTTATCTTTAAAATGAAATATTGTGCCATCACAAAAATCCTGTTTTCACAGAACAGTGCATGAGATGGAAAAATGCTCACGATATAAACATCAGGGAGGAAAAGCAGGATTAAACTCTATCTATAGAGTAATTCACATTTTGGGGGGAAATGAGCAAATATTCATGTGCAAAGAGAAAACACTGTAAGGATAAACTCTCCACCCAAAGAGTAGTCAGCTGATTGGTGGTATACAGTAAACTTTATTCTGTATAGTTTTTGTGTTTTTCAGACAATAATAGACATTACTTAAAGAGACTGAAAAGAGATAGGGGAGGTATAGGTTAACTTGTTATTATGGGTATACATGCTACAAATGATTAATGGTAAACAATGATATGAAGGTGGTTTACAGTCCCAGGAGATAACTCCTCATGTAGGAATAAGATTCAAGGTGCTCTTCTCCAATAACAATATTAAGATACCATTTTTGAGCTCTCATTATAAGCACACTTCCAAGCTCTTGGCAGGGACTATTTTCATTGAATTCTTAGGCTCTGGGATCTGCCTGCCTAGGTTCAAATTCAGGCTTCATCCATTACTATCTGTGTGACCTTAGGCAGGTTACTTAATCTCTCTGAACCGCAGTATTCAGATATGTGAAACAGGGATAAAAATAACACTTATTCATGGAATTATTATAAATATTAAATGAACTTATGGAAATAGACTTTTTTTTTTTTTTTTTAGTAAGATGAAGTCTTACTCTGTCACCCAGGCTGGAGTGCAGTGGCACAATCTCGGCTCACTGCAACCTCCGCCTCCCAGGTTCAAGTAATTCTCCTGCCTCAGCCTCCTGAGTAGCTGGGATTACAGGCATGCGCCACCACGCCCAGCTAATTTTTTTTTGCATTTTTAGTAGAAATGGGGTTTCACTATATTGGCCCGGCTGGTCTTGAACTCCTGACCTTGTGATCCACCCGCCTCGACCTCCCAAAGTGCTGGAATTACGGGCATGAGCCACAATGCCCCGCCAGAAATACACTTTTAAAAATGTCCTAGCATATAATAAGTGTTCAACAAAAGTTTGCTATAAGTATGCCCATTATGTGGATGAAGATGATAAGGCTTAGAGAAGCTGAGTGATTTTCCAAGGTTATATGCCTGTAAGTGGGGAAGCATTCAAACCCTTGTCTTCTCAAACGTTATTCTTTTAATCATTGTACCACAAATTACTTTCACTAATTAGGCACATGAAGCTTAAGGCTCTGCAGACATTTGACTTGGGCTGGAACTGTCACCAGTAACCTGCATTCTTTCCCTACTTTATGTCAGCCACAAAGAAAGAATGTCAAATTAGAAAGGCAATCAGGTTTTATTCAGTGGCCAAAGAAGGGGAGCTCATGATCTAAAAGTACCTCTTCCCAGGCAATGGGGGGTATGGGAGTTTTAAGGAGTTGAATGTAGGGGGAGGTATGCAGGCACGTATAGGGTGGAGTTCCAAGTGGTAGGTGCAATTCATGAACATACTTCTCCATACATTGCATGTACACAAAATGGCGGTGATCTTCACTTAGCAGAGGGGATTTTAGTATGATAATGATATGTTAATCATTCAAAAGTAACTAGAGGTCACCTCCTTTGGTCTGCACCAATTTCTCACCAGTCTTGACTTCCTCTGATAGGGGGTCACAAAGTTGCTTTTGGCATCCAGTCCATTTGGTTTCTTCAAGCTGTTGTGCCTATCAATAAAGAGACTAAAAGAAAAAAAAACAGCTAAAGTTTTTCCACTGCAGGGCAGTTCTGGTGACAGAATTTCTTTTTTTGTCTCAGCAAAGAATTTAAGTTGCTTTCATTCAAATTCAACTTCAAAATTAATTTAAAATAATTTTAAAATAACTCTAAAACTATGTCGAGCCTTGTAGTTCTACCAGAATAAATATGCTTCTTGGGTATATCCATACTGACAGCTGCATTTCTTCAAGAAATGACATGACAGAAGAGTGTCCTCCTAAAATTCAAACTTGGAAGACCAACCGGTCTCAAGCTACTTGTTTGAAAGGATGAGTTATATAAAATGGCATGTTCTTTATCTTTAAAAAAAAAAAAAAGTATTACAAAGCCCCAAGGAGACAATAAAATGTAAAAGGATCTGTTACCTTGATTTTATTTACTGCTTTTTTTTTTTTTGAAAGCCAACACTGAGCTATATATTGATATACAAGACAAACCATTTCTTGGCATATTTCAACTTGTCTGAAAGTCAGTTACTTTGGTTACAGCTCAAAGGACAAGTTCTCAGTAAAGAATAAATAATGTATTCACATTAATCATTTCCCCAGTGTATAAAGTATGTATCAACTAGGATGAGAGAGAGACTGACCTTGGGAAGAAAAGTACATACTTAGAACAAGGGTCTCAGCAGATTTCTGTCCTTTGATGAGCTCAGGATAGCTCAGGTAAGCCACATGGAACCACTGCTCAGAAATCCATAGGACAGGGCCCTCACGCCCCAGCTCAGCCACTGGTTGTCTCTGAGGAGACAGAAGCTTCGTATTTAACCCTTCTTGGCCTTTGGTCTCCCTCCACAATGGAGGAGTGGGTGGAAATAAGGCAGTGGTTCTCCAAACTGGTAGATTCTGATTAATCCCCTAGAGGGGAGCTCAGAGCATACAGAGATTCTTGGGCTCAAACCCAGATCTACTGGATCAGAACCTCTGGATATGTGGCTTGAGAACCTGCATATTAAACAAGTTCATTAGCTCTTTCTCATACAGTTCTCTGAGTTCTCACCACATACTCTTGTTTAATAACCACCAGAGTGATGATTTCTGATTTCCAAGGTCCAAGCCAAGTGTACTGTGGCAGAATAATGATTCCTTCAGTGCCTCTCAACTCCAGAAATGGAAACTGAATAAGTCAGTAATTACCTCTAAGCACTAGTTTTTTTTAAAATGTATTTTCTGTCTGCTCATTTAATTTCCTTATCTTTTTTATTGTCCTTATCTTTGAACCAACAATTTCATAGTTGGGAATTAAATGAATTGCAGCGTTGTTTACATGATATCTTCCATTTATTGATTAACTACACTGTGTTCAGACACTAGACTGTTATGTATCATCTTGAGTATTAAAAATGAAATCTCAAAGAGTCATTATTCTCTTTTCACAGATTTTAAAAAGCAGGTGTATTGAGGCTAAGTTGGTCAAAGCCACAGAATTCATGATCAGAAAATTCAGGATTTGAAATCATTCTTAGAAGATCAATAACATGTGCTGTTTATATCACATTATTGCCTCTGTTTAGTAATTGTAGACTAAATATCCCCAACTTGGGGAAATATTAAAATAAATTATTGTATGTTCACTGTATGAAACATAAGATAGCTATTAGAAGCATGATTTACAATATGAATATGACTAGGTCAACTCTATGTATGCATGTTTTATCAACTATTGCTGCATAATAAATCATGTAAAACTCAATGCTTAAAACAGTAGGCGTTTATTATTGCTCATTTGTCTATGGGAAAACAAGTGGTTCTGCTGATCAGCTGGGCTTTTTGGGTGTCAGCATTTGGGTCAGCCAGATACTGACTGGTCTAGGCTAGGACAGACAGCCTTGCTGACATGTCTAGTGGTCAACTGGCTATTGGCTGGAACAACGGGATAATAGATCATGTGTCTCTTCAGTGTCATCCAGCAGGCTAGCCTAGGCTTATTCCCATGATGACTTGGAAAAGTTCCAGGAGATTGGGGATTGCAAGGCAGCTTAAGACCTAGGCTCAGAATGTGCACGATTTCACTTCTGCCGTATGCTGTTGGCCAGAGAAAGATATGAGGTGACTCCAGATTCAAGGAGTGAGAAAATCAACTCTATTTCTTGCATAAGAAAAGCCACAAAGTCACATAGAATGAGTGTGGACACAGGAAAAGGAATAATAGGGTCATTTTGTTCAATCAATATGCTACACACATGAACGAGAACTGGAAGGCATATGGAAAATGCAGAGAACTGATGTGTTGGCAAGTTAGGGCTGTGAAAGATTTTTCTTTTTTCTTTGTATGTTTGTTATTTCATATAGGTGGTTATAATCCTGCCGGTGTAACAAACAATGTTTGAGAGCAAAAAACAGTAAGAGGAGCCAGAGCAAGCATAAGATCAACAACTACATTACTATGCTGAAAGGATTGTATCAATAATTTGCATATCATAAACCAATGTAGCCTTCTTCTCTGTAGAGCATGTAGGTGGGTAACAATGGAAAGAGCCTCAAACTACTAAAGTTAAATAGGTCTCCAAAATATATCCAATGGCTGTGGATCTGAAGTGGAATTTAGTCATGAGATACCCAATTATTCTTAGCACTTCTGCTCACTCTGCGTATTACCAGGACTGGCACCATCTTAGGACTGCAACATTTTAGCCATCTTTGGAATCCCTAGGGAACAATTCTTCCTTAATAGACATGATTTCTGATAGTCAAAGTTTTGTCATTTAAGAACCAAAATTTCAAGTTGTTTTAAAAAAGACTGTAACTATTTTAAATAGAAATTATTAGTTAAATGTATAACTTGTTGACATCCTTGTGTTTTAAAATAGAGTTGATGGAAAACATTTTAACAGTTTTTTGACAACATTGCTCTTTGCCAGAATGCAACGACATCCTCAGAACCTGTGAAGCAGAGCAGGGTTTCTTTGCCCTTATGTAAAATATTCTGAGAATGCCATGCTTTCAAGTTCTTCTTTCTGCTCCTTCATTGTTTTTGTGCTCTCTCTTGTTCCCATGGGGCTCTAAGTGTGCCTTCTTCTGACAGTTTGTTCTGTTTTACTTGGCTTCTTCTAATATGCTGTCAACTTAGAAAAACCAACCTTATTAGGACTATTTGTCAAGGAAGAGGAATTAGGCTCTAGGTAAGGACCAGGGAGCCTCTCATCTGAGTAAGATACATGGTCATTAGTGTATGAAAGGCTTGGTGACATATCCTTCGTCTGATTTTTTTTTCTTGGTTCTTGCCTGTATCAAAACATAGACAAGAGCTAGGTTGTTGGGAATCTGAAACTTTGGCACATTGCCAGATGTGAAGGAAGTACAGATATGCATGACCTGAGTGAATAAATAAAATGCATCCAATGTGGGCTAATTGTACTTAGGACATTAAATATTCCATAACCTTATTTTGTCAAAGGTCAGTTTTTCAAATAAATTAAAGGCTTTTTCAAAGCATTAACACGTCTTTACATTTTATTTTAGGGTATCAGTGAGTTTGTTCATTCCATATTTTCATTCATTCACTCCTACACTGAGAATACACACACACACACACACACACACACACACACACAACCTTATCCTCATGGAAATTGTGTTCTTGTTTGGAAGATAGAAATAGATGTACATAATTGTGAAGTCTTAAGACAAACAGTATAACTGAAACAGATCAGCCAGTGTGGAAGTACGTAAGATGGAGGAAGAAAAGCACCTCCTAGACCTTTGCATCCCTGTAAAATGTGGTTGGTAATATCCAATTAACAGATGTTTTGCTGAGGATTTATTGTGACACAGGGTGAAGTCATATGTACTCAAAAAAGTTTATTATATAGACAATGTGGAAGGCAATCTAAACTAACAGAAAGTATAACACTGTGCTATCTGAGAGACCTAGATTCAGAGCTTATTTTCATCACTTATTTGTTGGATTTTTGCTTAGCTCCATTTTTTTTTTCTTTCTGAAGAATGGGGATAACTTCTACCTTGCAGTGCTGTTGGAAGAATAAAATAAAATGACACAAGTAAAGTGTCACAGGCAGTAGCTGGAAAAGTAAGTGTTCCATGAGTATCAGCTTCTTTCCTCTTTTCCTCTTCACAGAGTGGGTGACAACTGAGCTGGGTTTTGAAGGATGAGTAGGAGTTCACAAACCTAATCATGAATCCCCCACAGGGAAAGTGGCCTTTCAGCAGAGTGAGATATGGGCATTTGCTTCTAAAACTGGAAGATGATTTGTGAAGCTGTTGCTTCCTGGGCAGCAGAGCCACCAACACTTCTCTATTTCCTTATCTGTATTTAATAATGTTGGCTCATTAACCTAGTGGACTTATGAACTCACTGGTGCTACTTCACTAACAAGATATATTTGAGGTCTCATTTCAACCTAATAGTGATGTGGAATTTACCCTGATAGGAAGGACAGAGAAGAAAACACTAGAAATCAATAACATTGAATGACCTAGCAGAATTTTGAACATGTACAAGGGGGAGTGGAATATTTCTTCCACAATCAAGTGCGCAGGGTTTGAAGTTAAATCAGGTGTTACAAATAAGAAGCTGGAGATCTCATTATTTAGATTAGGTCTGTCCATTCATTCAATGGGTATATATTTATCACCTCTCACTTGCAAAATATTGGGTTAAGAGAACAGACAAACATGAAGATGGCTAACTATGACACAGGATGAAATGAGGGTTATACATGAGAAAAAACTAAAAAGGATGGAAGTGGTAATTTATCTGGTTTTTTGAAGGAAAAGTAGAGTCATGGTTGGCCAAGGAGAGAAGCAAAGCATTCTATGTGGAGAGAACAGCATAAACCAAGGGCAGAGGCTTGAAAGCACATGGCTGCAAAGGAAAGAAAAAGAAAGTGTGAACTGTTACACGAATCATCAAGCCCATTAAAAACAAAACCAACAAACGAAAAGAAAAAAAAAATCACTGAGAAGTACAGCCAGAACCAACATAATCTTTCCTTGGAGTCCTCATTAAAAAAAAGTCATAGTTTCCCTTTTCTTTTTTTTTTTTTCTTCCCTGTTTGTGACTTAGACCTTTCCAAAGCCCCTGTATGCATTGCAGCAGGCACTGTTAAGGCCATGCACCTAAACCTGCAGAACTCACCACACAGGCCTTCAGCATTCTGTCTGTAGGCCAGTTCTCTCTAACTGAGGGCTTCAGGCTGTGAAGAGGGATAGACCAGAAAGGCAGGGAATTTGATGCTTGCAGGAGCCAATAAGAGAAAGGAGTTGGAGGATAAATTCACCTGCTTCCCGCACCTCCTATAATACCTCTGAAGCATGTTCACACTATCTTCCAGAGCACCCCAGTGAGGTAGCCCCAGTTGCCTACCACAGGCACCTGCTCATGGATGCATTCTTTATCAAATCCCTTCATTTCCCTGTCTCAATTCCCCACTCTCTTTTCTGGAATCATCTCCCAAATAAACTACTTGCATTTATGTCCTTGTCTCTCAGGAGGACATTCTCGGGGAGAGGCAACCCCAAGACAGCATTGTTTAAGCCTTCTGGTGGTACACAGGGCAGCAGTGTTGATGAACTGACATGGAAAAGATTAGGGATGGTTTAAGGTAAGACAGCAGAATCGAAGCTGATTTTAAGAAGTGGTTCTGGGAGTATTTCCATGTGCTTTTGAACTTTAATTTTTGTAAATTTAATTGTATCTTCAGGAGGATTAAATGAGTTAATTCCTATGAATTGCTTAGGAAAGGGCCTGGTGCATACATTTCAACATTGTCATTGCTCTTATTGTTTTTAGATTAGCCCCTCCTCTTGTTCTGGTGTGTGGCAGCATGCTCCCTGAAAGAGGCAGACCCAGATAAGAAAGAGGTAGGAGAGGGAGAGATGGTCCTGAGGCCTCACTGATCTTGTTTCCACACTGTGGAGCTGATGCCTGCAGGCAGCTTCTCTCACCTTTGGTGAGACTCCCCTTCCTGCTCAGAGCTTGTGTTGAACATGGAACTCACCTTGTGTGACAAGTTATGGTGGCCTTCTTCATGATCATTCAATGTAATCACTAGCTTCATGTGCTGTACAAAGATTCCCTGTCAAGTTCCCTGTGGGAAAAGGGAGCTGGGGGAGTTGGTAATTCCAGATTTCTAAGTACTCTACCCTCCTGGCTTCTGATTCAGGAGAGGTCAGGGTTTGGAACTGATAATCCACGTTCTTTTATAAGCTGCTCGGGTGATTCTGATGGGCAGCCAAATCTGAGAACCACATTGCTATGTGGCTTTGTTCCCCAGGATCCATATCACAGAGTATTGCGTGTTATAACAGAAAGGGTGGAAGCTTTTTCTGAATAGGGTCTAAGGCTGACTTTCCTTTTCTAACTAATGTCAGAACAAGTGGCGCTACAGCCCCTTACAGGGAGTTTTTGTCTCCACACTTTCAGCAAAATGAGAGGAAAAGTGTTGCTCCTAGAGTTGAGATAAGTGACATTCTGGAAATATCAGAATGTCCTGTTCTTCAGACTGACTCTCTTAATTTGTATCATTTAAAGACTTGGGGATGGTGTAAGAAGGAACTAACATTTTAAGGAAGACATTGGTAAGACATTCTATTTTAAAAATAGAGGCACAGCTGAAGAAAGAAAACTGGTTTTTCTCTGCGTGAGAATGAACAGTTCACATGGCATTTTGGACTGTTCTAAACAGGCCTGCAGTAATACATAATCAACTATTGGAGGAAAGATAGTTTTGTCTTATATTTATGGAGGGGACACTGAACACAGAAACTAAGAATAACTGTACTTAGTACTGCACGCTTCGGTTCTCAAAGTACTTTCGCATGAGCTGCTTCGTGGTGGCTTCACCACTGCCCCATCGGATACCAGGGCTGCAGCGCCTCCCCTTGCAGCCCTGAATCCGAGGGTTCGGGAAGGTGTAAATTAGAAATATAAGAAGCCTCACCCAGATAGGAGGGATTTTTTGGTTAATAAAATTGTAGAAATTTTGCCAGCTAAATGGATTACCCTCATATCATAGGGATGCAGAAACACCTCTGGCGTAAGACATACTCATCAAAAGAGAGAGGTTTTTACAAATATTTTATAAGCACTCCAATTAAAATAATGCCCCAGATCCCTTTAGACCAACTCCATTCCTTTGCTGCAGGGCATCATCACCACACACCTCCCTAAGACTGGGGTGGGTCAGGAGCTGAGAGCAGAGTGGGGAGAGTGCTTTCAGATGGAATCTTAAACAAGCAGATCATGACTAGGCTTTTTGGAGCTCCATGAAAACACTCAAATGTTATACACTCTACGTTTCATAAACTACATGGGGAGAAACAGACTTTCATCCTCTTTCCTACCCACGCCTTATTTTATTAAGAGCTGTAATTTGGTCTGGGTTCTGGAGGCATAGTGGTTTAACAGGGTTTTTTTAACTCAATTTGTTGAAAAGGAAAGAAAAACCAGAAAGCCATTTTGTAAGTGTTTGATTCTGAAATGTATCTTGCCTGTAGCTTTAGGAGAGAGAGTACATTTCACTTGTGTCATTGTAATTTCCATCAGCCTCAGCTGTGTATTATTTATATACCTCAGCATTTTTATTCCCATTTTATAGGTGAATAAACAGAGGTTTGGAAAGGCTAAGAGAGTCTCATCAATACACTCAGTTGGCTATGACACCCCCCCTTCATGGGGAAATGATCAGCGAAAAAGTCAAGTACCTCTTGATCAAATTTACTATTCATATCTCAGTGTACTGGGCAAGATTATTGAAAATGGTTTCCATGTTTTTCTTCTTTCACTCTTATTACAGTACTAACAAGATTCTTGTAAAAACTGGACCTCAGGGATTCTTTCTGATATAAAGTCTTAATCCTTAATCATAGCAACAACTATTCATCTTCTGGTTCCATACCAGGCTTTAAGAAATGTGTGTTAGGAACAGCCAAACTCCTAAGCCATCAATTTGCTGATAGAGCTCTCCCTGTTATAAAAAATAATAGAAGGAAAACAAACAGATGTATCTCTGCTATTTTTGACTAGAATTATGAAAATAGGCATCATAAAAGTCATTTATTTTCTCTTCTTTAATAATAAGCAAAGACTTATTTAGTGCCTACTATGAACAATGTAATATTGTGTGCTATGCAGGACGGCAGAAAGAGTGAATCTACTGCTCAGCAGTTTATGGTGGGACCACTTTTAATCCCCTGTACCAGAAGAGTAGATAATTATATCTATCACCAGAAATTATACAACTGAAATACAACATTGTTTTAATCTCTAAACAACTGTCAGGAAGGAAATGCCCATCTCCCACCTTGTATATGCTAAACTTGCGCACATTCGCAAGACTGGGTAATGTGGAGATTTATAACCTGGGCTTTGGAAACAGACAACCCAGGTTCAAGCCTTTGTTCAAATATTTACTATCCAGGCAGACTTTGGCAACTTACTGAACCGCACTAAACCTTATCATTTTCGTTTGTAAAATGATGATAACAATAGATTCTAGTAGATCAGGTTGAATGATAATCAAATGACATAATCCATGAACAGCGCTTAGGCTGATACCCAGAAACAAATATTAGCACCATTATTGGAATTAGAAAGGTCCATGGTAGGAAATCACAACTGCCAAATTTCTCCATTACGTAAGTGGTTCTCCACAGTTTTTCATTTAAGATCTAAAACATTTTGTTCAAATGCAGTCATGTTCAGAAACCTGGGATACAGAGAAAACAGTGGAGTGGGCTGGTTGAAGCAGAGAAGGGATGTGGAACCCTGGTTCCTTTGACTGCCCCTAGCACACCCTCCCATCTTCATGGTGTGCCCTGGAGCATCTCCATGGAATTCCTGGCGTTCGGCTTAAAAAACTAAGCTATTAAATATTATGCCTGTAATTACATTGTAAGCTGAGATGATTTGGTTATTTGAATGTACCATCTATATTCTCACATATACACAAATTTCATCAAAATATTTGATGGTTGTATTTTACATTTTGAACATTGAAAGTCTAGGCCAATATGTTCATATACCTACCTTTATAATTAAGAAATATGTCAGAGTAATTCAGCATTATGTATTCACTCATGTAACAATGTGTATTGAGAATTATTTATATACCAGGCCCGTAAGTTCCTGGCTTGCACAGTAACTCAGAAAGATTCTAAGTTCCTTTCAGCAGGGACCATGTTTACCTGTTTCACCACTGTATCCACAGAGTGATACAGTACATGGCATGTGCATGGCATATAACACATACGCCATAAACAATTGCAGAACTGAAATTTTTAGGTGAATGAATGGTTGCCCTTTTACTTTAGAAGATTAACAACTTTCTCATGGATTTGAGAATTGTTGTTTCCTATTGAGGACGTGAGCCCCCAGGTGAGTTTTTTTTTTTTAATACTTTAAGTTTTAGGGTAGATGTGCACAATGTGCAGGTTTGTTACATATGTATGCATGTGCCAGGTTGGTGTGCTGCACTCATTAACTCATCATTTAACATTAGGTATATCTCCTAATGCTATCCCTTCCCCCTCCCCCCACCCCACAACAGGCCCCAGTATGTGACGTTCCCCTTCCTGTGTCCATGTGTTCTCATTGTTCAATTCCCACCTATGAGTGAGAACATGTGGTGTTTGGTTTTTTGTCCTTGCGATAGTTTGCTAAGAATGATGGTTTTAGCTGTGATATGTAAAACCTGAGTCGCCTTGTCTCCTGAGTCAAAGTCTTTTTGGGATATTTAGGGAGTTTCTAAAGGGACTCAGCCCCTCCATTAGCTTGAAATATTTAGGACAGAAATGAAAGCACTTAATGATCTGGAATTATTGCCTGAGATCCAGGGCCTGTGGATGGACATCCAGGAATCCATGGACAGCCCTCCAGCAAGAATCAAAAACAAGCAACTCTTCATGGACCCAATCCATAGACTGAGTCTCTGAATACTCAGAAATGCCAGTAGTTTCAACAAATCTTTATTTGCCTCAAGCCATGTGCCTCAATCGGATTTCCATACTCCCTGATATTCCAGCGGGGGAAGACTGTTAAATCTTTCTCTACAGGGTATGGGCTTTCCTTTTCCTTTCCTTTGTTTCTTTTTGAGACTGAGTCTTGCTCTGTTGCCCGGGCTGAAGTGCAGTGGCACAATCTCAGCTCACTGCAACCTCCGCCTCCCGGGTTCAAGCAATTCTCCTGCCTCAGCCTCCTGAGTAGCTGGGATTACAGGCACCTGCCACCACGCCCGGCTAATTTTTGTATTTTTAGTAGAGATGGGGTTTCATCATGTTAGCCAGGCTGGTCTCAAACTCCTGACCTCAAGTTATCTGCCCACCTCGGCCTCCCAGAGTGCTGGGATTAGACATGAGCCACCGTGCCTGGCCCGTTTTCTTTCTAAAACATGAACAGCTCTTTCCTCTAGAGACAAAATAAAACAGCATGTAGTATTATCTCTATCAAACAACCTGGCAAAGGGTATCACTCTCATCCTTATTATTGTTAGATGTTAAATGCTTGGTATGCACTTAACACCTTGTATGCATTCGTTTACAAGCGCCCAATTTTATCGGTTAGGGCAAGTGACAAGACCACACAAGTAGTAATATACAGAGCTGGAACTAGAATCCACCTGTTTGTGTTAGTCGGGTTTCAGGCAGGAAATAGCTGGCACACTCACACAGAGTGATTGAGGGGAGTTTTTTGAAGGGGCAAATTGAAAAGAGGTAAACAAGGTTTAAGCAAAAAAGAAAAGGGAAGGAAGGGAGGAGAGACAGAGAAAGAAAGAAGAGTGAGAGAGAGAGAGAAAGAAAGAAGAAAGGAAAAAGGGAAGGAAGAAAGGAAGTGAAGGGAGGTAGGGAGGGAGGGAGGGAGAGAAAGAAAGAAAAAGAAGGAAAGAAAGAAGAAAGAGAAAGAAGCTGTAAGTATGGAGAGGGCCACTTCACAGCACCTGTGGCCTTCGCTAGAGGAATGTAGCCAACTTCAGAACCCATCACGGGGACTAAGGGAATAAATACCCTGACCTCAGTCTCCTCTCACCCTCTAATTACCTGGCAGTATTTCTTATTATTAGCACCTCCCATTAGGATGCCTCAAAGAAAGGGAGCTTATTGATGGGGTCCATTAGTTCAGCCTGCTGGGACACAGATTAGGCAAGAAAGTGACTCTAGAGGGACAAACAAAAGCTCTCCAGCACAATGTCTGCCTAAAGGGGAGCATGCTTAGCCACATATATTCTGTCTCCAAATAATTCTGTTTATCCCTTATTCAGCAAATAGTCATTGCTTGGCCGCTCTGTGCTGGGCACTTTGCTTTGGGCTGAGGATACAGAGATAGTAAGATATTGTGTCTTTGAAGAGCTTAGACTCACGGTCTTCAGAAAATATGTCTTGCACATTTTTACCTGCTATTTTAACTACCATTTTCTCTCATTTTATCTCCCAAGCATGACTACATTTCCATCCAAAAATCCTAATTTTCTCAATCTTCTTCCACTATATTCCTTAGCTTTTCTTGCATCCACAAACTTTTCCCTCTACTTTCAGCTTCAGTGTAGAAATTTTTTAATAAAATTATGTTTTATTGTCATATAGATGAGTGCTTGCTATGTTGCCTAGGCTGGTCTCGAACTCCCGGCCTTGCCTACCTTATGCTCCAGTACCACAGGCCTGAGCTACTGTACCTCTCAGCTTCAGTTTAGAATTCTTTCAGACAGATTTGAAGCCTACTGAGGAAAGCTAATGATCTAATAAATCTTCAAGTGATATTAATATTATTTTTATCTCGTTAGTATTTGAAAAAGAATAGAGACAGTGTTGGAGAAAACAACTTTCTCTTACAAGGAAAATAAAAGATAAGAGGTCTAGAAAGTTCTGCTCTGATTCTATATACCTGCTCACATCACAATACATTGCATTTTACCCATGCTAGGAGCTGTGCTCAGTCAGAGAAAGGAAGGCACCATTAAAGATTTCAAGGTTGTTCCATAAGTGAATTGGATGTAAGTGCTCTCACTGCTATAGCTTGAAAGAGCTGAAATTGTTCCTGAAGCAAAATGGAAGAGGCTTGGCTAACTCTCTTGGTCATTTATTAGTATGGCCAAAGTAGCCTTATCTTTGATTGCCTCCTTTCTCCTACTGCAATGAAGAAATCCTCTGGCTCTGGATTTTCCTCTCTGTGTTTGCTAAATGCTTAGAAAGCTAGGCCTCCCACTGGCCAGCAGACAGGCCTGAAAGGACCCCTTTTGAGAGGCCAGATGTTTAGAAATAGAAGCTATAAGGCAAAGGAACTGTTGCATTTACCAGAAGGTGTGTCCACCAAAGGGGAGAGAAGCTTTTCCATTCAGAGGAAAAAAAAATTCTTTTGAAGTTGTCTGAAGGCCATTGCTCAACTGAAAGATCACAGTTGAAGCTCTGACCATATTAGAAATTAGCATTGCTAATGAGGTTTTTAGAGAATCACAGATTATTTTAATCTACTTAACCTTCTCTATAAATACTTGACTTAGAAAACATTGTACTTCTATTTCTGATAATCTAATAATGGATAAATGTTATTTTAAAGGCAGTAGCAACAATGTGAATATCATTTTTCAAACAAGAACTATCAAATATTGGCATATCACTTTATTTTTGTCAGTTCCAATTCTATGATAGAGAGTGGTAGCCGACTGTCTGAGCTATCTGATAAATTGGAAGGTTAGGACAGTCTAAGTGGCTAGCTGACAAGATTATTTCTCTAATGACAAATATATGGGCAAGTATCAAAAAATCAGCTACTGTATGTGGGCCTAGCTAAGCAAAACCCTGGGAACCCAAGCTTCTAAAAAAGCAACTGATCAATATAGTTTACAAAAGGAGCTTTCCACCATCTTTTACATGCCTTCCAATTAAATCAATATGACACTGAAATTTGCAACCCTTCCAGAATGTTCTTTGAATGAAGAGGTAAAAATAATCTGTATCTGCTATGAATATGAATGAATCAATTGCCCTTATTCATCTGTTCTGTATTTCAAGGCTAACCTCCTTTGAAAAAATTAGGTTTCTTCACCACCATCTCAAACCTAAATTGTTCTCAAGTTGATTCACTGATTTCATCATTCATTCATTTATCCACCAAATCTTTATTGAACACCTACTATGTGGCAGGTACTCTCTGAAACACCAAGGATATGGTATTAAGCAAAACAAACAAGTTTCCTGCTTTTGTGGACGTCTTAGTAAATGGAGATAGTCAATAATAAATGAACAAATAAATAAGCAAGAAGGTATCAGGCAATAAAGTGCAAAAACTAAAAAGAGGAATTACTGGAGAAAGTGAAAGATGTTTTTAGGTTAGGTGGTTGGGGAAGAAAGACCCTCTAAGAAACAGAAAGTAGAACTAACAACTGAGTGGCAAAGGAAGAGAGGGCAGGAAAAGATCTGAGGAAAGAATGTTCCAAGCAGGCAGAATAGCTAGCGCAAAGGCATGGAAGGTGAGTGTGGCTGAAGAGTAGGAAAGGAGAGGGTTGAAATTAAATAAAACAAAAAGATAGATGAGAGGTAGACTGCATAACACTTTAAATGCATGGGAAAGGGTTTGGGTTTTACTTACTGTAAACTTACTGGACAACTATTGAACTTTTCTCAGATGAGTGATATGATCTAATTTATGCTTTAAATGGCTCAACATGGGTAATAGAGATTTCTAGGGGTAAGAGTGAAAGCAGTGAGACCTAAAGGGAGCCTGTTGCAGTGGTCCACAGGGAGGTGACAGAAGGGTGGTAGCAGGGGAGACTTAGAAAATGTTAATGCTCTATCTGGAAAAAAATACGAGGCAGAAAGAGCTAACCCAACCAGCAGATTAGAATCTGCCTATTAGCCTTAGAACCTTATTTAGTGAAAGTTGACCCAGAAAGCCCTTTAGAGATAATTCAGTAGAAACCCTTCAATTTAAACTTGAGAAAAACAGAGACGTGGACAAATTCTGGGACACAGCCAGGGTCACAGAGCAAACCGCTAGCAAACCCAAGACTGAGCCTCATACCTCCTATCTTCCCAAATGTTAAAGTGCCCAAGGCCATACAGAAACCAGCAGGGCCTGAGCGTGGATTTCATGGGCTCTTTCTACACCAGCAAGTTCCAATCTCTGGTGCAAATCTGCATAATGGGGACAGCCGAGAAGTTACTGCAGGGTCCATGCATCCAAATGTGGATTTGTCATACCCTGTACACTGAATAAACAAAAGTATAAGTGCCATCACGTTGCATCCAAAGCAGAGTGGTTAATAGCTTAGACAATGGCATACAATTAGGCTCAAATTTTAGCTTTACCAGGTATTGACTCTGTACTTTCAGATAAGTTACTTAACTCTTTGGGTCTTGGTTTTTTCACCTATACCCTGGAATAAAAATTGTAACTCGTAGTTTTGTAAGGCTCAAATAAAATGATATACCAAAAACACCCACATAGAATAGTATCTGGCAAGGAGTAAATATTCAAGAAATCTTCACTATTATTATGTAGAAGACAGAACTTTTTTCCTTTTACTTGCAATGGGACTCTTAATATTCAGAGCCAATGAGAATTACTCACTGGGCTCCGTGAAGAAACAATTAAGTATGGTTCTACCCTACAGGTGCATTGCTGGAAACTGCTGCCTCTTTGACCCTACTCTGACTCTGCCCCTTATCAGCCACCTGGAGGAACTGTGGCCTTCAGCACAGAGACACTATTCTTTCAGTCAATCCTTCATTTATTTATTCTGTAAATGTTTACTGAGTGCTCACTTAAATGCCGGGTGATTCTAAGGCTTTTTTTCCCTGCTTCAGATGTGTTCACTTGCTTAATTTACTCCCCTGAGTAACTTCTCTCATTGAAGTGCAGAGATTTGTCAATAAGCAGGTGAGGGGTGGCCACAGGGGAGTGGGGAGGAAAAGGTTCCTATCAGAATTTCAAAGGGGCCATGGGGCATGTACAGTTTGAAGAATTGGTAAGCACCCCAAAAGCTCAGGCATAGGCAACAAGCGGATCGAAAGAGATGGAGGAGAGAGGGAGCTGGACTCCCTGAGCCCAGTTTGCAGGTGTGTAGTGTAGGTGAAAGCACTGCCTTGCCCGTTGTTCATTTCTTCCCCACACCTTCCCACTCACAGCTCTATGAGGCATAAGTGTAGCCATTTTACAAAGGGGAAACCAAGGCTCAGGCGCAGGCCACATGACTAGTAAGTGGGAGACCAGGACTAGAACCCAAGTTGCCTGACTCCTCGTTATGGTTTTTTGGTTGGTTGGTTTGGTCCCCCAACCTCCCCCTATCCACCAAGTTGTTACTGTGTGTATAAGAAAAGGAAGAAAGGGAGTAAGAGAGATGATGGTGGTGGCTATGATATGGTAGTGATAGTGTGTGTGTGTGTGTGTGTGTGCACGCATGAAAGAGAGAGAGAGAAGGAGACAGAGATACAAAGAGACAGAGATAGGAAGGAAAGCGAGAGAGAGAGAGACAGAGAGAGGGACCTCAAAAAAAGACTTTGGACAACTCCAAATTAACAACAAATTAATACCTATAAAAAATGTGGCCAGCCTATGTGCATTTCAACATTCCCGCACCGAGTGGGGACCCAAAGTAGGGGGCGGGAAGGAGAGGCACACAGACTTCCTCTCCCTGTGCTGCGGTATCTGCCTTGGGGAAACATTGTCCACGATGCCAGTGTGAGAACATGTCACCTGTGGCAGCCTCTCCAAGAATTTGATACAAATGCCCCCAACACACATTGCCTCAAGGTGCTATGATTTCGGCCCTTCGAAGTAGTCGAGCTGAACTCCTTCCTACAGAGGTTTATTTGAAGAAGAAAGCAGATCCATGTCGCACTTAAGCCTCTGAAACCATTTTAATTTTGAGGTTTTGCAGGAGACGTCTTTAAGTAACACTCCTGTGACGAGTGAGCAACCAAGTTGTAATCTGTCCCTTCTACAGTTGCCAGAGCCTTAAAAGCCTGTCTTCCAGTACATCACCTTAATGATTATTTATGGACAGTGTACGAGTTTCCCAAATGGGGATTATGCATAACAGCTATGCATTTACATTAAAATGAGGGCAATTTATTTAACAAACATAACAACATTTACTTAATCTATGCAAATCTATTCGTAAGATTTTATAAAACCACCATTTTTCCCCATACCCTTAAAACACAAAATTCTGGCTTTAAAAAAATCTCCTAGTTTGTTTTTAAGCACTGTGCTTGCAGGAGGAGGGGGCTGGCAGAGTAAAGGGGAGATGGTGCCTCTGTTGGTGATGCAGCCTGCTCGTGCAAAGCAGTCCTGCACTTCCAGTTGTGAGCCAAGAGCCAAGTGTGGGAGCTCACCATGGTGGCAGCCACCTCCCCACCAAGCAGGCAGCGTTCACCAGAGGGGAGTATCAGGTTCCTGTACTCAGCTGTGGGTTGTCACTGTCTAATAATATGACCGTTTTGCCATCTCTCTGCAAATGAGGCTGAAGCTGCTATCTGATTGGTATAACATCTCACTTTCCCTCTGCATTGATTTTCTTCTTCTCCTCCTTTGCTTCATAAAAAGAGGGACAAGTGGCTGGTGCTGTGGACAGAGAAGCTTTATTTTTAGTATGAGACAACCTCTATTTTCTTTCAGGAGAGGGAAGTTGGATTATCAATTCTTTTGTAAATGTGTATGGTGATATTTGCTCCGGTAAGTTTACAGCTATCTTGATTTACAGCTGGCTGTGGGGATATGTGTGTGCATGTATGTGTCTCCATAGGCACATTTGGATTGTACACTTTTCTTTCCAAGTATCAGTTTTTAAGTCTCTAGTAATAATCTCTATTTTTCTTGACTTTGCTTTCTTGTAATTTGTATGTTTAAACCAAAGAGGCTGTGTTGATACTGAAATGCTTACTTTAGCTGTTTAAGTATGTGCTGGGTTTCTTTGAACATAGTAAGGAAACTATTTAAGCAAACTTATATTTGCTTTATAAAACTGTAATGTCATTCTACCCTACCCCTCCTTCCTTGGAGTGTTTAATATCCTAAATACATTCATTGTGCTGCAACCTGCTTACCATTTTAATTAAAGTTTCTTCATCAGTGTCAGAGTGAAAATTACTTAAACTCCATATACAGCTACCAAATATTATATGTTGTGCTGAAAGGTGCTAGTTTTATAAGGTCTTATAGCAGTATGTAGAAAGAATGAGTTTCCCCTACGATTGGATGCATGCACCTTTAAAAGGACTGAATTTAGAAAAAGTATTCAGATCACTAAATGAAGTCCTAGCATGCCATGAAAAGCTACAATCACAAGTGGCTGTTGCTTCTCTTTCGTCTTTCTTTGCACTGTGTATTTCTGCCACCATCTGTCAGATGCCCAGTCCGGGCTCCTGTGTTTCTATATGTGAAGCTAATCAGGAGAAAAGTTGCTGTTATTAAATTTAACTACTGCAAAATGACTGTCCGGTCACCGTTGCTGGAAATGATTTTTAAATGCATTACCTGGTTAGCTGCGTTCTTTTTGTTCGAGAGTAAAAGATGCTCTGAATTCTTCATTGTTAATTCAGAAGTCTGGGGAAAAGTATTTTAATATAATTATTCTAGACAGGGATGAGAAGATGATTAAATAATTGCTTTAATGGAAACAAACTGATGCTTTAATCTTCTCTTTTTGTTATACAATCAACAAATCTGCATAGTCTTTTTCATGGTGAAACGAGCTGGAGAATAGATTTGTGATGAAAGTTAAAGGCACCATGGCATGTGAAGCAAGACGAGGTCTGACTATACATTTTTCAGAGATTTCGAGAGTAAAGTTGGGAATATCATGCAGGCCTAGGGCTCGTAGGCATAGATTTTTTTCAGGATAGCAATTTTTCAGATTTTGAAGTAGTCTTATGACAGCTCAGAATGCCTGTCTGGGAGTGCACTAACCTTCATATCTACTCCCTTTTGGACGTGCCACGACTCACACACGCTGTGCACACTCCAATGAAGCTACTCATTTTGACAAACAGACTGAATTTTGATCAATCTAACTCAGCCTCAAAAATACACTAATCCCCCAAACCCACCCAAGTTATTATATTGCCTTGTTACTGGTCCCAATAAGCATGTGCCTAGTGTCAGTCTTAGACGACAAACCTTAGCTGGAGCCAAGTGTATCTTAGCAGATAATTTGTTGGAAAAAAAACAAAACAAAACACAAACAAAACTTTTATCCTTGGGCTGTTGCCAATTACTGCTAAGTAAACTCACCAGCATGGAACATCACCTCTTCCCCTCCCCAACACACACACATCCAATCCCTCAACGTCCTTTAATATTTTATATAATATATTTTATATAATCATTCTCCTTTCATGGCTGTAACAGGTTGTATGTGAAGTCATTTGCTATAGACAGAGCTTATCATCATCTGAAGCTATTCAGTAATATAAATTAATGAAACTTGAGGTGGCAGCATGCATTCTGCATGTGAAAGTTATGCCTTTTCCTCCAGTCTGTTAGTTTACAGAAGTGTTAGGGCTCCAAGCATACTCAGGCCCACAAAGGAAGAACAAAAAGGCATCTGTATCTTTAAAAGGTCGGGATCCTTAGTTGGAGTTAGAGCCAATGTGCACAGTTTTTACAAGTATCACTTCTGAAAGGTCCATAATATCATAACCAGAAAATCTGTCATAATCTCTTCCAAGCATTAAAGACTTTTGTCATTTGGGGGAAAACAATAAAGGGATTTTTAAAATTTCATAATCAGCTCCTCTCTTCTTTTTAGCATAATGAAGAATGCAAGAGTCATTTCCATTTAGTAAGTACATCCTATATGCCTGGCACTGTGCTAAGCATTTTACATGGCTTATCCCCTTTAATCTTGACAAGCACTCTATGAGGGCCATAACATTACCTCTCCATTTTACAGATGAGAAAATGGAGACATAGGACAAGTATGTAACTTACTTGAGGAAACACAGTGAGCGGGATGAGTCTCGGAACCAGGCAGGCTCATTCCAGAGTCCTGCTCTTCCTACCTCCCATCTGTCATTGGTACAATCTACAACAAACGCCTAGACTGAAATGATTTCCAGGGACCTATAGTTAAACATCCTATTTTTCCCCATTCTGATACAAGGTAGTCTCCTTCCTCTCAGACTATGTCTTTATGATTCCAAGCTAAGTATGTCTTTGAAACTGAAGAATATGTGTTTTATTTCCACTCAACTTGAGCAGATACAAAGATATGAGTGTGACTAAATGAGCCCACCTAGGGTAAAATTTATGCAGAAGTGGATAAATCAAGGTAGTAGTTCTTTTAATTGATCAAAGTAAATCAATTCCTTTGACCTTCAGTCTTTTGGACATAGTCAAAATAAAGATGCGATGACAGCTTAGAAATATCAATATCTCAAGGCAGCTGGTTCGTCATTGGTGCAAAATATAAAAAGCAATTCCAACGGAATCATTTTTGGAGAGCTTTACAAAATTCTCACCTTCCCTTTACTCACTCCCACCATGTTTTTTTTTTTTTTTTAATTTCTATTCTTTGGCTAGCTGGAAAGGGCTGAGGTAGCACTTCAGGTTGAATATTGCAAAGTGTCTATCTCACCTGGGTAATTTAAAAAGGAACACAGCTGTCAATAAGCATGCTGAGAAGCGTGACAAAGACGAAATTCAGAGTCCCCAAATGCATTCCTTTGCACCTGAGCAGTGGGCTCCCCATTTTAAATCCACTTGAGCCAATAAAATTCAGATGGATTTTATAGGGGGAAAATGCAACTGACATAGAATCAATAAGGTTGAAATTTCTCTTCAAGTGGCAGCTTCTGGATGAGAAGCAGGGCATTCTAGTCATAAAGTGAGCCTGTAAAATGCTGCATTATGAGAAAGGATTATGAGTGGTGAAAATGTTGCTAGAAGATAGAACCTAGCTCACAACACCTTTGCTAAATTTACCCAAACTCAGAGGGATCTTAAAAACAAACAAACAAACCGCTAACAAGCAAACAAAAACCACCCACCACAAATTGGAAGAACTAAGAGTCAAGTTTTGAAGTGGTTAACACAATATTGAGTTCTTGGTGTGATCTGCTGTGTCTAATAAGCAACAGCTTTTGAGCTACTCTTGGTTAGGCACCCAGTTAGTTAAAAAAAGTTCAGAGTGCAGTACACAATAAAATACATTTCCAAAATGATAGTCATTTTTGTCAGAGGCAAGCTTGGTTAACTCCTCAATTCTGGGTTATGTCTTTCTCTTGTTCTTAAAAAAAAAGTCATAATTGGGTGGTTTAATCAGAAAGTGTGGTATTAGAGCCAATACTGATAAATAAATTCAAATCAATTTGCTTTTTCCAACAGCATTTATGAGAGTTCTAAATATACTAACGGCCATCAAACGAAAACTTTTACTTTAATAAAATATATTGTGCTCAACCACAGTGTTCATCAAATATAGACTATCCCTAAAAACTAATCTTATAGGCAAGTTTATAAAGTATATCATATTTCAGTCCCTAGCTAGAAGATGCTGCTTTCTTCAGAGGGGTGACTAAATTCCAAATCAATAGTACTGAGGATTGTACTCCATCTTGCCTATGTTTCAACCTGCCCTTTCTTTGGCTACAGATGTGTGTACTTAAACATATTGATCATTAAGCACTTAAAAATTATCTATTAAGTATGGAGAAAGCAGCTGGTGTTAACACATAATTAGTTTTGGACTAATCTTGCATTTTTCGTTAAACATTCTAGGCTGGTGTACAAATAGAGCTGGTGGTCCTGTTACATGCTTGTGTAAGAAAATAAGTCAGTGAATATTTTGAGCCTGAAATCAGCACATGAAGCACTAAATCTTCTAGAAGAGGCTCTTGGTCATCAGTGTGTCTTTAAATGTTTAAAGATTCAGGGTTTGAAAATGGAAACACCTCAGTCTCTCCACTCTGCAGACTAATGGATCTGCATAATTAATATATTTTACTGTGATTTTTTTTTTTTTAACACAAATTCTAGCCAAAAGTACTATTGGAAAATTGTTCAGGGGCAACTCCAAACATGTTTTCTTATAGTTTCTAGAAAGCTTACTCACAACACAGGCTATCAGTTTACCATGGAGCTTTGAGTTGGCCAATCTAAGTGGATGATCATGACATTATTTTCTTTTGGAGTAAATGATGTGTTGGGCATAAAAGGTTTCTACTGGTATTCCCCAGGGGACTTATTTAGCCTTGCCTACAGAATATTTATTTATTTATTTATTTTTGAGATGGAGTCTCATTCTGCCTCCCAGGCTGGAGTGCAGTGGTGCAATCTCAGCCCACTGCAACCTCAGCCTCCCGGGTTCAAGTGATTGTCCTGCCTCAGCCTCCTGAGTAGCTAGGACTACAGGCATGTGCCACCATGCTCAGCTAATTTGTGTATTATTAGTAGAAGTGGGGTTTCACCATGTTGGCCAGGCTGGTCTTGAATTGATAACCTCAGGTGATCCTCCTGCCTCGGTCTCCCAAAGTGCTGGGATTACAGGCCTGAGCCATCATTCCCAACCTTACACAATCTTTAAATCCTCCCAAATTACCACACCTTGTCTCAATGTAGACTTACTGGCAAAGATATAACAAATATTTTGGGCTCATTTTATTTCTGGTAAAATATGGCTTTCAGAATATATGTGTCAAATATGAATTATTATTGCAAGGACTTCTTAAGTCACCATATTGACATTCACTTCTCAATGTTGAACCCACACATCTTTATCTGGCTTTAGATCTCCATGAGGGAGGAAAATGGATAAGATTTTCCAAAACCTGTGACATTCAAACTACCTTCATATGAAATTGAATGGCAGAGGAAAAACATTTTTTTTTAATTGGGGGAAGATTTTAGAAAAAGTCTGGAATGTGGATGTCACTTTTTTTTTATTTAATAAATATTTAAGGATGCCTACCATGTGCCAGGCACCATGCTAGGCATGGGAGATACAATGATGAACAAATATATATAATTTCTGCATTCCCAGAACTAAATGCCTTCATTTTTCCATTTTCTCACCTAAACTGAGTTTCTATTTCATGGCCCAGGATGTGTTTTCTTAAAAGCATAATTGAACTGTTCTAGTAAGGCATTTGCAGGAAATGTGTGCTTTTGGTCCTATATGTTCACACTCAGTGAAGGAACAAGAGTGAATCCACTTATTTACTGATGTGATTATTGTCTGCTGAAATGGAGTGGTAGGAAGCAGGGAGCTGGAAAAGATTTTGTAGTGTGTGTGTCTTATAAGCATTATTTATTGCTTCGAGGCATTCTCAGATTTGATAGGCCATTCTCATTCTTGGACAGTATTGGGAGAGGAAAGAAGGGAAAAAAGCTTTGAAAGGAAAGAAAAGTAAAGAAGATAAAGAATAAACAGAGAAGGTGCCTAAAGAAACTATGATTTTCCCTGGCAATCTGAAATAGATCTAACTTGTATTATCTGGTTTTTTGTGGGTATTCACTCACTCATCTATCTATTCAATAAATTTATATATTGGGTACCCTCTTTAAGCCAAGTACACTACTAGATGCTAGGGCACAGAAATAAACAAGATACACTAGTTCCTGAATTCATGGAACTTCTAATAGACCAGGATTTCTCAAACTTGGTACTATTAACATTCTGGTGCAGATAATTCATTATTGTTAGGGGGCTGTTTTATGTATTATAAGATGTTAAGCAGCATCCCTGCCTTCTACCCACTATGTGTCAGTAGCAATCTCCCCACCCAACCCCCAGGTTGTGACAACCAAAATTACCACCAGACATTGCCAAATTGCCCCTGGCTGAGAACAGTACAGGAAACGCAGTAATTGCCACCACCTTTGACCAAATCCTCCCACCATATTTCTACTTTTCTTTCTTTCAGATACTCTGCTGCACAGTTTACCCTAGGGTTTTTAAGTTGCTTTCCCCGAATATACTAGTGCCATTTGCCAACAAAGACAAGTAAGGCATCTCTAAGTCCTTTTACTATTACTATCCCTTACCTTTGCATAACACTTTACCACATTTGTGTAGCTTACATTATCTCATTTGATTCTAGCAGTCAACTAGTAAGACAATATTAAAATATTATCACCTTCAACAAGTGAATAAATGGACATTTAGATGGTTACAAGCCCAAATTCTTACAGCTAATAAAGGATAGAACCTGGATTCACACTCACATGTCCTGGCTTAAAAACCAGTGTTTTTCTACACAATTATACTATTTCATGGGGAAAAAGGTAAGCAGAGTTAAAGCATACTTTTACTCTTTGAAGCAGTTCAATAAGGGCAGCACAGCAGTAGTTAGGGAATTTGAGATCTACAGGCTTGGCTTTCTTACTCAGCATTTATTAGCTGAGTGGTTTTGGACTGCCCACATACATTCTTAGAGTCTCCCCAGTAGTTCACGGAATGTAGAGTGATTATTGCAAAAGCTGCAAGAAGCCCTAGAGATCAGCCTACCACAGTAGAGAGAGTGCGGGTTTTGAAGTCGGATGGATCAGGTGTGTGAGTCAGCATCCAAGCAGGAAGCAGATAACACCTTCAAACTATCTGATCTCTTGCTGGTGACTCTACACCATTAAAACTTAATTTATTTAAGTCAGAAAACTGAAGCCCCAAGAGATGAGTTGAATTGCCCAAGCTCTATGGTGAATTTGGTACAAAAGGAAGATAACAGAAGAGCTCAATGTCCTTCCAGCCTAGTGAGCTGAAGAACCATTTTAAACAGAGGAAGGCTGGCATATGGATCTGGCTCAAATCAGAAATGTATGTGTTTTGGGTTATAAGCAGATGTCTAGGTACCTGAGACAGGTTCCTGGTTTTTCAACTGGACGTACCCAAACATCTTTGGGGGTTATTTTAGCCAGTTTCAGCCTCACTAAAGGATGCAGAGCATGTACTCCTAGGTGGCTCTTAGAAGACTGGTAGACATGAAAAACACATAAAAGGCAGGTGGTGGTTTGCAGTGGGCTTGTCACACATGCTCCTGAGCTTGGATAGATGCAGGGCTTTGCCAGGAGATGGGGCTCACACTGTTTGTGGGCCCATATCCTTGATCTTTTGATGAGCTGTTAAAAGGTATCTGTAATTATCGAGACCCTTGGCACATTTGCCAAGATAAAAGGCCTTTCAAGTATATTGCTCTGGCAGCATTCCCAAAAAGAAAACTATCTTCTACCTGCATTGCCTCAGAGCACTCAAACTTGCAAAGAGAGGAAATAGGTCCAAATCCCGGCTCTGCGATATAGGGGTATGTATGGCCTTAGACAATTCATCTGCCATCTTGGGGCCTTCGTATCTTCATCTGCAAAATGGAAATAATGAGTACCATTATGAGTAATAATGAGTAACTTCCCAGAGTTATGAAGAAGATTGCTGTCATAGATGAAATAGGAAAGTACTGTTGAAACTGTGCAGGCCTGGACAATAGCATTGTTATTTTCTTCCTCTGTAAGTCAAAGTCCATTTTGCTATCAGTTTTCATTCCATGCCCTCGATGAGTGCTTGAGGTTAGGGGAACCATTTCCCCAGTCTACCAGGAAACTCACTGCAGTTATGGGATGGGTTTAAAGTAGTCTGGAAATGCTTTGCTGGGTGATTCCATCTCAAGGGGAGATTTATGCCTTATTATAAATTGCAGGAAGAGAGAATCATCACTGAAGAATAACTATAATAAAACCAAATGCAATATGTATAAAGCCATTCCCTATGATTAGCTCATCTTAGTAGTGCCCCTGAATTTTCCTTTCCACTTTCTTAAGACCCTGTTACCCCCATCAGTCTTGCCATTACCCATTTGTTGTGGAGTCAGGGCAGAGGCGGCAGGGACTTACAGGACCTGGACCTTGCCCATCAGTTTCTAACACTGTGACTTCAACGCTCTCCCCTCTCCACATGATCCTGGAAGCTCCTCAGGGGAATTGACAAGTCATAATTTTCTCCCCAAGTACAGATGCTCGGAGAAAGCCTCTCTTTGCCTGCTCTGGGTTTCTCATTAGCCCCCACTATAGGATATTCAAGGGTTTCTCATTTCTCATGTTTTATTTACCTCAAAGCATCTCCTAATACATTTGATCAGAAAACTCGGTTAGCTCAAATTTTTTTTGAAGACCATTATCTGCTGGCATTCCTCTCCCAGGCTCCTTCCCTCAGCTCACCTCTTCACTCTGAGTGGTATTTATAAACTCCTCAACTTCTGAGGCATTTGGAAGACACCCTCCTTTCTTCCTCCCCCAGACCAGTTCCCTGATATAATTTTTTTCTCTTTCTCCCACTGCCTTCACACTCAAAGAAAGGGTTTCTCAAACGTTTTTTCTCTGGATCTCTTCAAAAAGGCAAGAATGTTTTCTTATTTGCTCACTCATTCATTTGTTCGTATGTTCATTCATTTGTGCATTCTATGTAATACTGAGCAGCCACTGGGTGCCGGGTTAAGATTTGGGATACGGAGGTAACTAAAACAAACATGGTCTCACGTAAGACTTGCAATCTAGTCGGGGGGACAGGCAATTTAAAAATCCCTCAAAAGTGATTTAATTATCATTATAGTAAGTGCTAAAAATAAAAGCTAAGCCATCTTGGGTACTAATTATGTGACAGGCACGGATCCAAGTGTTTTATGCATATTAATTCATTTAAGCCTCGCAACTATGCTTTGAGGAAGTTAAAAGAGGAGAGGATTAGTGCCCATAAAACCTGAAGGGCATAGACTCCATTAGTAAATTTGTGAATATTGGAATGAGGATGATACACCAGGACAAGATGCTAAGAGTTTGCATAGATGACATTTATGTAGCACTTTCTGTTTACCAGGCACCATGCTCTATACCTCATACACAGGACTTGAACCTTCACAACAGCACCATGAAAGATCACTATCATTATTTTAAGAATGGGGAAAATGAGACGTAGAGAGCCTGAGCCACTAGTCCAAAGCCACACATTGTGTATATGGTGACTCTGAGAGTATAGCTTAGGTGCGTTTGACCCCAAGTCTAGGCTCTCACCCATTATGTTAACCTGTGAAAAGTTGACATTAAATATTCCTCATACAGTTTATGTCCTGGTAAATACTGGTAAAATGGAGGGAAAAAATGGATCTTTTTATGTGTATCTCAATTAGAGCCACAATAATCGTTCTTGAAATAAAATGGAACTTTGTATGTACTGAGAGTGTCGAATCCTTAACCTTTAAGCATATTTCCATGTAACAGCTTCCTGTTCAAAGGGTGAGCTGAAGACCAGCAGCGTGGGCATCACCTGGGAGCTTGTTAAAAATGCAGAGTCTCAGGTTCCATCCCGACCTATTGAGTATTGGAATCTACGTTTTAATGATCTCCAGATGATTTGCATACACACTTATGTTTGAGAAGCTCAGATCTAGCACAAGTTAAAAGAATAGGCTTCCAGCCCTGGTTGTGATGCTAACTGACCAGTTGTTTGACCTGCCCAGATTTTCTTTGCCTTTTCAGTGGAAATGACCTCAGCTCTCTTCACAGAGGAGTCAGGAACCCCCCAACAGAAGAGCCTGGGGAGGAAGATTCCACAGAAACTCAGAGACTCTTTTTTACCTCTGGAATCAGTTTCTCACTAAGTAGTCCAAGGACCACCTACATGAAAATCATCTGGGGAGTTTATTAAAAATGATGTTCAGATTAAAAGTAGACCTGTCAGAATGGCAATAAATGCCAAAAATAGGGTGTCATAATGTCTTCAAACACCAAGAGAAAATGGCTGTTAGATGAGAATTGAGTATCTCTCCCAAGGTGTTTATCTGGGATAAGGATGCAATAAAGTCATTATCAGACAAACATTAAATGACATCTAAACTTCACATTTGATTAATCTCCTTTTGGGAGGAACTGACACTGGAATGGGTACTTTGGATCCACCCAAACTTGAAGTTCAAATCCTTGCTCCCATTACCCACTACCTGTGTGACTTTTGAGTGACTTACGTTTTTGAGCCTCCGTTTTCTCGTCTGTTAAAAGAGGAGCAAATTCTCACCATTCAGGAAAGAGAGCAGCTCTTTTGAGGTTCTTTATAACGTAAATAAGTATGTGGTAAACAGTACTACAATAAATAAATCACAACTATTATTATTGGTTATTCAACATAAAGAGATTTCACAAAAAGTTACTTTTAAATTATCTGTATTATCATGATATAATCATTATTGCAGTAGATAGAAACCTATTTAGAATAACTTTTGAAGTAATGTTTAATTTAATTTAGCATACAGTTCTTGTTACTTCATTCATTAATTTATTCATTCAGTAAATGTTTATTAATAGTCTACTAAGTACCAGGAGCTTGCCCAAACACTGGGAATGCAGTAGTGTTATATGCTATATGGAGGGGTGAAATGAGGGACAGAAAATGTTAGATAGAATAAGAGCTATAGAAAAATACAAATCAGGTAAAGGGGATGGGCTGTTCTTTCAAATACATATTTTAATAATTGAATTAAACAGTAAATTTATCAGAAGAAACTTACAGAAAAATTTTGGAAATAACTATGTTTACCTTTGTGAGTTTTCCAATTTTCTCTCTAGGTTTTCTTTTAAATGAAACTCAGTATTTGAAAATTTTAAATTGATTCGAAGCTTGTTGACCAACCAACACCACTTCTTCTGCTTCCCAGAGAATGTGTAACTATTGCAGGTTTATGACCCTTAATACTTAACAAAATCATTCGTTATTTTATGTGATACTAACAATAGCCCCATGAAACAAACAGGTGAATTGCATATTGAGTTTTCCATTAAGGGAGAGAAACTATGGCTCAGGAAGGCCATTTCCAATGGATCAGAATTTTACCACTGGTTAATAGGGATGTGGGAGACACAGACAAAGGTCCTCATTCTCCAAATTCAACTTGGACTTTACCACAGGATCTCTACTTATTTGTCAATCCCTTGAAAACCTCCCATAAAACAAAGGTGAGGGCTCTGGGGTGGCAGAGATCTCTGTGTGATGTGATGTGATGTGATGTGATGTGATTATTCTGCATGGTGGGGAATGGTTGAGGTTATTGTAGGTTTAAACTATTACCATTGCCTAAATATGAAGGTGTTGAGGATAAAAACAAAATAAATGATATAAAGGCAAATGGAATTTATGAGCCATGGAGCATCAGCTTCAAGAAAATGTTAGACTTATATGTGGAAAACATATTAGGTTATAACGGAATTTTCCAAACTCAACTTTACTTAAGTTTTAGAATGGAAAGTTTAAACATTCAATCCAAATAAGATCTTTTTTAATACTTTCTGATTTTAATTTAGGAATAATTTTATTCTTACTGGCCCTAATTTGACGTTATAGTTTAGTGAATTCTACCAGCTAAGTGTCCAATAGGTACCTTGAAAATGTTACCTCTCTCCTTATTCTCTCTGGTCCACAAACAATGCTATTACTTAATAATTGAAATATTTGAGCCAATATGTTAAAGGAGACAAAAATATCATTTCTAATTATTATAACTCTTATAGGACAATTAGAATACCACTGGGCTTCAAGAGAGCAGTGTCCATCCCTGGACTCTAGAATGGCCTGATTAATTTTCCAGTCTTATTGAGGTTAAAATTCACATTACACTGTTCAAACTCTACTTGGAATTATTTCTACAGTGAAATAATGACATTTTAAACTATCATAATTGGTCATGCCTTTGCTTCTTTCACACACATGCTGCTACATTTTTCCCCCAACTATGTTTGGAGTATGAAATTTGGGAAAGAATAAGAAACACCCTAGGATGTTCGGCCATCCTTGATAGTGATACAAATAGCTAAAGTGGTAGTACAAATCATTTCCTAACGTATGTGGCTCCAAAGTTCTGACAGGGCAGATGTTCACCCAGAAATGGGTCAACTTAGTTGACAAGTATGGTTGAAGATTATTAGTTAAATAAGCCTAAAAAAGTCCCCAATTTCCCTCTCTGATTTTGCTTCTGTACATAGTCATGTTTGGGGTGTGTGTGTGTGTGTGTGTGTGTGTGTGTGGATCTTCAGATGTTCTCAAAGTCAAATGTCAACTGCTTTATCCTGTTCCCGTTAAGTTTATTCCAAAGCAGACCTCCAATATCAAGGCCCTTCTTTTCTTCCTATATTAGTCAATTTTCACACTGCTGATAAAGACCTTCCACAAGACTTGGCAATTTGCAAAAGAAAGAGGTTTAATGGACTATCAGTTCCACATGGCTGGGGAGGCCTCACAATCATGGCAGAAGGCAAGGGGTAGCAAGTCACATCTTAGATGGATGGCAGCAGGCAAAGAGAGAGAGAGCTCGTGCAGGGGAATTCCTCTTTTTAAAACCATCAGATATCATGAGATTTATTCACTATCACAAGAACAGCAGGGGAAAGACTTATCTCCATGATTCAATTACTTCCCACTGGGTCCTTCCCACAGCTTGTGGGAATTCAAGATGAGATTTGGATGGGGACACAGCCAAATCATATCACCTCCCTAGTGTCTAATACATGGCATTTGGCATACTGTAGGCCCTTAAGTATTTGTTGAATAATTGACAATCATTTAGAATTCACACTCCGAGCAAGGAGCATTCTGTTGCATCAGTACCTTTAAGCCTCTCCAGGCCAACTTGCTGGGTGAAGAGTAAATAATTTGATGAAATTGGTCATAAGGATATGGGAATGGGATGGGAGGGGTAAGGATTACAGTTTCCATTTTTTTGAGCCCTTCAGGCACAAGGTAGACTATGTTAAATAAATTTAATCATTGAATTCTCACAACAGCCCCGTGAGACAGGGGATCACCCTCTCATTTTACAAAGAAGGAAACAGAAGACTTGATGGGTTTAGAAATTTGTTTAAGAGTGTGGAACTAGGAAGTGATGGTGTAAACTTTACTCCCAGGTGAGCTCAAACCCACCATCCATGCTCTTAACCACTGCACAAACTCTTTGGAAAGGAGCAGATCTGATTCATGATCACGCCTCTTTCCCTGAGGTCTTGCCGCTTGTCCCATCCTGGTGAACCCACTCTTCATCCTGGCTAGTTTCTCATTGTTTTTTGTTTTCTCCCCACTCCGATGCCTTTAAGTCCTCATCCTCAAATCCATCCTGGGATAACTGAAGTGTTCCACTTCAAATGAGGACCAAACACGAATACACCAACAAAAACTGCCTTTTATTTTCTATCAGAGTTGGTGGGTCCAGAGAAGCTCTCCTCTTTGCAGCGGGGCCTCTGACCTGGGCTGTCTTGTGGGTGGCCTAGCTGAGTGGTAAGAAGTCGCTGTATATAGTCATAAGCTTTGCCTGTTTCTCCCTAAGTGGGGCTATCACCTTCCAAGCTAAGAATGCCTTTTGTAGCTTGCCTTGAAGTACCTCTCGGGAAGTTATCTGGTGCCACGATGCATACTTAAAATCCTCTTGTTTTCCTTCTCGCAAGATAAGAATTAACTTCCTGATGAACTCTTCAGTGCTTTCTCTTTGAGTAAACTCTGACTACCCCTCCCACAAGGACAGTTTTCAATTCCAGACAGCTGATACTTTTTATTCTAGTCATGCCATTCTATTGAATTTAGATTTCCACTTATAATGATCCTTTTTTTATTTTTTATTTTTTATTCCTTACGATCTTAAGATGTCACTCTTTTTCCCCTAGAACTTTCTAGGATATTTATGTCTCACCAATAAGCATTAGCACTGAGAAGTACAGAAGGTTCATTTTAATGAGCTCTTCAGGATTTGTCTTGCATCTGCTGAAATAAATTAGATCAAAATAAGATTGAAGAGATCTTCAAGTGCTGCAACACCTAACAAACTGATTTTATTATTTAGATAACAGGAAAAAGTGAAAAGAACTGAAGTTTAAGAAAATTAAATTTGTGTACTTAGTGAAAGATCAGAAGTCTCAGTGGAGAAAAATTCTAATTTGTATTACCTACAAAAGAGGGAGAAGGTCACCTGAAAAATTATACAGACCCACAGAGCTCAAACCATATTGTAGACACATTGAATATTTAGCGAACTTTGGTCCAGGAAGGGAGAAGACCCTACTGCTTTGTCTGAGCTCATGCCTTAGAAGTGTAAGACTACATGATTACCTTAATCTTGGGTGATGCTTTGGATATTACTGATAACTCAGACATGATAAATTTGATACTGATTTACTCTTTTTGCCTTTGTTTACTTGAAATGATAGAATTTTCTAACCCTCTTCTTTTGAATTAATCTCTTTCCCAGATTCTCATTTAATTTTATTCTTACCTTGTCTTCCTAATCCCAGTTATTCATTCAGCTATTATTAAAATCTGGGTATCTTGGGCACTAAACTTTGCTTTTGATATACGATAAGGTAATTAAATTGTTGCATTTAATAAAGTCTCAGAAATCTGCTAGCAAAATTAATTCCTCCTTGAATTTATGTAGTTTACTTTCATGGCACTCTTCTCTGCTTCACTATCTTGACACTCTCTCTTGGAGTGTATGTATCAGTTAGCTTTTGCTGCATAACAACACAACCCAAAATTTAATGGCTTAAAACTACATTATTTATCTAACTCATGATTCTGTGGGTCAGCAATTTGGCCTGAGCTTAGCTGGGTAGCATGTCTGCTGATCTTGACTGGGCCCACTCATGTATCTATGGCGATTCTCTGATTAATAAAGTGGTTGTTCTTTCTAAGGATTAGCTATGTATTGATTAGAAAAATGAGGATAATTGGACCCCTTACCTGTCATCAAGTGAACTAGCCTGGGCTTGTTCTCATGGCAATCACCAGGTTCTAAGCAAGCAAGCAAACTGCAAGATCTCTTACAGCTTAGGCTTGGAACTCAGAGAATGCCACTTGCACATTCTGTTGGTCAAAGCAAGTCACAAGCCCATCCCAGATTCAAGAGTTGAGGAAATAGATTCCACTTCTTGGCAGGAGTTGCTCCAAAGTATTACAATTATTTTTACAATCTGTCTAGCACTCAGTCATCATCTCTATGAGTCCAATCTTCTTACCTTACTGCCAGAGCACACTCACCTGATTATCTCAATCTTACCTGAGTTTCAACCTCTTCAAAACAGGCCTAACTATTGTCTCTCTTTCCTTGTAACCTATTTCTGTCAGTAAAAAGTGTCATTTTCCCAGGCTCTTAACTGAAAGTCCTGTATTCATGTTACACTCTCCTCTCCCCACTTTCTTTATAGCCAAAACCACCAAATGCTATAAGAATCCTTCTGAAGTATCTCTCTATCTCTCCTCTCCCGTCACTTAAGTTTCTCCTTGATCTCTTTGTCTCCCATTGTTCTTTCATTCAAGACTTCCAGCACACCCCCTCCCAATTAATCTCACCTATCTCTTCTCTTTTCTGCTCCAAAACTTTCCACTAATTCACTATGACAAATTCAACCTTCTCTGCCAGATACACTACCTGATTTGGCCCAAATTACCTGTCCAGATTTACTCCCACTATTCACCAATTTGGATTTTCATACCTCAGTGAAATGAGACATTTCACTGGCCTCAATCACTCTATAATTGCTTCTATGCCTTTATTCACACTATGTTTTTCTCCATCCTTTTTGACTTTTAAACTCTGACCCACCTCCATAACTCAGACCACATTTCCTTCTGCACAGAGCCAAAGGCAATAGTCACAGAGATTTCTCTCCTTCCTGTTCTGTTAGGTAATTAAGCAGCACTACATATTTTGCCATGTGATTACGTTTCATCCTAAATTATCCCAATATTCATGGGCACTAGCATTGGCTCCTGCAGCAAAGTTTGGCCTCCTTGAGAATAAACACATCACATCTTCATTTTAGATTATCCAGGACTCACTGGACAGGGTATGGGCAAAATAGATATTCAACAAAACTTATTTCATTGAATTAAATCTCAAATTTCATTTAATCATCCCCTTTGTGAAGATGATTTTTCCTATCATTTTAAGAAGCAGAAAAGCTATGTGATTCATCAAGTTCAATATTTAGGGGCCCCGGAAAGGAATATGGGTCCCTAAACTCTGAACTGATTCACATTCTTTACACAGACTCTGTAGTCTCTTAATACTGACAAAACGATTTCTATTACACCAAGACAGAGGAAAATGCTGCCATCCGTCATTCAGCAAAGTCATCTTTGACACCTCCCTCATCCACTGTCATCCAGTTCAGCACTAAATCCTGTCCATTTTCCCTCCACAATTTCCGTCAATCTGTCTACTTCTCTTCATCTCCACTCTCACTTCGCTGTCTGTCTCAGATGACTGCAACATCCCATAAAAGTTCTCACTGTTTTCTACTCTTCTGCCCACTCACACCTTCCTCCAAGCTATTCTCCACATAGCAACCAGAGAGGTCATTTCTGAATTCAAGTCTGCTCATCCTGCTTAACACATTTGAGTAAATTTGCATTGCTGTTAGATTAAAGGTCATATCCTTAGCAGATCCATAAAACCCTGCAGCATCTAGCCATTGACTGTCTCTCCAGATTATATCTTCCTGTAATGCCCCTTACATCACTGCTTTATGCAGCCCAGTTCCTCAAATACACCAGGATCCATCCTCCCACAGAGTCTTTACATGTACCGTAATTTCCACCAGAACACTCTTCTCACCCTGACTGCCCTTCATTCATTTCTATGCATCCTTTGGGCAACTCAAATTATTTTGCTGATTACTTAATCAATGTCTCTCCTCCATCAAACTATAACCTCCTTGAAGCCAGAAAGCCTCTTTGGTTTTTAGCACTTGAACTGAGTCTTAAAACCCAAAGATGAAGAACATAATCCAGGCAAAGACAACAGCATAGGTGAGGATTGGTAGACCAAAAAAAAAAAAAAAAAAAAAAAGCCAAGATTGGTTTGTAAGGCAATATTGCAAGTAATTTGCTATTTGCAAAGACAATGAGAGAGGAGGCTAGAGGGGAAAGCAAGGACTTGAAGACCGAAAGCCTTGAATGCCATGCTAAGGAACTTAGAATCTATCTGGCAGGCAATGGAGGACAACTGAATGGTGAAAAGTGGGGAAAAGGAGGCGACACAGTCAGACTTGTATTCTGGAAAGACAGCCCTTGTGGCAGCATGGATATAGATGTTTGGGGGCAAGGCTGGAGGCAGGTACAGCTGACAAGACCACCACTCTGGGCAAATGATGATAGTGGCCTGAACTAAGGCACTAGCAGGCAAATACAGAGATGTACACAGATATAATCAATATTATGAATGTGGAACTAACAAAGCTAGGTAACTTACTGAATGAGATGATGGAAAGAGACATGCAGGATGACTCTCAGGTTTGTTTTTTTTTTACTTTGGGAGGTACCATGGGCTGCGCTTGGGCACATCTCAAATAAGACTATTCCCATGATTTCTAGGAAATATCCTAAAAGGAGCATAGCCTTTAGATGCTTTTTAAACCTTACATCCTAATGCCATACCCAGGCAGAAATTCTCATAGTACATGATAAATGGGTTTGTTGATTCATTTCTAATGTTTCATTGGACTTGTAGCATTAAGAAATGAGAACATTATAATAATCATTATCATTAAAGAGATCCACTTCCTATGAAGCACATTCTACATTACCCAGCTCCTCCTACTCCCTCTGGCATTTGTCTACCAGTTCTTTCCAGGAAACGTAAACACATAAATGAATCAAAGTCAAGCAGCAGCTGCCTCCTTTTACTCGAGCAAGTCTGACATCTTCTTACATCTTTGTCCTGGGCTTTTTCTGAATTTGTGTCAAAACATTTCTTCTAATTCTATCCCCACAAACCACTGGTTCTGTTAGGGATTTGTATCCCATCCCAGCATCTGTGAAATACAGTGGTGAGGCTGAGTGGCATCCAAAGAAATCTAGGTCCCTCCAAGTTCTCACCCTATGCCAGGCTCTGCTTGTCTTTACTTCAATGTATGGATGCAGTTCAAGATAAGAAGGGTGTCTCTGGATTTGGCTAAGAACTCAAGAGAGGTGGTCCTGGGCTCAACTCCTTGCTTTACCACTTATTCTGCATGTGATGTTACAGAAGTTACCATGCTATGAACCTCAGTTTCCCCAGCCGTAGAACAGAGATAATACCCATCTTGCAGGTATGTTGGGAAGATCGTTTGAGATTATGGATGTAAAGCAGTTTCTTCAGGACCTGGAACATAGTAAATGCTCCCCAAACATTAGTTGTTCTTTTGATTATAAGTATTTTATTATTAATAATTACCAAAGAGTGACTTATAAAGAAATAACAAATATCCAGAATCCTTAGGAAGACCCATCCCGTCTTGCCTCAAGCCTCCTCTCATGCTATGCTTCCTCTTGGCCACTGCAGCCACAGTAGCTTCCTTTCCTTTCCCCAAGCCTGTCAAGTTCTTGCCCTTCACAGAATTTTCTGTCTGAGTCTGCATTCATCTATGTCTAACTCTTTTCAAGACTAGCTCCTTTTCTGTCTTTTGGGCCAGACAGACCCTTCCTCAAAGAAGCCTTCCTTGTTCACCTTATCTGAGAAGACCCCACTGTTGTTCTCTACCATTGTACCTCCTTGTACCTTAATTTCCTTTATCACAATTTTATTTTTATTTGCCTATTCATTTCTTGCTATATACATAAATAAATACGCATACACCCAGTACCTACACAATGCCTCCTACTTTGTGTGCAGTCAATAAATATTTACACTGAAAAGATGTTCATTTTTTATTTTAAGAAAAATGTCTGCATACCTCTGATAAAACAAATTGGATACAGACTGTCCCCAAAAGAGCCATAGATCAAATAAAACCTTGAAGTCAGTGGTGTGAATTTACATTCATTAACCTCCAATTTAGGTCGCTGAGTTATACTTTATTCCCAGGACATGAGTACTAGCTTCCTAAAGTCATTGATAACAGAGGTCATGGGAAGATGCCCCTCCTAAATTGTACACTGATATAAAATGGGCTGAGATTTATCTCTTTGGAATGATGATATCCTCTTCATCTATTATGACTGGGAAGAGATGAAAACATTAGACTGGAAAATTGTTATTTGCATACTTCAGTGTGCATCCATTATAATATGCAGTTACAACCAATCTCTGCTAAGGAAGTCAAAACACCATAAAATTTTGATGCCCTCAACCAGCCTGTTGAGCATTGTTTTCAGTTTCCTGTAAGGGGAAGGTGCTTGTGTGAACATACAGGCCCTGGCCACCAGGGAAATGAGTGGTGAATGGATGTTGGGTTCCACTGTTCCTGTCAGGCTCCTTTGCTCTGCAGATGCACAATTCAGCTGCCACTGATATGATGTTTTGGCCACTACAAATCACAGTCCTCAGAGACTAGGCTATTCCATTAGAAATAAATTCTATGCCACCCATAGTTACTGAGGTCTCATGTGTGCCAGTGGGTTTCTCAGAAGGATTCTGTCACTTTCTTTTACAGTCGAGGGAAAAAGGTACAGCTATGTCACTTTACTGTGGAACATTTTATTTTACCGTTGCAATGAAGTGATTTTCATTCAGGACAGCTCCCTTCTAAGAAGCAGACTGGCTCAAAAAATCCAGATCCTGGATTTTCTTAATAGATACAGTTTTGGTGCACATGGAAATAACAAAAATGGAACTGGTGACATGATTCTAAAGGACCTGATTTATGGTAAATATCCAAGAAAAGTGGAAGGTGTGAAATCAGAAACCTAAGTGGACAGTAGATCTGGAAAGTTCCTTGGAAATAGTAGCTGCCCCAAAAGTAGCTGTGAATGAATGTGAGGGATAGGTTTTCAAAGGAGGCATCCATAGTCCATCACCAGTTGTGTCACCTTATAAGTTGTGCTTCTCTGTCAGAGCAGAAGTTCTTAGGCTGAGGTCCTTGAATCTCTGGGTTGGTCTGTTAGAGAATCCTGAGAAGTATCTGAATCCACCATGTCCGCATGACAATTTTTTAATATATGCACACATGAAAAATTTTCTATGGAGTAAGTCCATAGCTTTCAGGAGGTTTCCAAAGGGGAAACTAAGCTTAAACACCAGCCCACAGATACTCCTCATCTCCTCTCATCAGGACTTTCCTAGATGACCACCATCAAATTTTCTCCCAAACAAGTTCATCTTATTCCAACTTCCAAGATAATCTCACACCTTGGAATCTTGTCATTCAATTTTTGTAAATTTTATTTATCTATTTTTTTGTAATGTTGATTCTGCTTCCTTTCACTTATATGTCTTCACATTTTATGTAGATGCCTTTTTTCGTAACATTTAGTTCTACTTTTGTCTCTTACGTAACCACTTCTAGTAGACCAAAGTACCACTAAGGCACTTTCATATACACTTGTGAGTTTCACCCTGTTTAGAGTAAAGAAGGGATGCATTTCCAATTCAACAAATTAATATTAAATGCTTGCTATGAGTTGTGCATTGTGTTTGCTCTGATGCTAGTTCTGTCATGTTGATTTTTATTTACTTTCTGCAAAGAACTTTTTCTCTAATTTTTTTTCCTACTTTTTAACTTACCTCTACTGCCTATTTGACTGGAGTTTTGCTCTGGGCTTACTGGCCCTCATTGAAGAATTTAATTTACAAACACTCCCACTGTATGGGGGTTGCAGAGATGAACAAAGGATGGTCCCTGCCTCAAAGGGCTTTCAACCAGGCAAGGAAAATTATGTAATTGCATCCTGCATTCTTTGTAATTCTTAATTGTTTCATTTTTACTTAATTTATTTTCACCTCTTCCGAAGGTATTCCACTTTTTTTCTACTTCCTCAAATACCTAATCTTCACATCTTCCTTTACTAAGAATAAGATCCTTTTGCATAAGACCCTCAATTTCCCTTTTTTCCAACTCAGCGTAACTTCTCGGAGCCCCATCCAATGCCTCCTTCTTATCTCTTAGAGAAAGAATTATCTCTCATGTTTTCATCAGACACATACTTTCTGGGCAACTACTACTTGCAAGGCACTTCCCACTTACATTTCTTTTCCCACATCTTCCAGTTTTCTCCAGCTCATGCAAATCATTTCTTTTAGAATTGTGTCACTAATTTTTGCATCATTGTCTTTGGTTCCCATCAACAAATAGGATGTCTCTGACAGTATTTTAACCTTGCTAGATGTGTTAAAAAGCAGTATACATTTAATTTGGGAGCCCAAAGCTAAATTATTTTAAAAAGGTGACTCTGTCTTTTAGTTACAGAATCACTAGATGGCTCCATCCCTGCAGTCTCTTCTGCAGTGCTGGAGTTGATGGGATACTTATGTCTATGCTCATTAGTGTGTTCCATGTGAACTCCACTTATCACTGGTACTCAGAAACTAAAACCAATATATTAAACATTAAGTAATTTGATACATTTTATTGCCTCTTAGATTTAATCAATAGAAAGACATTATTGAAAGATGGCGAGGATCTTCATCTTATTGCCTAAAAAATAATGTCTTTTACATGGAATATAAAGCCCTTTAGGCTATGGTGATCCTTCATTTCATTAAAATATAATGAGAAAAAGCTACTCTCCCATAATGAGGCAGAACTAAATGGGTCCTTAGCACAATCAATAAAAGATTATTAACAAAGAAAATTTTGTTAAAGAAAAGAGAATAAATTTTCTTCTACATCCTACAATAGTATAATAATAGAAGAGAGTGAAATTTCCTTACTTTAAGGAATGTTCCTCTAGGGAATCTAGATTAATACTATTTTTGAATATTCTTTAAAAAGCATGAAAACTATATATATTGAACAAAAAACTATTGGATTTTGTCTATACATATATATTCACTTATAGATTGCTTAATAATCTGATCTTAATTTTAAAAAATTTTAATGAAAAATTTCAAACATATATAAAGAAACACAAAATAATATTATGAGCCTCTGCTTCTTTGTTGTCTAGCCAAAAATAATTACCTCACAGGCAATGTTGTTCCTTTTATACTGTCATCCTTACATTCTCCCCAGGCATATATCTTTCCTCCCATAAACAAATTGCTATGTATCTCTCAAAGGTATTTAAAACAAAAATACCACAATATATCACGTACAAAAATTGGCAATAATTCAATGTCATCAAATATCTACACATTTCCAAATGTTTCACTTAATCTCATATTTTTATAGTTTATTGAATCTAAATTTTTTTTTTAATTCACACATTGTAATTGGTTGATACGTCCCTTAAGACCTTTTTGGTTTTTTAACTTTATTTTAAGCTCGGGGGTATGTGTGCAAGTTTGTGACATAGGTAAATTTGTGTCACAGGGATTTGTTGTACAGATTATTTCATCACCCAGGTGTTAACCCTAGTACCCATTAGTTACTTTTCCTGATCCTCTCTCTCCTCCTACTCTCTACTCTCTGAAAGGACCCAGTGTGTGTTGTTCTCCTCTATGTGTCCATGTGTTCTCATCATTTAGCTCCTACTTATAAGTAAGAACATGCAGTATTTGGTTTTCTGTTCCTGTGTTAGTTTGCTAAGGACGATAGCCTCCTACTCCTTTTAATCTAGACGTTCCTCTCTCTCTCTCTCTCTCACCTCCTTTCTCTTTTTCTTTTCTCTTTTGGACTTTCTGTAGTTTGCTGTTGTACTTAAATAAACAAGGTGCTTCCCCTAGAGAACTTCTCAGGGCCTGGGTTTTGCTGATTTCATTCTTGCGGTGTCATTTCACATCTTCTTCTCTCTCCTATATTCCCTATAAATTTACTGTTGGACATAGAGGCTTGCACAAATTCAGGATTTGTTTTTTTTTTTCTTTTTGCTAAGAATACTTCATTATTGGTGTGGTCATCTTCCTTTAGTGGTATGTAACATCTGGTTGCCTCTCTTTTTGTGATATTAGACATCAGTGCTTAGACTTATTAATTCATGAAAGGTTGTGTGTTAGCCAGCTCAGGCTGCTATAACAAAATACTAGACTGGGTGGTTTAAAGAACAGAAATTTATTTCTTGCAGTTCTGAACACTGGGAATCCAAGCTGAAGGTGCTGGCAAGCTGAAGGTGCTAAGGCCTCTTCTCTCAGCCTGTGGAGAGGGACAGAGAAAGTGTCAGCTCTCTGGTGTCTCTTCTTATAAGGGCACTAATCCTATCAAATCGGGCCTCATCCTTATGACTTCATTTAACTTTAATTACTACCTTAGTGGCCCCATCTCAAAATACAGACACACTGGGGGTTGGGACTTTGACATGCAAATTTGGGAGGGATACAAACACTCAGTCCAAAACAAGTTGCAAAACCTTGATATTCTATTATTTCTTCTTCATTATTAGCTGAATACTTTTATTTATTTATTTATTCATTTGTTTATTTTTGTTTTGAGATGGGGACTCACTCTGCTGCCTAGGCCAGAGTGTGGTGGTGCAATCACAGCTCACTGCAGCCTTAACCCCTCAGGCTCACGTCATCCTCCCACCTGAGCCTCCCAAGTAGTTGGGACTACAGGCGCATGCCACCCAGCTGAGCTAACTTACTTTATTTTATTTAATTTATTTATTTTGTAGAGATGGGGGTCTCACTATGTTGCTCAGGCTGAGCTGAAGACTTTTATGTAGAGAATGTCTTCTCTTCTACACTTTGGTCACCTGCCAGTAGTGTTCTTAAAGAATGAGCAAGATACAGGATTAATTCCTTAATTTACCAGTTTTTAAACTAATGAATTTGTTCCCTAGTATTTTCTAACAGCGACCAATTCAATTTTTTGGGTTACTTGCTCCTTTTGGTATAGTTATAAACTCATGAATTTAAACTATCTTTATCTGTGTGGCCTTGGATAAATCACTTAATCCCTCTAAGCCATGGTTTACATAGCTCTAAAATGGTGATAATGATGGTACTCACCTCACAGAGTTATGAGATTTCAATGATATGATGTCTGTAAAGCACTTGGCACATTGCCAGATACAAACAGAAGCTCACTAAGTAGCAGCAGCAGTTGTTGTGGTTATTGTGATAAGAATTATAAGCAGAAAATACCACATAACAATATGCTTAAACCTGCTCATCTGGAATGTCTGCTCTTGTATTTTGAAAATTTTTCAATATCAACGCTGCCTTTTAACTGTCTATTTTAGTTTCGTTTCTTCTCCTTTACACAATCCAAATGCATTGTAACAAGTTCCTGTTATTGGAGAGAGATGATTTGATGACCACGCATCATGTCTGAGAGGTTCAAACATCAATTTTCAGGTTAAGAATCAGAATAATCAGGCTGGGCACGGTGGCTCACACCTGTAATCCCAGCAGTTTGGGAGGTTGAGGCGGGCACATCACCTGAGGTTGGGAGTTTGAGACCACCCTGACCAACATGGAGAAACCCCATCTCTACTAAAAATACAAAATTAGCCAGGCGTGGTGGCACATGCGTCCCAGCTACGTGGGAGGCTGAGGCAGGAGAATTGCTTGAACCCAGGAGGTGGAGGTTGCAGTGAGCAGAGATGGTGCCGTTGCACTCCAGCCTGGGCAACAAGAGCAAAACTCCATCTCAAAAAAAAAAAAAAAAAAAAGAATCAGAATAATCAAAACGAGTCCATGAATGTCTCGAAGTAGAAGCAGTGTAGAGATGCAACTTGCCAGTATGGTGTTCAAAGGAGGTAGAATGTAGAAAGGTTTTTAAATCTTTAGACACATTTATTTGCATGTTTCAAAATTCTTCTGATAATAAATGGTCCTATGAATGATTCTGGGTTGCTACCTCTTAGCTTATGAGCTTAAGTGTGATGTTATTTATACTTGTGGCCTGTAGCTGGTAAGCTCTGGATTCTATTTAATATACCTGCAAAGCACACACACACACACACACACACAAATGCTTAAGGGCCACGTGGTGGCTCACGCCTGTAATCTCAACACTATGGGAGGCCGAGGCAGGCGTTTGAGATCAGGAGTTTGAGATCAGCCTGGCTAACATGTTGAAACCCCATGTCTACTAAAAATACAAAGATTAACCGGGTGTGGTGGTGCATGTTTGTAATCCCAGCTACTTGGGAGGCTGAGGCGTGAGGATGGCTTGAACCCAGCAGGCAGAATTTACAGTGAGCCAAGAACATGCTGCTGCACTCCAGGCTGAGTGACAGAGGGAGATTCTGTCTCAAAAACATACAAACAAACAAACAAACAAACCTCCTACTATTCTGATAATGGATGCTGTGCTTATCTTTCACTAAGGTAAAGCTGAATAAACATTTTTTTTTAAAAAAAGGAGGAAGGATAAGTGACATTTCTTTGCTTAATGACTCTTATTGTCTAGTGAAAAGGCATTAATTGAATACAGCCAATTGATTATAGATCAATTTTTTTTCCAGAATAACCCTATGGTATTCTAAATTGCTCTATGGATACAAATACAACTGTGATTGATAAAATATTTAAATTTTAAAAAAGACATGCCAAATGTATTGAATTCAGCCAGAACTGAATCCCGATGGGAATTTATTTCCTATTCAGAGAACGCTGCACATGGCAATCTGAGGCCTATTCTAAAGTATAAGGGGAGGAGGAAGTTGAGGGTTGTGACTTATCTTCAGTTTTTAAAAAATTCAGTCATTCTGTATTATCATGAAAGCACAGCTTCTGGCAAGGGGTAGTTCATTCCAGCATATCCGATGCATGCTATTTAACTACAGAACAGTAGCTGTGTGCATGAGCTCATCATGCTCTAATTTTTCTATCAAGCAGAAGTATACAGTTAAGGTATCTATCATCACTGATTTTCTTCAATGCACTAAGATATGGTTATGGTAGGTTAGAAACTTCAGGAAGTCCATATCACAAATTTACCCAAGAAAAATACCAAGTTCAAAAACACTACCATAGGCAAGAAATTAATTCAGAAGACTCTCTCTAATCAGGTGTCAGAGAAATGGTGTCAGCTCTGCTGAATTTTTATTTTATCTTATTATTCCATTTTGACAAATATGAGAGAATTGGAGTTGATTCCTTTAAAGGTAATTATTCCTATTCAACCCGATGGAAGTTGCCCTTTTTAATCAACGAATGATTGATGCTATACTTTAGCCATATGTTCTGATGGTGTATTTTGAAATATTTTTACCCTGATTCTAAAGAGAGATGTTGCCAAAATATTTTATTAAATAAGCAGGTCAAAAATGTTCTTCCACTTTATAGTCTCTGTAAATATAATAAATTTGAAAGTACTATTGAAGATAATTCCAAAGGGAGTGGATTTCTTTAACTTTACATTTTTCATCCAAACGAAAGTGAAAACAGCACATCCATCTAATGACAGTTCTGAATTTACTTTTCTCAAGTTACCCAGATGTTGTCTACATTTATGATTTTAAGAAAATCAGTTTTTAGTTACAAAAGTTATACATGCTTATTGGAAGACATTGCAATAATGCAAAAATAACTAAAACCGAGATTCTGACTCTAACTTCTACTCCTTAGTGGTTACAACTAATAACACTTCAGCATTATGTTTCTAGACCTCTTAAATTTCTGTAAAAAAGTATATACTGTATGTATATGTAGAAATATTTTCTTTTACAAAAATGCAATACATGTATTTACTTTTTTTGCTTTAAAAAGATTATAAACAACTTCCAACTTTTCTGTACTGCTACTCATTCTTTTTAACCCTTGCATAATATTGATTGGATACCTCATAATTTAATTACTCTATTTTTTTATAGGAATGAAAATCACTTCCAAATTGTTATTACCATTTCTGCCATGTGTTGTTTTATTTTAAAGATTTGTATCAGGCTTCATGTGGAAAAATATAATTCAAGCAGAAATTTAAATTTCAATTGATAGGCAAGAGTTCAATTTAGCTCATTGCATAAAGGCACAGGGCTGTCTAGGAAGTATCTAGTGAAAAAGAAATGACTGGATCTTGCATGGGCTTGACAATGCTGTGTTTCCTTTATAATATGACTTGGAAGCTTGTTTTATTTCTGCCAGCTTTCTCTCATCAGTTTCTGTGTCAGACAGTGGAGGCTAACTGACTCAACAATCATCCCAACCCTCTTCCTCTTGCCCACCTCCCCTATAAGACTCAGGAAAGCTGAAGATTCACTTCCTAGTCTCCTATGCAGTGAAAGGTGTTCAGGAACACAGCAGCCATTTTGTGACAATGAGGCAAAGACTGTAAGAATCAAAGAAATGACCCAGACATCATCAATACCAGTAGTCACCTAGCTCTAGACTTCCTGATATGTGTGAAAAACAAACCCCTATTTGTTTAAGGCCCCGTAGGTCAGACTTTCTGTTATCTACAGCCAAATATTCTGCCATGTGGTGCAGTCCCCAGACTAGTCATTTCAGAAAATGAAAACAGAAACTTCTTTTGCCATGTAAGTAACTTGGAGTTTTCCTTCTGTAGGGCCTATTCTGAATTCCCCAGTTGATGGCATGAAGTATCAATTCTGTAAGGCTGCTTTTGCCTGAGAAGATTTCACACAAATCACAAAGCAGTTAGAAGGGCACGGTATTCAATTTTTGACAGGTAGCATGAAATGGAATGCAGGATGGACCACATTGGGGCCATTTAAGAGCACAGGTAGTTATATATTGTAGACAGGAAAACACACATAGCTCTGTGGAGGAAAGCCTTTTAACAATACTTCTCAGTGCCTCCAAATAAAAGACAATTGCATGTCTTCCAGGGACAACTTGCAGTTTTTATCTTCACATGAAGTTCCCATCTGAGGTTTTACAAGGTTATTCACAAAAGCCTTCTGGGTCAAAGTATTATACACCCATAGCAGTAACCATAAACTGATGGCTGAGAAAATGACTGGTCAATTTCCTTAGAAAAATACGATTATCAGTAGGAGAAGAAAAACTAAAAGAAAGAATTAGACAAAGATCAGTAGGAATGGAACATTAAGCTTTAGAGGCATTCATCTGTCTACTGGGGGCCTCCTGTATAGGGAGTGGAGCATGAGGGAGGCCGCAGTTAACAAAACCTTTCTGCGCTGGAAAATATCCTGACAGTACATATTCCTCGCTTTTTTATGGCTACTATTGAGGTAATCAGCTTTGTTCCCAGAAATGCCCTTTGGGGGTGTTGAGGACTAATCATCAGTTCAAGACAAATCATGAAAGGAGATGGGACAAGAGGGGGACATCAAAGCAGGGAGGAGGGGGAGGCTCTGGGCCTCTTTAACCTATGAGCTGTTGAATTGTGAAGCTGCATGAAAGTGAGGAACCTGGCACCCTTAGCTGTGGGTGGCTGACAATTAGGAGGAGGAACTTGTCAAGTGTAATTGGCATAACCTACTCACATCAGGCTTTTCAAATATTCCTATCATGCCAGACTAACTCCCTCCCCACGGCAGCCTGCGATGCTGCGGAGTGGAGGCTTGGGTGTTGCTGAGGCACAGTACGTGAGCTACCACCTGCAGCAATGGGGACGATCAGGGCTTTGTCTTACAGATGCTTCATGTAGCCCTCATCTGACTTTCTGAACATTGATGTGACAGAGAAGGCCTCAGTTAGAAAGCCCATCTTCAATATTTCTGTATGAGTCTTTCCACAGTGTGCTCCATCAGAGAGAGACCCTTTTCACACTCCTGGGCGAGTTGGGAAGAAGGAAGACACTTTAGAGAAAGGCAGACCTGACTGCTTCACTTAGGAGTAGATCATGTGACCTTGGACTTGCTGTTTAACCTCTGTTTCCTCATCTGTAAAATGAGGGGTTATATTTCTACTTTAGGATGTTGTTGAGAGGATTAAATAAGCCAATGTAATGATGGACTTACTGAGGAGACTGACACAGAAAACTAAATATAATTATTTTATTATTACTATCATCATCATCATTACAATGTTACTATTCAGTTACACAGTGCTAAAATGCCCCTTTTCAAGCACTTCATCCTTCTATTGCCCATTCCTTCATATATTTGCTTACTCAATAAAATTTGTGAGCCACCGACAATGTTTTGGCCCAAATGGGGAATACAAAGATGCTGAAGCATGGTCCTGTTGGCAAAGGATTTGCCTATTGTCTGGGGAAGTAAGACACTTCCTTATCTTCCACCTTCCGCCAATCCACTTACCAGTGTAATCAGTGTGGCCTTTCTAAACTGCAATTTTTTTAATGCCTCTCCCTTGCTGAAAACCTATTCTGCTTGCAAGACCCACGTGTCTTCACATTGACAAACTATTTCTGTAAGAGTCAGATAGTAAATATGTTTGGCTTTGCAGACCACAGGCTGTCTGTTATAAGTGCTCAACTTTGTCATCAGAGCATGAAAGCATCCATAAATAGATGAAGAGATGAGGCTGGATATGGCCACGGGCTGTCGTTTTTGGATCCCTGGTAGCCCATACCTGACATATTTCTGCCTGCCTCTTAAACTGAGTAACTCTCTTCTTTTTCTCTTACAACATATGCAGACTTACCAAATGCACAGCCCAAATGTGCCACACTTGCTCATTTGTGTGTCTTTGACTTACTCCTCTCTGCCTAAAACACCCTTCTCCCTCTTACCTGGATAACTCAGGCCCATTTTCCTGGTTTCTGCTTAGCTATCCATTCCTCCAGACAGCTATGTCCCCCTTCCCTCCCCTGCAATTATATACCACATATTCCCCTAACGTGCTCCAATTTCTGCCACCACAGTAAAGCACCATTGCAGTGCCTGTTCATTAGCTTGTCTGTGTCTTGAAATAGACAGCAAGTTCCCTGGAGGTAGGGGAAGGATATTGATTGATTGATTGATTGATTGATTGTATTTCTTTTTAGTTCAACAAGCATTTAGGGAGCACCAACTTCATGCCAAGCACTGTGCAAGGTGGTAGAGATTCAGCAATAAACAAAAACAAGTGTATTGCCTTTTCTTAGGGAAGTGGTAAAACAAAGCATAAGCAAAGGATTAAATAATACCAAACACATACCTATATTTAAAAGTCTGCTCGTGTTAAAAAATAGAATAATGGGAGCCGAGGTGGGTGTGTACTAAAATGAGGAAGCCTAGTTAGTGTAGTCAAAGATTTCCTCCTTAAAAAAGAAAAGAAAGGATGAGAAGAAACCCTTCGTGCAAACCATGTGAGGACAGAAGTTTCAGCTGAAGGAGACAGACAGCATGAAGGTCCTACAGCTGGAGGGAGCTCAGTTTATTTGGAGACAGCCAGAGAGACTAGAATGCGGTAAGCTAGAAGCTGAGATCAGGTGGTTAGGGAAATATGACTCCTTTGTTATCATAGTCCTGGGTACTTGTAGTGCCTGCAAAGTAAAATGTGCCCACTCAGTTACTGTTTGATAACTGTCTTAGTCATGTTTCCCAAAAGGAGATTCTGAGACGAGAATTTTGGTTCAATAAGTTTATTTGGGGAGCAATGATGGGAAGCACAATGACAAGTGGGCGGTGGGATGGGGAAGGAAGGAAAGCCAGCCAACGATGTGTGGTGAGCAGGTTGCTTCTGTGGGAAACTGGGGCTCGGTCTCAATGAGCACCCTCTGAACACACCTCAAAATTGTCCCCCAAAAGGGCAAGAACATTGGAGATTTTACCCACCAATTTCCTTCTCACACTGTTTGAAAGCTGCCAGGGAATTAGCTCCTGGGGACGTCTACCTTGCTCCAGTCTCAGGCCAAGCACACGTATGCTAGCTGTGAATGCCCTCGGCAGAGAAATTCAGGTATGTGAGGAAGGAAGTCTTTGGTGTGTATGAGGACTGACCCCATGAAGCTGCAGCTATCAGCAGGGCATCAACAGCCTCTGCTATAATAACTAACTAAATAAGTGAGTAAGTAATTGAGTGGATGAATGAGTGAATGAATGATTATACCTAATGGAAAAGGAGTGAATCAACAAAACAAGCCCAAAGTGAATGAAGGTCCCTGGCCCAAGTGAGTACCTTGGTGGCAATGGAGTTGTGTAGATCTCCTCCTGGTCCAAATTTAGAGGCAGTATGTTCATAGCTTGGAATTGGCCATGGTGGAAATACTTGCACTGTGGAAACTGGCAAATGCTATAAAACACAGCTTTATTCCTGGGAGATTTGTTTGTTGGCAAACTCAACTTAGTGGTACCAACCACTTGGTCTCAGTCTCCAAACTGAGTGGTACCAACTACTTGGTTTCAATCTCCCAACCCCTTACCTACCAGTCTCCTGACTCTTGTTTCTTCCAGGATTGGTACATGAAGGTTGTGTACCAGGCCTTGGGAGATGTCCCCTCCCTGACTTCACTGCAGACCAAGCATCCCTACAAGTGCCATTAATCAGCCTGATTTTCTGTCCTCCTCCAACCTATTGCATTTAACTATGACTTGCAAATTAACCAGAAGGATTAATATCACCTTTCATTGATATTCCGTGTGTGGTTCTATTAGCACACAAGGATTGAGCTGCTTGCCCTTTTCCCAGGGGAAAACCTTTGATGTCACTAACTGCAAAGATATCGTTACTGCTATGGGTGATTTTGGTTTATGGATGACTATTAAGCTAGAAAACACAGGACAATTTTGTTCTGTTCCACCTAAATGCATTTCTAATCAGGCTGCATAGAAGGGGATTCTCTGTTGGCTGATCCTGTCAATTTTGAGAGTAATTTTTTGTAAGGAACAGAGCCGTAGATCATCTAAGACAGTAGTGAAATGAGAGTTCATTGCAGGTGATTTATTTTGGTCTCCTGAACTCAAGGGAGGTGAATGATTGGGCCAGTGGTTATGATATTGATTATATTAGAATGTGCTGGAGGGTGAGGTGTCTGCTTTGTTTGAGGAGTATCAGGAGCTTAAGAAAAGATGGGAATACAGAGGTTTTATAATTCTACTTGAATGGGTAAATGGACTTTTGCCCCTGGGTTACACCTTCAATGTCTGGTAAGGTGAGCTAGTGCACCACATTAACAGAAAGAAGGCACTGTGCTGGCTGAAGATAGATGTGTGGAGCCTAGAATTTGAAGAGCATAGCGCGCACACACACCACCATGTCTTTACATCTCTCATCAACTTGCTTATAGTATTACAGAGTCATCCTCAAATGGAGATCTGTCTCTCTAGTTCCTCTATCTCACTTATTTCTACACCAACCCCCTCACACTGTCCCCTCAGGCTTTTCTCACTCCTTAGCCTTCCAGGTCTCACCCCCAGTTTTCATTCCATCCTGGCTATATAACAGAAAGTTATTCTATCTTTTCTGTCTCTCCAAAGGGGAAATTGTCTACATTAGGAATTGCACTTAGTTTTGCAGAACTGAGCATCTGCAAGACAAACCTTCTCAGCTGCTAGCATTAATGGCCTCTCGAGCATCAGTGGTCAAGCAAGGAATACCATGTCTCTTTATGTCTTCCAAGGTCCTCCTTCTAAATTCTTCCACCCCACCAAGCGTAAAAAGTGGAAGAAAGGTAGGGAGGAAGAAAGAGAAGGAGAGAGAGAGGAAGGAAGGAAGAATAGAGGAAGGGAGGGAGGGAGGAAGGGAGGGGGGAGGAAGGAAGGAAGGAAGGAAGGAAGGAAGGAAGGAAGGGAGGGAGGGAGGGAGGGAGGGAGGGAAGGAAGGGAAGGGAGGGAAGCAAGGGAAGGAAGGAAGGAGGGAAGGGAAGGGAAGGAAGGAAGGAAAGGAGGGAGAGAAGAAGGAAGGAAGGAAGGGAGGGAGGGAAGGAAGGGAAGGGAGGGAAGGAAGGGAAGGGAGGGAAGCAAGGGAAGGAAGGGAAGGAAGGAAGGAGGGAAGGGAAGGGAAGGAAGGAAGGAAAGGAGGGAGAGAAGAAGGAAGGAAGGGAGGGAGGGAGAGAAGAAGGAAGGAAAGAAAGATAAAAAGGACAAATCACCTACTCTGCTTTGGTAATGAGCTTCCAGATAATGTGATTTTGAGACACTCAGGAGAAACATGGAGAACCTCAGGTCATCAAAGCACCCATGGTGCATTTCTGGGTGAAGAAGACTGGACCATTTGAGAATCAACTCTTACCGATGTGGCAAAAAAACATCATTCTTCCCCCAACCATAGAGCTAATTAGAATCCTAACTTGGGAAGTCTAGAGACCCAGGATCCTACTTTCAACTCTCATTTTTTGCGGGGCTTCCCCTCACTCATCTTCCAGGTGTTAGCTTAAATGTAACACCCCCCCAGGTATAACCTCCTGTCCAGAATAACTCCCCTCAAAACGTGAAACACAATTTGAGATTATTTTATTTGTATGTGCTTTTTGATTGTGTCTCCCATATCTAGCATTAAGCCCCATGGTGGGTGGGAAACTTCCTTATCCTTGTCTTTTCTGTGACTATTTAATTTTTCTGTTCCCCAACAGCTGGCACATAGCAAATCTGTCATTAAACATCCAATGATTGAAGCATGTTAGTCTTGATTTGGTAGATGTGGGAACTGAGGTTTAGAGAAGTGAAGTGATTTGCCCGGTGTCACACAGCTAGGAAATGGGCTCAAGCTTAGGTCTGCCTCACCCCAGAACTGCTCTGCTCCCCCATGTAAGGAGGAATGGTTGGGCGAGTAACTGGGAGGGGAATCAGTGGGAAGATTTCTGAAGTCCCCTCCCACTCTTTCAAGGCAACACCTAGAGAATCTCAGGCCCCTGGAGAGCCTCCAGTCCCCTCTCCTCACTGTGTCTTGATGTATTCCAATTACGGGACCAGGCCACTGGCAGATTTTCTCTGGAGGAGTTGATTTCACGCTCCAAAATACAGAAGGATCTGACTCTTCCAGTGTTATACAGACATCGTATGTTCAATCCTCACCAAACCCATGTGAATTTAATATCAATCATATAGTATGATTTCCCTTTAAGCAGTTGTCATGCTCAGGGTCAGGTTCCTGCCCCAGCTGAGGGCAGAGGGGAGTGGGTGGATGTGAGGCAGGGAGCTAGAAGAACACTTGAGAGATAGCAGGTAAATGAGACATGGCTTTATTCAGCAGCTCTCTCATCAGCAGCTTACTCACACCTTTATCTCGGCTGCCTGCTCTGGCTCTTCAGCTCGTCTAAGCAGCTGGCTCCCATGCACAGCTGCATGGCCAGCCTGCAAGGCCAGCTCTAGGGTTAGCAGCTTAACTCTATTTCTGGGCACGAGCAAGCCGAGCCACGTGCTGGCTCCCCACTGTCCATCTGCTAGATATTCATTCTCCCTTACAGGGATCAGTAGCTTCACTTTTTCTCTGGGTGCCTGCACCTGCACAAGAGCCATGTTGGGCCCAAGAGCATGTCAGCAGGGAAGTTACACCTTTTCCAGACAATAGCGGCTTTGAGCCAAGTATGAGCTTACACAAATAGGGTATATAACTAGTGGAGTATGCGCCTGCACTCTAAACTTGCTAAGTCATGCAGGCCTGGATGTCTGCCTCAGCCTGTTCGTTGATCAAAGTACATCCATGTACCTTACAGCAGTGAGGACTATGGGGAAGGGAGAAATGTAACCTGGAAGCCCATAGGTATCATATTTAACTCAATTACAATGCCTTGTGTTTTCAGAGGTCAAGAGAAGTAAAAAGAAAAAATTGTGGTGTATGTGGTTTCAATAGTCATGACACCTCCTTTCCACGTATCTAACATTTTGAACTAGTTAAATACATAACTATCATTCCTTCTTAAGTTTATTATATGATGGTATTAATAATACCTTACTGTATATAAAGCACTTAATATAAGATGAAAAGCCAAGGTAGTTTCTTTATAGCTGTTGAGCACTGAAATGGACAAGATTTGTTTTTATATCCTTCAATTCCAATTTGTTACATTTTAACGTCTCAAGGATTTTTTTGAATGAAGCATTTTGAAACAATTATGTTATTCTACCATATCTTTCCTATAGGAATATTAAGCTTCACGCACACATGCCTCACAATATTGTTGCCACTAGGAAATATGACCATGTATGTTACATGCTGGACACAATGCTTGGCCCATAGTAGGCACTTTAAAATGGTCACAATGTACAATCCCTTCTTACTTTTATGTGCACAATTGCCTATCACACACTTATGACTCCTGCCCCCAGAGAAATGTAAATATCACACAAATCTCTGCATGAATTGGAAGAGGGTAGCATGTAAATACATATTCCGTCTCACTTAGTTTTCTCAGCGATTCAGAGAGACATAGGGGTTATCCCTGTTTTACAGATGAGGAAACTTGGAGACAGAAAGGGCTAGCTCCATTGCCACGGCATGGGGCTTTCGACTCCATCATTCCATTCTTTCTTACCAAAGACACTATCTTGACGTGGCCCAAAGGGTTGGGACATCCAGTGTTGGCTGATGAAAACTAGAATTAAGCATTGAACCATTAAAATCACCTTCTCTTTATTTCTATTAATACTACTAATACTAATTGCTTACAGGAAGAGAGCATTTGGTCATGAGGAGTAAGCAAGTCCACACCAGGGGCCTAAAGATGGGGTTCCCTTCAGCTTCAGCATTCTGTGTCTCAACCCTAGATTGTGGAGCGACCTAGAATAGCTTCTGAATGCTTCATCAAATCCTGTGCAACGAAAGCTAACAAAGTTAAAAAGATCAGTTTTTCTGGACTGCTTGGATGTTGGCTCACTGGGGCAGACAGCCAGACAGATTTGGCTAGGGATTAAGCCTAAATTTCCTATTTTATGGCCTGGAACATCTTATTAAGGAGCATCTGCTATTTACAGTAATATTCGTTAACATTGATTGAGAGCTTACGCAGTGCCAGGACCTGTTCTAAATTCTTTCCACATATTAACACATTTTACTCTTACTACAATCCTTATATCTTTTGGTCAAGTTCTTTCCATTTTAAAAATACAGATTTTAAAAACTAGTCACTTAAAACTGCCACACACATGCACACACACATACACACACACACACGTGACTCACAAAATATTGCTTTGCCTGTGAAGGTTTCACAATGCCTTGTTATCGTCAGCCAGTCTTTTTCTATTAAAGATAAATGGCCAATTGAGACAAAACAATTCTGAGGCTTTTTTTCTACCCTTGATTAAGATTGAGGTGGCAGGAGTTATAGATAATATTCATTTCACCTTCTGAACTTTCTGGAAAGACCTGGTGATCTTGCCAGCTCCAGCAGCCTTCTTGTCCACAGCAACTGTCTGTGTCACACCGCAAATAGCAAAATGACCCAGAAGAGTTAACATCAATGCTATTTTTCAGTGAGGAAATCAAGACATGAGGAAATTAAGCAGCTTTCCCAAGGTCACATTCCAGAGCCCTTGACCCCAGTTGACTTCTGTGCAATAACTCCTCTCACTATGCAAAATGAGCTGGTGTTTCCAGTAGTGACCCCAAACTATTGTAAGAAGCTGAATTCCAAAGTTAAGATAAATTGGAATACTGCAGCATGTTAGTGTTAGGTGCATTTGATCGACTTCCTTTAGAAATGACCAAGAAATTCTTTTGAGCTTAGCCAAATTATGAAATGAACAAAGTTTAGCATTTGCTTATGTCCCCTCTTAGGCCATCCTGTCTTCCAAGTGTCTCTTCTTTCTAGGAGACCTCTCAGAGTCCCTGCTCCTAATTATTGGTGCCTGGTTCCCCACAGATTCACATTCTACACCAGGATAGACCATGACATTAACTGTTGAAACTTTTAATAGTTGACTTAGAAACAGCAACCAACACAGAGATGTAACCACCAGTGAAAGTTGGAAGCTGAAATATACTGAGATCTTGTGCTCTAAAATAGCACCTCTTAGAAACTCACCTACTCTTCCTCAAACTCAGCTCTAGAATTCTCCGACCATGACTTTGAAATATTGATGTATATTATTCCAAAAGACAAATCATATTATGGTAGAAAATAAAGACAAACAAAGAGAAGAAAGCAAGGATACACCCCCACATCTTCCTACCTGGAGACATCCATTATTAACTAGTTGGTGTAGTGCTATCCAGGCCTTTGACTATGGGATTATGCCTCTCCCCTCTGAGACACGACAGCTCTTTACACACTCAAACACAGCTATTTTGGCTTTGTCTTTAATTATTCTCCAAGCCACATTTCTTTCACTTGCCAGACAATTATTTTAGACACCATGTCCCCAGTCCTCACTCCATTCTACCTTCATCTTCCAGCTGAACCAAGGGCAATGCTCTTCTTCAGAAGGACCATAAATTCCCTCAATCCAGACATTAAGCTCCTTTTGATATATCTCATTAGAGCAACATCATCCTAATAACTGCCTTCTATTTGTTTAATTGTTCTCCACAGCTTTTTGCAATCTTTGCATTTGCAACATGCGGTGGCTATTCTGGAGGCCTGCGGCTGAGTGTGGACTGCGTCAACAAGACAGAAAGTAACCTCAGCATCGACATAGCGTTTGCCTACCCATTCAGGTAGGGAATGGTGGTTCATGCTTGTTAGCCTCACAGGGGGTTATTTCTTTCTTCTGTGCTTTGTCTCAGAAAAAATGCAGTCTTCCAGGGACTTCTGGGTAAACAGAAAGTATTCTGCCTGCACCCACGGAATGCCCAAACACAGTGCCCACTCACCACCTAGTGTGGGCACTGGGAGGATTTATGAGTTGTGCCTTCAAGACAGAACTGACTCTCCTCAAAAAAAAAGAAAAAATACTTGCTACAAAGAGAAGGAGGGAGGGAAAAAGAAAGGGAGATTGGAGAAGTAATTTTAAAATACGATCAAATAAATTCAAGAAATATTTTTAGCACTGTGCCTTTCTAATGCACATTTTGAAATCAACAAGAATGACAGATTGTTTCCCAAATACATTTGACTGTAGAAACTTCTTCTTCACTGAGTATCCAAGAGGATCTGTATACTATGGAACACATCCTTAATATTTATATATTAAGTGTATATATATATATATATGTGTGTGTGTGTGTGTGTGTATACATATAAAGTGAACTGTTCCTAGTCTAAGACAAAGATGACTCAGTTCATAGGTGATGAATCATCATAGAGACGTAGCATTGATACCAATATTCTTAATAGTTTTTAAGAGTAGAGCTGACAAAAGTTGCAAATACCTTGCTCAAGTAGATACTCTCCTAACTAACTAATAAAAGAGTAGAAAGCTCAGAAATATTAAGCACGTAATCCCTGAAAATTTAGTACAAAGTGCTGTGCTGTGCTGGTGGAAGTGGACGTGCAAGTGCATGACTTCTGAAAGCTCTGGACCAACCCATTGGCTTCTGGAGGAGAGTGGCCAAGCCAACGCATGCTTTCAGATTAACATGCAGGATCTAGGACAGGAGATGAAAACTGCCAATGGCCGGGCAGCGGGGCTGGGATGCTTGGTAACATTATACATGAGATCATAAGCTCGGCATGGCTTCTACAGTGATTTCCCACTAAGAGATGTGGCAGGAGCAGGTAACTTAAAAGTCAATCTCTCAAGATTTAAAAGTCAGCAAGTCTCTAAACATTGAACTACCAGAGCCCAGGACTCTCAGTCTTTTCCTCAAACTGGAGGAGAGTAATCAAGAGACCTATCTGAACTGGAAGAGTGCCTGAGCTGGTGTGGCGGTGGAGAGCAGGGTAATATCTAATTTCATAAAATCCCTGCTTAAGGATACAATGTGAGAAGACACTTCAAGCACAGTTTCCTGCACTGGGCTTCTTTAATTTCTTCCCAAGACTACAAATTCAAATGATTGGCCCAGTGAAAGGCAACTAGAGAAATTAGATCAAAATGTATTGCCATCTATAGCAGCCCCCTCATTTAAAAGATTTTTACCTGGGTTCTGAAACAAATATAGTTAATCATTATATTTTTTAGTAGCACAGCTTTTCTTTCTAACATTATCTCACTCAGAAGCTCCATGTATAAAATAGACATGAGTCACTGAGAAAGTTGGAGCAGGAGAAGAAGGGAGCTTAATGCCACCAGCCAGTCCTCCTCAACCTTCTCCCTGCCACACACCTTGCCCACTCCCCACCGTACAGCCCCTGTAAGATCTCCTGGGAACCCTAGGTCTCCTAGAAACAATTTTAAAACCACTGTTCTAGGATTTAGCAAGAAATCGTTTGCCACTTTGCTTACCACATCTTACATTTACTGTCTACTGTTAAGGAAGCAGTATTAGCCAATCTCCTTTTACAGAATGTCTTGTACTTTTGCCCCCATTAATGTTCATCTAGGAGATATACACACCATTCCAAAACAGCTTAATTTACTAGGGTTGCAATTTCAATTTTACATTTGTATATTTTAACATGTACCATTATCCATGTACATATTCATAACCTGTACCATTATGGGGAAAATCTCAGTAATAAGCCAGGATTTATACAGACTATTATGAAGACATTTGTTTCAGAAGAAGTACGGTTAGCAAGATGCTGGTAATATAAATAATTAAAAAGTAAAAAGTGATAATATCCACTATTATAAAGGGTGGAGAGAAATGTAGATTCTCACATGTGGTTGGAAATAATGTATATTGATAAAGCCTTTTTGGAGGACAACTGGAAGTAGGTATCAAGATTTAAATGTACATTCTATTTAATCCAGCAATACCATTTCTAGATATCTACCTTCAAAAATGTTCATATAAATACACAAATATATGCATGTAATGCATGTAATATGCATGTAATGATGTGCACTGCAGTGTTGTTAATAATAAAAGACTGAAACAAACCTGAATGTCCATCAGCAGGAAGCAGGCTCAGTGAATGATTTACATATGTCCTAGGCAGAAGTTTTAAAAGTGAATGTACAGATATAGAAAGATGTTTAAAATGTATTACTAAAGAGAAAGTAAGTAGCAGCATGTTAAGAAAAAATATAATAGTAAATGCACAATATAATTTTAAATTTATGCACCTATATGTATGTGTGTGTATGTGTATGTATATGTGTGTAAAATATAAATTCTGGAAGGATACAGACAAACAGTTAACAGGGATTACTTTTGGGGAAGGATGTGTCATTGGTTTGCAGAGGTCATACATTTACTTTTAACTCTACATACTTGAGTATTATTTGAATTTATTAAAATACACATATGATACCTTGGTAATTTTAAAAACGCTCTTTAAAAATGAGTCATCCTATGGCTTCCAGTGAGATGAAATGATAAGACACAGCTTCTGGAGAGAAATAACTTACAGGAACCCCATCTGAAATTCCAAATGGATTGAAGTAGGTGAAAAAAATCTGTATTTTCAAGGTGAATGGCAAGAAGCAGCTGTTGAGACAACTCAGCAATTTGAAGTAGGAGATTATAAAAGCATTGCTTATGCTTAAAAAAGTTATTTTCTTCTAAAATGTCACAAGCCAATGCCAATGATTTGATGATAATCTTAGAAATAAGGTAAGAACATTCAGTAGCTTTTAACTATTCAGTGTATTGCAAAGAGCAAAAGGACAATAAACTCAAGTCATTTGAACAAAAACAATTAGTTTGTAAATGATACATCAAAGGAAGCTACTTAACCAGTTATCAGACACATATTTTAGGATGTAAGATAATGTCAGTGTTAAAAATTCTAGATAACTCACAAAGTAATAATGTGCTTCTTCTAATAAATATGCCGAAGTGCATATCTCCTTTACAGCACCATATGTATGTGTTCCTGATTCCTATCAGAAATAATTGACATGCAGCAATGTATCATATTGTTATAGAAATAAACCATTTGTCACCTTATTTTCCTTATTATTTGTGATTACAATGAACAACTATTACTTAACTGTTTTCTCATCTGCAATAATATACTAAATTTGGTATGAAATTTACTTGATAACTAGGAGGAGAGTAGTTCTAGATTCCATATTTTTGGTACTTCCTTTATGCATAGAAGTGGAAAGTAGGGTTTCTCATTTTAAGGTATTTAATATATTTGTAGAAAGCCTACTCTAGGAATGCCAAGTAACCTTTTGAACTTATACATGAATAAAAGATAGAGAAGGGCAGAGTTCAGAGGTTAGGGGGCTATAGGAACAAAAATTTTCATGGCAAAGGCAATGGAGAAGGGTCAGAATGATGAATGAATGAACAGACCTGCAAACACTTATTGCAAGGGTACAATGTGCCAAACACTGTGCTAGATACCTTGACATATATTAGATTATGTAGTCATTACACAGATTCTGTGAAGGAGGCTACTATTTTACTGATTGAGAAGATTGGGCTGAGAAAAATTTTGTTGACATCACACAGAAATTAAATTTAAACTTTTGGATTTTTAAAATTTTGTGATTTGAATAAAAACAAGAAGAAAGCAAAGTTCAGACTGTTTGGAGCATGGTGAATACAACGAAAATTTATCAAGGACAAAAGTGATAAAGTTAGAAAGGCCACTTTTTTCCCTGATTATAGAAGACCTTGAATTCCTTATAAGTTGAATAGGAAGAAGGAGTTAAAGATGACAAAAGGAAAATAACAGGGAAATCTATTTTGAAGTAGAGAGTACAAGTTAGGATTTGATCATGCAGAGTTTGAGATGCTTGTTAGAAGCACAGGGGAATTCTCTATCAGGGAGTTTCATGTTAAACCCTATATAAGATGAGAGAGGTGAAGACTGAAAATGAAGCTTTAAGAGTCATCATCATGAAGTCACATCTGGATGAAGAGAGGTCACCAAGAGAGACAGAATGGGAACTATGGAGGATGCCTGTTCTTGTAAAAAAATGAATGAAAGGGGTCACTGAAAGACACCAAAAGGAGAAGACCAAATGGAAAAGAAGTTGGATGACCCAGAAAGTTCAGGTTTTTCAGAAGGTAAGAAAACTTTCTGCACATGTATCCCAGAATTTAAAGTAAAATAAATAAAAACAGAAATAAAATAAAATATAAAAAAGAAAACTTTATGTATGCTACCATTCAGCAGCATTGAGTACCTCAAAGAAAGAAAGGAGTGAAAAACCAAGAAAAAGCCATCGAATATAGTTAATGGTGGTTATTAAAAGCTTTCATGGGACATTTCAGTTGGAGAGAAAGTGTGTCGAGCTGTGGGGGAATGGAAAATAGAATTCAGTATATTTTCTCACAGACCAATACAATGCAAATTTTGAAGGACCCTAATTTGCTTATCTTAAGTCTTCAAAATATGATATTTGTGAAGAAAGAGACTAAGTTTGTTAATGACCTTCTAATAGAGAAGGTGCTCACCTCTTGTTTTTTGGAAGTAACCAGCTCATTGAATGACATGATGATAAATTTACGACCTTGGTTGAACAAATAACTAATAAAAAAGATTTTCAGTTTGTAAAAATCTTCCTTCATTTGAGAACAACTAAATATAGGGAACAACAGAAGATTTACAATAAAAAATAAAGTAGTTGCTATGTCACTTCCATGTCTTGAGACCTCATCAAGATAAAATTATTGTTTGCTGTCAATTTTAAGCATTATTTTACATATGAGATTAGTAATCACTGTTCTAGATAATTAACAAAATTGTCCTTCATAAATTTTGTTTATTCTCATGCCTCAGCTTTCTGAGTAGCTGAGATTACAGATGTGCACCACCATGCCTGGCTAATTTTTGTATTTTTAGTAGAGACAGGGTTTCACCATGTTGGCCAGGCTTATCTCAAACTCCTGACCTCAAGTGATCCACCTACCTTGGCCCCCAAAAGTGCTGGAATTACAGGTGTGGGCCACCATGCCTAGCCACAAGTCCCTATGACTGTTAAAGGGCTTTCTCTCACCGCTGGAACCTGTTTGGTCTATAGGCAGAGCAGGCAAGAAATGCTGGGGAGTAATGTCTCCTGGAGCAGCCCTTACCCAATGACAAATGTGAGTTGGAGGATGACAATCCCAACTTTCTCACCCCTCATGTGGCATAACACTAAGTCATGTATTATACCATTTCCCAGAGGCACCAGCAGGACAGAATCACCCACAGTGCAAACCGGAACATTAACACACCTTTCATTATCTTTTTTACCTTTTCTGTCTCACTTCTCCACTGCCTTATTGATGTTTTCAGAGCTGAATCCTCTAAGGAGTTGCACTCAAATCTTGATCTCAGGGGCTGCCTCTGAGAAGTCCAACCTAAGACACTGGCATTGTGTGAGAACATTACCATCTTTAAAGAAGATAGATAGATGAGTAGATAGATTGATCAACTGCTTGATTGATCAATCGATAGAGTAAATCCCTACTTCTTCTCACTCTAAATCATATTATATAGTATTACTCATTCAAAAACAGACAAACAAACAAATAGCTTGGTTGGAAATCAGTTACTTCAGTTCACAATACTTCCCCTGGTGGTTTTCAGTTCAGGTCTTATACAAAGAATCTTAGTATATATGGGAGGTTTTTCCCAGTTGGCAGTCATAGTAGGGTGTCCTTCAATGTCAGCTTCAGATTTTCTGAAAATGAGATGATGGCTGAGATTTTGGAGGTGCTGCATGGGGCCTCTGAAATGAAATCTGGTTAGACATAGTTTGTATTTTAGATCAGCCCATCCCAAATATATTCTCCAAATTTGGTGATAAACCTTACAACCTTTCTCCTCGAAGGTTTGGGTAAACTACAAAAACTAGTTATATTTATAAAGATTATGTCATAACCACTGCGTCAAAATGTTAACATACTTATTTCTAGGTGGCAAGATTATGAGTCAATCAAATATTCTTTTCACACTTGTGCAAACTTTTTTACACGGTTAAAGCTGAAGCAATGTAGTGTAGCTTGGACTCTAGAGACAGACTACATAGATTCAAATCTTCCACTCAGCTACTTATTAGCTGTATGATATTGAGAAAATTGCTTATCACTTCTGTTTCTTATCTGTGAAACAGAAACAATGTTACCTATTTCATAGTATTGTTATAAATATTAAATAAGACATAAATATAAATAATGCTTAAAACAAGACCTGACATTCAATACATTGTCTTTTGGCTACTATTTTTATTTCATTATCAAGTAAGGGCAATTAAAAATCAACTAGAGTGCTAGAAAAGATATTTATTCTGGTTAATTAGCAAAATTACCCTTGAGAAAACAAATGGCCAGTTTGTTATATTTTACCCAGAATGGGATCTTCCCCAACCCTGCCTCTGCCTATATAAAAACATTAAAGGGTGCACATATTTAACTGTCTCTTGATTAACGTGCTTTTAACTATTTAATGTTTATTTAGGTTGCCCTAGGATGTATTAAGACTTTTTAAAAAAATTTAACTAATGGGAGAATGAAAGCTCCCCCTCAAAGTGACAGAATGGAGAACTCTTAGTGGCACTAGCATAATCCTTGGGAGGTTGGCATCGGTGGAGTAGGAGACTGAGGCTTAGTCTGATCTTTGTAATCTGTGAAATTCAATTCAACGAGAGGTTCCACATTGAAGGAAAGGAAAGCCAGTGCTGCTCAGCTGGGCACTGGCTGAATAAGCACCATTCCCCCGCTCATGACTCTAGCCACTTGCTCTGTCGTTCCCCCACCCCTGTTTGGAACACGGGGGCAGGTGCAAGTAGATGCCAGGAAAGCTGTGGAGTTTGGGCCATTATCTAGTAACGCTAGCTCTGCCAGGCAGAAAGAATTTTGTCCCTAAGATGCGTAGCCAAGAGCAGTGATGAGAAACATTTTTTATTTTTTCGGTTTTTACCATAATAGCCAATTTGGGGAAAATAAAAGTGTGAAGGGCTGCAATTTTTTATATCTTGTGTTCAGGAAATGCTGCACTTGCAATTACATTTAAGTATTCATTTATTGTTTCTCATTACCAAAGGGTTTCACTCTTTTTGCCTAAAATTTCAGAAACTTTATAACTACAGTATCTCATTCTAATGTTTTGCCTTAAAATAAATTTTGTGTATGATGAGACCTGATGGTGTTATGGGGCAGAGACTTTGGGAGACTTAGAGGTGGTGTGGCCAAAGGGATAATGGTGAATCTCTAGCCAAATCCAAACTCTGCTGCCTAGTGGATGGGCAAGACATAACCCCCTAACTGGTAGTGAATTGTGCAGTGGAAGCACGCTGGGCCCATAACCTTATTGGGCCTCAGCTTCCTTATTATAAAAAGGCAGTAATACCAGTACCTTCCTTATAGTGTGGTTGCAACCATTCAATTAGATAATATGAGTTAGTCGTGTAGTACAGAGTCTGGCACACATTGAATATTCCCTGAGTTGCTATCATTGTTGTTGTTGTTATTATTAAGGAAGTCTAGTGAAAGAAATTGGCACCAGAATTCAGCTGTAGACCAAGTATGACAGTCCTGTTTGGAAGTTTCTGCAGTAAAGAGAGGAGCTATCATTTGTAGGGAATGTCTTGGGGATCACAGAAAATGATCCAAATATGTGCCATGGCTGCTGGCATGAAAAGGGTTAAATGAAAAAAGTTAGTGAATGACAAATTAGTCTACCCCATCTCCACCCCACTGTTCCCCTCTCAATCTGTATAATTGCAAGATTGGAAAACTTTTGTTGCAACACTTCCCCAAAAGGAGAGTGGTGATGGTGAATTGGGTAGAATGGATATTTTAGTTTGAGTTTCTGCAAAAGCACATATTGAGACCAGGATTTGAGTGCAAGTAGTTTTCTTGGAAGACGATCCTGGAAGCACCGGTGAGGAATGGGGACATGAGACAGGGAAGGGAAGAAAGCCAAAAAGAAGTAGATTAATTGGCAAGATACCACCATTGGCAACTGGGGCACCTAAGATTTTTAGGAAACTGTGGGCGACATGCTCCAACAGTAAATCCATCCGGCAAGTGTTCAGGCTGGATAATTATACCCCCAATCCAATTGGTCACTGGCCAAAAGCTGCTCCTGGGGGTGTTAATTCCCTGGGACTGCATGCAGACCTAGCATGTGCCTACAGCTGAAGAAAGTCTTCTTGCAAATTAATGAATGCTGACATTAGAAAGCCATCATTGTATACAGAAATGGTGAGAACAAGAGAGATACGGGTGGGCAACCAACAGCTTCTAATACAATAAGGAGACCCTTCAATCATTTTTCCTAGATCTGTGAATGACCCCATTCTGTATAATTTAATTATTCTTATTAATTTTTTATTAAGCACCTGCAGTGTATAAGGCTCTGAATTATATAGGCACTTGGTATGTATTTGTTGGTGAAGTAGACACGACTGCTTCCCTCACAAAATTTACAATTAGTTGGAGACGGGAGAAAGACAAAGAAGTGAGAAATATAAATAAATACATATATATGCATATATGCATGTACATATTTTTACAGTTGTAATTTCTATGAAGAAAATGAATATTGTGCAGAGAAGTAAAATAAGAATTAGTGGGAGTGGAGAGGATCAAATAATACATACTCAGAATGAACATCGCTTAGAATGTTCTAAGCAAAGAGAAAAGCATGGGCATGGCCTTTAGAGAGAAAAGACTGGAATCTGGGGGAATAAAGAGAGGCTCCTAAGTGGAGCGGGGAGTGACATGAGACACCAAAGAGGCAGGGATGCAATCCCAGTAGGTATCAGGTAATGGTAAAAGTCTTGAGAGGAAATTAGGAAGGTTAAGGGATAAAGAGAGAAGCTGTACTATTTTAGATCAGCTGGTTGGGGGAAAACCTTGCTGGTGAAATGAAATTTGAGTGCAGACCTGAAAGAATTAGGAGAGGGAGAGCCTCAAAGATGTCTGAGGGGTATATTCCAGGGAGAGCAAAGGACAAGAGCAGAGGCCTGAAATCTGAGATTGGGGAGAGTCTGAGAACCAGCAAAGAAACCAGTTTTGCTGGATTGGAATGAGGAAGAGGAGAGCTGCAGGAGATGAAGCTGAAAAAGGAGGCAGAGGCTGGATCCTGTAGGGTGCTGTGGGTTCATAGGAGGAAACTGGATTTGATGTTGAGTGAAATGGGAAGGCATTGGAAAGGAGCCATACAATTTGTTTGTAAAAGATCTTGCTTGTGGCTAATGAAAGTAAATTCACTTAAGGGGTGAAGTCAAGAAGGTCAGTAAGGAGGTGGCTGCAGCCGTCCAAGGAAAAGATGGTGGTGGGTTGGCCCAGGGTGGAGGCAGCAGAGAGGGAAGGCATGGTATATAGCATGCCATGCGTGGTCTTCCATGCCCCACTTCCAATGGTGCATCTATAGTCCAGTCCTGTTCATTAGTTTTTCCATCACTTTTCTCAGTGATGTTGAGTAGTGTTGGACAGTCTAGGGACCAACTTTAATATTTTAAGTTTCTTGTTCCTGATTTTGGTTCATGGGCACCCCTTGGACCCACTAGGTTTTTTGTTTTTTGGGTTGTTTTGTTTTGTTTGAGATGGAGTCTCACTCTGTTACCCAGGCTGGAGAGCAGTGGTGCAATCTCAGCTCACTGCAACCTCTGCCTCCCTAGTTAAAGTGATTCTCCATGCCTCAGCCTCCCAAGTAGCTGAGATTACAGGCAGCCACCATCACACTAAGCTAATTTTTGTATTTTTAGTAGAGATGGGGTTTCACCATGTTGGCAAGGCTGGTCTTGAACTCCTGACCTCAGGTGATCTGCCCACCTCAGCCTTCCAAAGTGAGGGGGTTACAGGTGGAGCCACTAGATTTCCATCACCGTGTCAGCAGTCAAAACACAAGAAGACAACCAGCGGATTTGACTTGAATGATGAATCTACACAATTCCATTGAGATGTGTTTGGGAACATATTTCTGAAGACCAGAAAGCAATAAGAAATTTATGAAGTAGATAATAATCCCACTACATGGAATATGATTTTAAACAAGTCATTGCCCAAATCGGTAGGGGTCCATTCAGGAAACAAGAGCTCATGCCAGGTGGTTCAATTACAAAAAGTTAATGTAGACAATTAGCTACACAGGGTTTGGATGATTTGGAAAGGGTCCTTAAGGCAATCTGAAGACGAGCAAGGGAGGGAAGACACCCCTAAGGGTAGAGCAAGGATTGACAAAGAAAATCTGTTGAGTAGAACTGGCTGGCCCCCTACCTGTTTGTATATGGCCCACAGGTGAAGAATGGCTTTTACACTTTTAAAGGTTTATGTGTATATGCATATATATAATTTTTTTTTGAGACAGTCTTGCTCTGTCACCCAGGCTGGAGGGCAATGGTGCAATCTGGACTTACTGCAATCTCCACCTCCTGGGTTCAAGTGATTCTCGTGCCTCAGCCTCCCGAGTAGTTGGGAGTACAGGCACACACCACCATGCCCGGCTAATTTTTGTATTTTTACTAGAGACGTGGTTTCACCATGTTGGCCATGCTGTTCTCGAACTCCTGATCTCAAGTGATCTGCCTCCCTCGGCCTCCCGAAGTACTGGGATTACAGGCATGAACCACCATGCCCGGCCTAAATGTGTATGATTTAAATGCTACATAAGTACTTACAAAATACTATCCTCAATTTTGCCTTTTGACTCATAAAGCCTAAAGTGTTTACTCTCTTGCCCTTTTTTGTTTTTTTCAAAAATGTATTGACTCCTAGGCAAGAGGCACGATAAGAGGAAGTGGTCTTGTTAGAGCCCAAGGTGGAACCTGTCTATCAGAAGCTGAGAATATGGTGAGAGGAGGCGTCTAGTGAGTTCAGGAACCAAGGAAGAGATGCAGCTACTATGAAAGATGTTCACCAAAGCAACAAGAGAAAGGAGTGAAATCCCCTAGATTTTCCCTTGCTCTAACCCTCCAGTCTCCCACCAGAGCTTCCTAATGGCTGAATGTAACTGGAAGCCAGTTGGACAGGATCAGGCCCCTGACTGAGATCCAGAGCACAGGAGGAGTAGGGCATGGGATCAGAACAACCAGATGATGACTACCACAGAAACCCTTGCTGAACCTCAGTTTCCTACAAAATGAGAAAGCTGGATTTAAGGCTTCCTAAGAGAGAGTTAGACCTCTAATTCTACGAAAATACAGAGGAACAGTAGAACTTGACCTTGGCCAGGAACCTGGTAGTGCCCCAGCCACTGCTGCTCCAGGGAGAACAGAGGGAAATGTAAAGACTCAAAGCATTAATTTATATAAGACTCTTTGAACCTCGTAGGGCTTGCTCTGAAGCTTGTTCTATTTAGGTAAGATCTGAACAGTCTTTTAAAGACCAGGATTGGGGCACTTACTGAAAATGATTGTAGGTTATGTAATCAAGGCTGTTGTTTCTGTTGAGCTCCCATAGGGAAGTGACAAGCGGCAGAGATTAAATCATTGTATGCTGAGTGGGCCTTTTATGTAGTTCTCAGTCTCACTGTGTGTAATTTTACAGAGCAGGCATGGGGGAGTGTGGTGGGAAGAACCTCATTACCAGGGAGAAGCTTTACACCCTAGAAGAACACAAACATTACTGTTTTCAAAGTTATAAAAATAAGTTCTAGTTTTTTCCTTACATCTGTTTTCTTTCCTAGAATAGGAAAGAGAAATAGAGAGACTGACTTTGAGTTGCCTAGAAAAGGACAAAAAAATCCAGCTGTAGTGACAGCCTCGGAATGGCAGAAGGAAACAGCCCACTCTTATCTGTATGTTATGTCATGTGCCTTGAAAATGTGTGGTGCCTGCACCATGGTCCCATTAACCACCCTCTCTGCTTCCTTCTATTCCTGAAAGAAAGAAATGTTAGGACATGCTTTGCGTCCCCTCAAGCAGGTGGCTGGAAGTCCCACGGTATACCTTATGGGGTCAAGCTGGTGTCAACTGAGTGGTGGAGACCTGTGTTCCCTCTCCTTCCCCAACCCCAGCCCATCCCCAATAGAATGGCATTTTGTGAGCCATGAGAGGACTTAGATTCTCCAGGGCTGAGAGGTTCAAACAGAGAGGATTGGCAAGTATTCAAACTGACTCGCTAGTCAGATACTCTGGCAGCCAGAGCCGAGACATGAAACCATCAGGGCTTGGAGTGTCATGAAGTGACAACTGGAAAACCAGGATTCACATTCTTAATTCCCCTTCCAGTATCCCACTGTGGGAATTCAGAGACCCTGGATGTGATCAGAACTTTAGACTCTCTCAATGATAGGTTGAAAGCTCCCCTACCTGCATGGTAACGTGTAGAAAGCTCATTTAAAATGGAGATTCCAGCCAGGCACGGTACACTGCTTGCTGTAATCCAAGCACTTTGGGAGGCAGAAGCAGGTGGATCACTTGAGGTCAGGATTTCAAGACTAGCCTGGCCAACATGGTGAAACCTCATCTCTACTGAAAATACAAAAATTAGCCAGGCATGGTGGCGCACACCTGTAGTCCCAGCTACTTGGGAGGCTGAGGCAGGAGAATCACTTGAACCCAGAAGGCGGAGGTTGCAGTGAGCCAAGATCACACCACTGCACTCCAGCCTGGGTAACAGTGCAAGACTCTGTCTCAAAAAAAAAAAAAAAAAAAAAATGGAGATTCCAAGACCCTACCCCAGAGACACATTTAATCAGTATCTGGGTGAAGCCCAAGGATTGGCATCTTAAATAATCCCCAAGTAAGCCTTAGACTTGTGGAAATTGGAGAACTGCTGACCTAAAAAGAATCAGACAGAGCTTTGATTTCCAATAGACTGATATGTTGTGTTTTAACATTGATTGATTTTTTTTTTAAATTTGGGATTACACTTTGATTTCAGCAAACAATTACCTTATTTATTATACTTAACACAATAAAAAATTTTTAGGTACCATAAAAAACAAATGGATGTTTTTATTTTTTGTTATTTTCAAATTTTCTATTATGACATACATTACTCTTAGAAAGAAAAACAAAAAACTTGAAAAGAAAGCAAATGGTAATTTAAATGTGGTAGTAATAGGTGAACAGTAGCACTTTCACACCCCCGCCAACAATGTGCTTTTGAGCATGTCCCCTTAAAAAAGGCTGAAGTGCTAGTTGCCTTCTCCACCTCAGCCAAATACAAATGAAGGTAGAGATCAAAAAGTAGGGTGGATATGTTAATTCTTATATATATATATATATATATATACGTATATATATATATACGTATATATATATACACATATATATACATATATACACATATATACATATATATACATATATATACATATATACATATATACATATATACATATATATATATGGCAAAGATCATCATCATCATCGTTGTCATCGATATCATTATTATCATCAAAAAAGGCCACTATTGATAAGTTTACCATATACCAGGACAGTGGAAATCACATAACACATATTATACCCATCAGCGCTAACAACACCTCTATGAGATAGCTACTCTAAACTCCACTTGACAGGTGAGCAAACTATGGCTCACTGAGATTGAATGCCTTGCCCTAGGTCACATAGCTAGTAAGTGGCAAGGCCATACTTAGAATGTCTGGATCTGACTCACATCAAAGACCATGCCCTTCACCACCATACTGTAAAGAGCAGCAATGATGCCCTTGAGTTGACAAGTCCCCACAATTGCAGAGACTTCCTCCTCATTCCTACATTTATAGCCTATTCCTCATACCAGCCAAACCAGGAAGGTCAAGAGGAATTTAGCAAATGGTTCTCAGAGATATTGTTTTCCTTGGGACTCAGAATCACTGGCATTAATTTTCCAGTTGATTTCCTGAGTCCAGGAATAAACTGTGAAGGAAGAACAACTCTAGGCTGGAACTGAAATGATTGTTCTTTTTCCTTTTTGCAGCTGGCTAGAATTTGAAATAAATAAGTTGTTGCTGACACAGTTTGTAGAATTTCTCATTTTTCATTTTGAAAGATTCTTTGCCAAACTAGCAGCTGTCACTTAGAGACTGTTAAGGAGTCACACAAATGACAGGGTTTTCTAAGAATAAAGCTATTCCAAAGGGTTTAATGCTATAGCTGATTCTCCTTTCCCTGACAAGGGGTGGATTGTGGAGGGAAGAAGGAGATGAGCTGAGGGGTCCCAGATACTAATCAAAAAACCTGAACATCTTTGATTGCAATGAAGGATCTTTAGTTATCATCTCTTTAGGCTTAATGCTGTGATATAAGAAGTAAGTGTAAAGTGCAGAGAATCACTTTTCCTAAGTACAGAGCTGGGGCTTCTTCCAAGGTATGCTTGATTACCTTTTGGCATCTTTAGAAATTAGCTATGAATTATGCTCAACAATCTCTGTACACGTGTTTTATTTTAGTACATGCACCAGGGGGTTCACTTTCCACTATTCTTCCACCGTCTTGCATTCTGTTGTTTAAGTTAAATTTTCTGTTGTTTATAACCACATTTTAAAATATCCTTTTTTATTAGAAAAAGTAGCACTTTTTTTGGTTTTTTTCTGTTCTAAAATCCTTTTAGCAAAACTATGGAGACAGTAAAAAGATCAGTGGTGGCCAAAGGTTGAGGGAGATGTGGGGTGTGGAAGGAATGAATAATTGGAGCACAGGATTTTTTTAAGGCAGTGAAACTACTCTGTATAATACTATAATGATGGATACATGTCCTTATAAATTTCTCCAAGCCCACAGAATGTACAGCATCAAGAGTGAGCCCAGATATGAACTGTGGACTTTGGATAACGGTATGTCACTATATGTTGATTAATTGCAACAGATGTACCTCCTTTGTGCAGAATGTCAATAACAGGGGAGACTGTGCCTGGGGAGGAGAGGGGTTATATGGGAACTCTTTGTATTTTCCTCCCAATTTTTCTGTGAGCCTAAAACTGATATTTAAAAAAAAGTATTTATTTTTTAAAAATCCTATTATATAGAAATGAATTAGAATATTAAAATCCTTCTTAATGTAACTTCTCAGAGATAATCTCCACAAAAGTTTTGATGTACGTTATTTCAGAACTTTTCTTTTTATGCATTCATTTTTATAATTTTGATGTAAATATTATTTTACAAGTCATTTTTATTAAAAAGAATAATTATAAATATATTTTCATGTCAACCCTTATGTCTCTACCACCTGTTTTTTGGACCTCATAGCTATACTATAATTTCTTGTATGACTATATCATAGTTTATGATGCCAGTTACCTATGTGGACAGTTAGGTTATTTTGGTTTTTCACTATCACAAACAATGGTACAATTAAAATAATTTTGTAAGCTCATCTGTCAGGTAAGTCCCTGGGCCAAAAGGTGTACACACCTTAAATTTTTATAGATTTTGCCAAATTCCTCTCCAAAAGACAATTTATATGCCTATCAGGAAGATATGAAAGTGCCTGTTTCTCCATTCTTCCTAATATGGAATACTACAAATGCATTTACTTAATTACTTTAGTGAGAATTAATACTTTTTTACATAATTATTAGGCATCTGTATTCCTGGCCAAAAAAAATTTAAGAAGAATATGCTCACATTTCTTTATATCTAATCACTGGCATACCCACCTTATCTCTTGCCCACCTGCCCCCAGTTGTTTTATGTCAATATTCCTCAATGCATACCTTTGATTTACTAACTGATGCAACTCACTTTCAGTATGGTACCAGGCACTATGCTTGGCAATGAAGGGAATTTAAAAATGAAAAGGGAATGGGCTCTTTTTTTATGGAGCTTCATCCTTTTTAAGAATAGCTTGATATTGATCAAGTTAAGGCACAGAGAAATTCCATGGCTCATCCATCACCCACTGCAAGTCCTCGGTTGTACAGGAGTTTGCATAAATATTCCTGAAATCCTTACCCAATATGACCATCACACAGAGTCACACTGCAGATAATTAGAATTAAGGTCTCTTAATCTTTACTAATGACAAAGAAGTCTATGACAAATCACCCAAATTAACAAATTAATATTTACACAGTGTGAGCGAACATTTTGAAAATTTGTATATTGAATTAATTTACATCATGGTGCTCATCTTAACAACCCTCATTAAATGTTGGCATTGAGAAGAGTTTGTTTCATAGTACTTACAAAGAAAACTCATTTTCTAGTCCCTGTTTCCTCACAGATACAACGTATGGTGAAAGAGTTTGTCTTCAGGTTTAATTTTAAACAATTTATTCTTATTTATCTCTAGATTTAGTTTATGTCTTGCTAAAATGAGAAGGGACTTGTTCCTTCAATATTCTTCTAAGTCATCACAATTGTCAAGAGAGAGTAAATGCCATGGATAATATGCCATTATATATGTTGTGGGGTGTTGCTGTTTTTTTTTTTTTCTTGTCAGTGTGAACCACCATCTTTGACACAAACTTTGCCATTTCCAAATCTGAAATTACTACTCTGATTACCATGGTCTTTAGAGATGGAATTCAGTCGCTCTGCAGAGTGAATATTCTTTAAAGACTGATAAAGCTTAGTGTTTCCTTTATACAGATTTTTAAAAAGTAAAGCATAAATATTCCGTATGGGAACAAACAGTGGCACAGAAGAAAATGAATGTAAATTCCTTATGTTGTGCAAGACTAAATGAAAATGTAATGTGAATTCCTCCCTAACTCAGGCTCATCACTGGTGCCAGATGACTATGTGTTTCTGTAGTTTTAAAAATCACTTCAATTTTCAACCAAATGCTGCTAGCCAGATAAACAGTGTGTCTCTGGTGCTTTTTATAATGCTTTTTAGAAGAGAAATACAGGGAGTAAGAAAAAAAAGTACACTCAGCTCTTCTTTCAAAGTCTCACTGTACATCAGCAGAAATACTCAGAGACGTGTTGAACTTTTGAGCCCTCGTTCATTCACTCATTTGGTCAGTCCATCTGTGTCAAGTGTGTAACCAGATGAGGATAGGGTGCTTGCCCTCAGCAACAGAACTAGTCCATCTTTAGCTATGTTTGCGATCTAAGGGCACCACCATCTTAGCTAATTGGATGGGAGGTGGGCACTAATTTATCAGCCAGTCAATAATTTATAAATGGTTCCTGGCAAAAAGACTCGTTCATTCATAGAGCACATTTTTTGAATGCCTGCACTGTGCCAGGAGCTGTTCTTGGTGCCGGGAATCCAGTGGAGAGCAAGATTGATTGGGGCCTTCTCATGGAGCTTCATGTTGTAGTGGGAGGAAGGAAGGGAGAAAATAAACAAGCAAACGAGCAAGAGACCAAGACTGTGTCAGATTAAAATAGGTACCATGACAAAAATTAAACAGAGTGATGTGATGAATAATTGGGGAAACGTTGGCAAAGAGATCCCTTTTATGAGGAGACATTGAGCAGAGACCTGAATAGCAAGAAAGATGAACGATTGCAAAGATCTGGAGAAGAGATTCTTACAGATGGAACAGCAGGAGCAAAGGCGGGAAGAGGCCTGGTGTGGTAAAGGAATAGAAGGAAGACTAGTGTGGCGAGACCACAGTGCGTAAGTGCAGAGTGTGATGCAGTGAGGCGGGGAGGAGCCAGTATCAGACATGGCCTCGTGGGCCCGATAAGGCGTGTGAATTTTTTTCTAGATGAAAGGGGCATCTTTTACTTACAACTACAGAAGTAGGCCAGCCATGGTGGCTCACACCTGTAATCTGAGCACTTTGGGAGGCTGAAGCAGGAGGATCGCTTGTGCCCAGCAGTTCAAGACCAGCCCGGGCAACATAGTGGGACCTCACCTCTAAAAAAAAAAAAAAAGAATAAAAAATTAAAAAAAAAAAACTACACAAGTGCCATGATCTGATTTACATATTTTAATAATTATTTTAGCTGCTATGTGAAAAAAAATTTTTTCTGGTGCAGTGAGGAGACCAGTTAAATGGTGGTTACAGATAATCTAGGCAACAGTTGATGGTGGCTTAATTCAGGTTTTAGTGGTTCAGAGAGAGAAAACTGGAATAATTTAGGATATATGTAAAGGTATAATCCATAGAACTGGCTAATAGAAAGCATATATGGGCGAGAAGGTTAGGCAAAGAAGGAATGAAGTTTTGGGGTCCAAGAACTGGAAGGATGATGGTGGGAGGTTGGTGGGATATCAGTTGGTTGTTCTATTTTGGACATGTAAATCTGTGATATTTATTAGATGCAATAGTTTTTTTCTTAATAAATGAGGAAATGACCTGTTGTAGAAAGCTGCACCAGACCAACTCGATTTCTTATTTGGGGAATTTGCACCAAGAAGCTAGAGAGAGTAGGAACAAAGGAGGGATAGAGTTTCACATCATTGATGAGGTACAGTCAAGACCAAAGAGGCAATGAAGAACTCTATATAAGCCAAAATTATAAGGAAGCAGAAAACTCTGAATCAAGAAGGAGGCCACTTCCTTCAGAGGTGAAGGAAAGTATCAGAGGAACAAAGACACCTTGAGAAACCAGCAGGATGCATGTCCTGTGACAGAGACGGGAGGTGAGTTAATCCTAGAGCTGCCTCTGTATTTCTTACTTTCTAGCTCCGTTCATATGTATCCTTCCAAAAATACCCTCATTTCTTGATGTAACCTAAATGGGTCTCTGTTTCTTTCTAATACACTAACCTATTTGAAATAAATACACAGGCACACTGAGGACCACCAAGATTAGTATGACAAATTCATTGTCCTCAAGGAATTCACAGTTCAGTGAAGAAGAAAAGATAATCACACACACACACACAAAAACTGTTTTGTAAAGTCAAAATGGAAGGCTAAAGGTGTTAAAACACTATTTATTTGCCATTGGGATTAAATTTTTTTAAAATTAAACAAAAAATATGCAACTTGCTCACTGGAATCTGCATTAAGTAATAGAAAGTGTGACAATTTCTAGCAGGAAATAGATGGTATTAAATAAGACAAGGGTTTCCCAGTTTGGAGCATGGTTTTTACCCATACCTGCATACCACCTGGACTATTTACTTAATATTTTCGTTTGAGTAAAAACTCACTTTTGTAATTGAAATGCACACTTTACCCCATCCTAAACGATAATACCCTTGAAACAATGTGAAAATAAAGAGCAGTCCTCTATGCCTCCGCAGTCATCTCAATCATCAAGGCTACATGTACTAGATTCTTGGAAACACTGTCCTAGAGAAAAAAGAGCTGAATCCAGGGTTACGAGATCTGACTTTGGACTTGCCTCCCTCACCGAGCAATTGTGGGATTCTGGGTGAGTCAGTCTGTTTTTATCTCCGCAATAAAATGAGTACAATATCAGCCCTGCCCACCTTACAAGGTGATTACAGATCAAACAAACCAAAGTGTGTCAAAATGGTTGAAAAAAGAAAAAGTACTGAATATATGACAGTGCTTATTATGGATGTAGATGTGGACTGTAATGATCATACAGTGGCTTCCTAAAATGAGTGTCCCTTGGGAAAATGCTGGCATTTTAAAACCAAAAAGAATGGTTTCTCCTCTAAGCTATGTTCCCAGGATGTTCCAGCTCTTATCTTCTCAAAACTTGTTTTCACTCACACAATTTGATCACTGCTCATTCACTGCTTTTGTGGTATTTCCAATTATTTCTAGCAAGCAAGCCTCATCTTCCCAAATATATTAAAAAGTCCCCAGAGAACTCATTCAAATGAGTTAACAATTATAAAATAAACTATACATTATAGTACATAGTGTGGTATAGACAAGGATTTAGTGCTATTTATGGGCTGAGTCTTTGTACAAGTTATTAATCTCTCTGAACCTATTTTCTAATTTGGAAAATGAAACTAATAATCCCTATTTTGCAAGTTTTCTGTGACATTGAATGAAATAATGATAGTTAATTGCTTAATACAGTGCCTGGCCCATGGCAAATTGTAAAAAAAAATAGCCATTATTATTGCAAGAGTGATGAGCATTATTATTCGCACTGGTGACATACCAGTATTAGGGGTCTAGAATTCTAAATGTCATTATACTCACCTCATAGGGTTATTATGAAAATTAAATGAGGCTGGGAGTGGTGGCTCACGCCTGTAATCTCAGCACTTTTGGAGGTTGAGGTGGGCAGATTGCTTGATCTCAGAAGTTGGAGACCTGCCTGGGCAACATGGTGAAACCTCGTCTTTACAAAAAATACAAGAATTATCTGAGAATGGTGGCATGCCCCTGTAGTCCCAGCTACTTGCTGGGCTGAGATGGGAGGATCACTTGCACCTGGGAGGTTAATGCTGCAGTAAGCTGAGTTTCTGTTAGTGCTCTCCAGCCTAGGTGACAAAGAGCTACTCTGTCCCCCACCCTCCCCCAACCAAAAAAAAAAAAAAAAAAAAGAAAAGAAAAAGAAAAAATAATAGAATAGAAAAGAAAAGAAAATGAAAGTAATCACATGTAAACACGGTCTGGCACATGATAAGTGCTTAATAAATATGATGAGCCTTTGCTATCATCATCAGCTTTTGTTATCTCCGTGTCTACTATTGTAAGTCTTACTTGGATAAAGTAGGATATGATGACTTTAAGAATTTTGAGTTGTAGAAAATTCTGTATCTAATCATAATTGACTACATTGTTATCTATTTTTTGAAATACTCTAAGAATTTAACACAATGTTAGAAAGTAATAGATACCTAAAAGATACTACATGATGAACAGGAGAGATTAGCCTATGGTTTGATTTGAACAAGTAAAACTTCTTATTGATAAAGAGCTAGACCTGTGCTATTATACACTAGCTACATGCACTTGAAACGTGGCTGGTCTGAATGGAGGTATGCTGTAAGTGTAAAATACACATTACATTTCAAAGACTTAGTATGAAGAAAATAATATTTAAGTCTCATTAATAATTATTTATATTGATTACACATAGATGCAAGTGATATTTTCGATATATTGGTTTATATAGACATGTTATCAAAATTTATTTCACCTGTTTCTTTTTATTTTTTTAATGTAGCTACCAGAAAATTTAAAATTGCACATATAGTTCCCATTAGTGGCTTGCATTCTAGTTCTGTTGGGCAGTGCTGATCTAGGACTTTTTTAGACTTCATTTTTTAGAGGAATTTTAGGCTCACAGCAAAATGGAGAGGAAAGTACAGAGATTTCTCATAATCCCCCTTCCCCGCCACATGCATACCTTCCCCCTTTATCAATATCCCCCACCAGAGTAGTGCATTTGTTAAAACTGATGAACCTACACTGACACATCATTATCATCCAAAGTCCACAGTTTACCTCAGGGTTCACTCTTGTTGTTGTATGTTCTACGGGTTTGAGTAAATGTACAATGACATATAATCACCACTATAGTACTATATGGAGTATTTTCACTGCTCTGAAAATCCACTGTGATCTGCTTATTCACCACCCTCACCACCTCCAACCTCTGACAACCATTGATGCTTTTTCTGTCTCCATAGTTTTGCTTTTTCCAGAATGGCATATAGTTGAAGTCATACAGTATGTAGCTCTTTCAGATTGGCTTATTTCACTTAGTAATATGCATTTAAGTTTTCTCCATGTCTTTTCTTAGCTTGGTAGCTCCTTTCTTTTTAGCACTTAATAATATTCCATTGGATGTAGCTCCTTTCTTTTTAGCACTTAATAATATTCCATTGGATGTAGCTCCTTTCTTTTTAGCACTTAATAATATTCCATTGCATGTACTGCAGTTTATCCCTTCACCTACAAAAGGACATCTAAGTTGCTTCCGAGTCTCTAGGATTATGAATGAAGCTACTATAAACATCTCTATGCAGATTTTCATGTGGACATAAGGTTTTAATTCCTTTGGGTAGATACTAAGGAATGGAATTACTGGGTCACATGGTAAGAGTATGTTTAGTTTGTGTAAGAAATCACCAAATTGCTTTCCAAAGTAGCTGAGCCATTTTGCATTCCCACCAGAAATAAACATTTGGTGCTATCAGTGTTCTGGATTTTTGCCATTATAATATTAAGAGGTATGTAATTGTATCTCATTCTTTTAATTTGTATTTTTTTTCTGATGACACGTGATGTGGAACATCTTTTCATATATTTATTTGCCCTCTGCATATCTTCTTTGGTGAGGTGTCTGTTAAGGTCTTTGGCCCATTTTTTAATCAGAATGTTTCCTTATTGTTGAGGTTTAGAAGTTTTTTGTGTATCCTGGATAACAGTCCTTTATGAAATGTATCTTTTGCAAATATTTTCTCCAAGTCTATGGCTTGTCTTCTTCATTCTCTTTATAATCTAGGCCATTGAAGAGTTCAAGTGCTGGCAAAATATTGTGGCACGTCTTATAATTGTACAATATCAAAATGGCCTTTTTGAACAGAAAACAGTAGCAAAATTCTTCTCAGACTTTTAATCTCAACTCTTTTTTACTGTTTTTTGTTTGTTAAAGCTATTTTCTCCAATTATTGTTTTGTAGAAAGTCACAGTTTTAAGGAGGTAGGGTTTAGTCATCTATTCCAGTTTTGTCATTTGTTTACATCTCATTTTATTTAAAATGTATTTTTTTCTAACAAAACATTTAAGGGTTGTTTCTACTGGATTAAAAAGTATAGAAGAGTAACAGTACCTCCTAAAACTAACAAACTAACAAAATACCAAATACACAACAAATAATGTTAGAATTATATGTATAATCTTAAAGGACAGTCAGTGGCTAAGGTGATGAGTCTGAAAAAAATGAATTATTTAGATATCAATAATATTTTAATTAATTTATATGAATAGGATATTGCCTTTAGTAATGCCATTTATACCCAGCATTAACAGATTATAGAAGATTACCATTTCCTACTTAGTATTCCATATTAATTTGTGAATCTAGTGGATTTTTATTGAAAACCTTACGTTATTTTCATACGCACATTTCCAAATCTTTAGCAAGTACTATATATAACAGGATAACCTTTTAATGAGTTATTTTATATTAATTGTTGAAATTAAAATATTTTACCAAAGAATATGCTGATAATGTTTTAAATTATCATATACATCTATGCATCCACATGTAGGTCTGACTGTTCAGACTTTTGGGAATATTATAAAATTAGGAGCCCTGGTAAGCTAAGAGTCAACACGAACTGCTTTACTTCATGAAGATCTTGCAAAGAAAATCTCAACAACTGTCTGAAGCTCGCAAAATAATTTTTTATAAAGAGATATTAAGTACCAACTTGCTTTAGCTTAGAACTGGTGATTCACAGAATAGAAGAAATAAAATGTTCTTTCTGTAATCTACTCACCTCCATCTTCCTTCTTCACTCTGCAGGTTTGTAACAATCCACCCTCCTCCAAATTTACAAACCATTTGCTTTTCCAAAGTTTATCTACAAGTCAGTCATTGCCCCTTCGAGTGCAATGTGTATTACGTTCCAAGGCTAGCCCACCAAACCTCCGTATATTGCTAAAATGCTATGCATTTACACTGAACAACCCAGATGCAACATAATTAATGAAAAGAGATTGCCACAAAATTAAATATTATTTTAAAATATGTCTTGATCTATGCTTGAAAAAAGGCAGTTTTTAATTAGCAAATGAAGAGAAAATGGGAGAGACTTCTGTGGCCATTCTGAAAGTTGGTTTGGGAACTTTCAAAGACTATCGAGGTTAATGGCAAAGATTCTGTATAGCATCTAGTAGAATTTCCAAATGTCAGACTTATTACCCTTAAATGCATTAGCCACGGTAGGGTCCTGTGTGACTCACGTGGACAGAGGGATGTAGGGGAAGTGATAAAAAGAGAGCAAATCAGAGTAGAGAGATTTCTGAGATGACTGAGAAAGAGGTGAAAGTCAGAAAAGGGAGGTGAATCAAGAGTGTGTCTGTGAGTGAAAGATGGTAAGTGAACTGGAAACAGAAGGAAGAAAAGAGAATGTATGGAGCATACTGTCAGTGATCAGTGTTAACAGCTCTCATTTACTGAGCTCCCACACTGGGCCAGCACTGTGCCAAGCGCTTTAGACACATGTAATTTTCACAATGAAAGTCTCACTTATAAATGACAAAACCAAGGCCCAGAAGGTTAAATGTTAGGTTGAAGCATATGAAATTGACACATTTATAGATCAAAACCAGGTGAATATCGACAATTTTATGTGAAAAGACCTCAACTTAACACCTTACCGAAGGCCACAGGGCTAGTAAATTTTGGAATGAGGTTTTAAATGCCTCAAATACCTGGCTCCAAAACACTAGTTATTTCCCCTACTTTTCACACTTCCACACAACAATACTGGTGAGAAGTAAAAATATCTTACGGGAGAAGCTTGAGTCAGACAAGCCCTCATTCTGGCCATGAAAATGGTCCCATCAAAGAAGGAATGCTTTTTGGAGCCAAGTGGAGGGTAGGGAACAGAGTAGAACTAATTATTTGAATGTATGGGTTATTTGTGGGTCTGCTTTTGCAGCTTGAAGGTTGTCTACAGTAAATAGTTTATATGTATTAAAAAGTTAATTGATAAAGTGAAGACCATTCCTGCAACAGCATGCTTACATTGCAATGTGTTTATATACAAGATAAATATTTTATTCCTTTCACCCTAAGAAAGCAGGGTTTTATTGGTTATCAACAGCTAACATCTTTATGCAAATTATTCCATTGGAACTGGCTGTGATTTTCATTCCAATTGGCTGCATGGTTTAGTCAACAATATTCTAACAGCTAGATGAGTTCAATCAATGACATTAATGCCTTATGAAGGGCCTTCTTTGCCAACCCTTTTATTGATTTTTGTATTTTTATGTCCTCTAAGATTTCCTCATTGGGCTGAAACCTCTACCCGCCGATAAATAGCTCTGTCTGTTGTTCTGGACTTATTTCATTTTTTTCTGAGTATTAAGGCAGCACCTAGATTACTCCTCCACACTTTGTTGTCACTCAAACTTAGATGCTCCTCCCTTCCTTCCTTCCTTCCTTTTCTCCTTGCTTTTTTCCTTCTCTCTCTCCCTTCCTCTCTTCCCTTTTCCTCCGCTCTCTTCTTCTTTCCTTTCTTTCCTTCTCCTGACTTAGCCTTACAGAGCAAATTTGCAATATGAACCATTGATTGAACATGGGCCCCAATGCCATGATTGGACAGTGGGAAAGGCCTAAGGTGACTGATGGAGTACATATGCTTCTTTCCAAATCTGCACTTTCTACTTCTCAGTTAATGATACCCAAAAAGCTAATAGTTATTAATTGTATGCCACAAAATTTTCCTAATGGATTTTCTCATTTATTTTGAGAAAGCTTATTTTGTCTCCTCCAGGTGAATGAGTTAGGCCAGTGATCCCCAAAGTGATTTTTCAGAACTATTAATCCTGTGAAATGCTCTTCAAAGAAAGGATTTAAATGCTGTTGAGAAACACCATTTACTGGCCCCCTTTATGATGTACGTTGAAATTGTAAATGCTCTGAGAAGTCCTACAGTAGAAAAATCTGTTTATTTTTGTTCATCTGGCATTTCCCAAACTCATTTGATCATAGAAACTTTTCTTAAAGTGTTAAGATCTTTTAACGTCACACAATTAGTTTTTCATATGGCATACTTTGGGAAATGCGGAGTTAGACATTAACAAATTTTCTCATTTTAACTGCAAAAGAGGAGGTATAATCTTAAAAGGATCATTTTAAATTAAAAGTTAAAAACCTCCATGCTGCCTCTGAAACATATGACGGCCCCTGAGCACTGGGCTATGAGAACCTTGGCTTTATATGTGATGAGTTGATACCAAATAGACTGCAGACTCAAACACCAATAGTGCCATGCAAGTAGCATAAATGATGAAGAAGACAGGATATAAAACACCACAGTGCAAAAGGAATGAATAGACAGACCCACTGCTACTCAGCCCTATGAAGAACTAGCCTCAGAAATGATGGCCGAGGTGGGAGAATCACTTGAACCTGGGAGGCGGAGATTGCAGTCAGCCGACATCGCACCATGGCACTCCAGCCTGGGTGACAGAGCGAGACTCTGTCTCAAAAAATAAAAAAAAAAAAGAAAAGAAAAAGAAATTGGGCTCTTTACCAACAGATGCTCTAAGCGGTGCATAAAAAGTTTAAGGAGAAACTGGATATTTTAACCATATCTGCCCCAAATGTTTATAAATTACAAAAGGAAAAATAATATGTAATTGGTATGATGCACTGAGGTCACAAAATTGCTTCTGTAGTCTTTTTGTCACAAGTGCATAACCTCAATCTAATAATGGGAAAAAAAATCAGACAAATCATATTGAGAGATATTCTGTGAAGTAACAGACAATCTGTGAAGTACTCATATGTTCCGAGAAGTAACGTGTAAGTAACATTCTGTGAAGTGTTTATCAGAAGTGCCACAGTCATAAAAGACTGGGGGAAATTAGGGACTGTCACAGATTGATGGAAACTAAGGAAACACAACAACTATGCAACTACATATTATTTTATAAAAGCGGTGTAGGATCCTGGATCAGATTCTGGAATGGAGAAAGGACATTATTAGGAAATGCAGCGAAACTTGAATAAAGTCTGTAGTTCAGTTAAAAATATTGTGGGACATTTAATCAGGGGAAACTAGAGGAAGAGTATATATCACCTCCGTGATTTTTGCAAAATTTTGTTTAACATTAGTTCAAAATAAAAAGTTAAAAAATGATAGCAGAAAAACAAAGAAAAGAAAAAAAATGATGGGATTCAGGAACTCCAACACAACACTGACCTATAGAAACATAGTACAAGCCATGGATATAAGTCACAGGTATAATTTTAAGTTATCTAGTAGCTAACTTACAGGAAATGAAAATGGCAAAATTAGTTTTAGTAATATATTTTGTTTAACCTGATATATCCAAAGTATTAAGATGTTAACATTGTAATCAATATAAAAATGTTAATGATATCGTCAACATTCTTTTGTACTGTCTTCAAAATCCAGATTCAATTCAGACTTTTCAAATTCTCAATAGCCACATGTGGCTAGTGGCTACTCTTTCGAATAGCATAGCTCCACCACTATCAACTCTATACATCTTCTATTTCTGCTTCCTTCTGTGAGGATTTTGTTCTTTCTTGCTGTAGACTCACCCTTCCTTCCTTCATTCATTCACCTACAAGAATTTATATATTCCAGGTATTGCTCTATGCACAAAACTGACAATAATTCCTAACTTTCTGGAGCTCTCATTCTCAAGAGGAAGTGATTGACATAAACAGTGGCTATAGTAAATAAGTAAATTATAGTAAGAAGTGATAAGTGCCAGGGGAGTAAAAACAGAGCTGACTCAGATGTCAGGTGACTCAGGTGATGTAAGGTGACTCTGGTGATGTAAAGTGACTCAGATATGCTGGGGGTGGAATTGCAACCTCAAATAATGTGATGTCATTGAGAAGCTGACATTGGAGCAAAGACCAATGTGGAAAGACAAAACTCCCTAACTCAACCATCAGAGCAGAAAGTGACTTCCTCCTGGCTTCAGTTAGACGAATCCCAGGAAAGTAATATGACTGGCCTGGTTAGGGTCATGTTACCTCTTTGTGACCAATCACATGGCCTGAAGGGTGGAACATAACCATTCTGATTGGTCCAACCTGAACCACTAATCAAAAAAGTACAAATTAAAGGATGGCAGCTACCAGTTGCAGAAACAATCCCACCCACCCTCTTCATCCCTTAGAAAGGGAAAGCTATTCCCAGAAGAAAAGAAGGTACTAGGCAGGAAGAAAAATATTCATTCACTAAGTTTTTGGAATTTCAAAAGAACCTTGTCTCTAGTCTTCTGTGACTTCCTAGACAAAGTCCATGTTTACCCTGTCAATTTGCTTCATAACTTTATAGACTTTTAACAAATAGGAAAGTAAATGGAAAGAACATAAAACTTCTGGCTATGTGGTCCTAGTTTAAAGTCCCAGTTCTTCCAAGATCAGCTGTATTTCCTTAATACTCATGTACCTTTCAGCATATATATATATATATACACACACACACACATATATGTATGGGTATATCTATATACACACACAGACACACACAATTAAGGCTGAAAGTTATATATATATGTATGTGTATATACATATGTATGGGTATATCTATATACACACACATACACACACAATTAAGGCTGAAAGTTATATATATGTGTGTGTATATATATATACACACACATATATATAACTGAAAGAATATACATATTCTTATATATATACACACATGTATATAACTAAAAGAATATACATATTCTTATAGCCTGAAAAACATCTCATATCTAAAAATAAATCTTTTCTAAGGAAGTTCTAATATCTCTTAAAATAAGTGTGGCTGCCCTTTTCTTGTTCTTTTTACCAGTTTCTTTGCACATTCCTTGCTTTTGCCCATAAAGATATACAGCGTACACACATTGATTTGGAGTTGCTAACTAAGGCTATTTTCCTCTGGGGAGTTAAAAATAGAATACACCTCAGAAGAACCTCAACGTCTTTAGTTATACTAAAGAAAAATTGTCAGTTCATTCAGAAATGCTAATAAAAACTAATACTAATTAAGTTCCAACTAAATTGATAGTCCCCAGAAAGATAATTATTTTTGACAGACAATAAAGGTTATTATATTTTGAAAACTGTACAGCATAATCTGAAGCAAAAAACTTAGCATGGTATCTTGAAATCATCTTTTCTAGAAAGTTTTTTGTTAAAATTAAGCATTTTTAAAATGACATACATTATAACGCAGTTTTCACATGGACTATCTCATTTAATTATTACTAGTATGCGAGATAGAATTCTTTCTTCTCTCCTTCCCCTCCTTTCTTTCTTCTTTGCTTCCTTTTTTTCCTTTCTTCCTCCTTCCTTTCTCATGACTACTAACCAGAAAATATCATTCTAGCCATTATAGACACAGCGGTACTATTTGGAGGCTTATATTTAAGAGTGGGGTTGATGGTGAGTATGTGGCAGTAGAAGGCAAGGAACAAAAATAAATAAGGGGGGAACAAAAATTACCTTAATTTGAAAGGATTATGTGATAGAGTGGCTGAGCTGGGAGCCTTCCAACTAGCAAAGCAGATATTCACAAGGTAAGGTTGTTAAAAGAAGCAGAACATTCAAACCCAGGTCACCCTATCACTGTATAATGATTCTTTCCACCCTTTAGTTTCAACAGATGGTTTTGAATGGAGAGAACAATGGAAAATTTAAAACAATGCTGTGTTTTTACTTGTTTGATACTTAACAGGCTCAAGTCCAGCTGAGCCATAGATGACTGAACTTGACTGCCATTTTCAATGTGTGGTTTAAAGGAGGTGACAGCATTCTGAACCAACAGTCCTTCACATAAATAAAGCAGAAATATGAACGTGCCAGTTGTGGGAACAAGGACATCTCAGTAGAAAAGAGAGGGTTCCTAAATCATGCAACCCACTGCAATTTTTTGACATGAGGCCATAAAGGTTAAATCAATAAAGTTAGATTCTTACTTTCCCGGAGATTTGAATAATTATTTATACCCTGGTGAGTTTAACATATTAAAAAATTGATTACCTCTCTCTCAAGGCGTGTGAATTTTGTTTACTCTCCTTGTAATAGAGTATGGGGTTTTTTGTGTGTTTTTTAAACCTGTGATCAGTAACAGTTACTCATTTAAATACCTCCCAGTCTCAGTTCTTTATGCTCTGGGATACAAGAAAAGAATGGAGACTGGAAATATGTAAGTATCCAAGACTTCTGCTTTTCAGGGCCTGAGAAACTTTAAGTAAATGAAAAGGCAAAAGGTACAACTGTGTGTGTGTGTGTGTGTGCGCGCACGTTGTGTGTGTGTGTTTCATTTGTTCTGCAAATGTGGTCTCCTGCATCTGATTATGTGGGATGCTTGTTGAAATGCAAATTGCTGGACTCAGCCCCAGGCCTCCTGATTCTGAATTTTTGGTAGGTGAAGCCTAAAAATCTGGGTAGTTAATAAGGTTATTGAGTGATACTTATGCTTTTTGGGTATTGGGAATCATGGACCCTGAGTACTGGGAATCATGGGCCTAGAAAGGCCTGAATGAAAATCCTGATGCTCCTGCTCACGGGCTGGGGTGCTCAGAGGTTCTCATCTAAGAAAGTGACCCTGAGATGCTCCCTCCAAGTAGGTAGTTTCTCTGTTTAACATTCCTTGTAAGAAAGAGGAGGAGTTCATATCCAGCATAGTTTGCCCCACTGTGCCAAGTCCAGCAGAATTCTTCAGAGCTCTGCATTGTGACATTTTAACAAACCATTCTGTTCACATGTTTTAATACAGTTGGAGTCGAGGCTGCTTTTGTGTCCTTGTTTTGCAAAAGGGAACACAGGCATTTGTTTCTACTTCTTTTCTTTTAACTTGGATCCCTATAATGCACGTATTTATAATCCAAGAAGGCAAGAAAGAGAACTAGGACGAGCTTGTGCTTTTAAGGCTTGCCATGTGGACCTGGACCGGAAGATATCAGGCCTACAAAGGCGAGCCAGTAAGTTCTTTGTCTCTCTGAGCATGGGCCTTTTATCATATATGGCCCCATCTGAGTAGCTTTTCTTAACGGATAAATTATGTTTTCAGGGCCTAAGAAGAAACTTATAATTATTGGCTCTCAAGTGGACTCGTGCACTACTTAAAAGCACCAAAAGAAAGAGAAACTTATGAGGTTTCTGCTGCTTTAATTAGACCTTGGAGCCCTGAAGGAGCTTACTTTTTATGCTGTAGTCTCTTCTCTTTTCTTCATTTTAAAGATTATAAAAGTAACATATGCTTATTGTAAAATATTCAAAGAATACAGATGTATTTACTCAAAAATGAAGTTACCCCATACCAGCCACCCTAATTTTATTCCTGCTATTCTTTCTAGATTTTTCTAGACATATACGAACATATCTGATTACTGACACAGACACACATACACAAGCGAGTAATTAGGACTCTTTGAATTGTAAATGAGATAAACACAATTCAAAATTTTATAAACAAATGGGAAGAATCTCTTTGCTTACATAATAATTCTGAAGTGAGGTATACTACCTTCAAGAATGGCTGGATACACAGGTCCCAACAGGGTAGTTTCTCTCTCTCGTCTCATGTTATCTTTTGGCACTGCCTCTTTCTGTGTGTCTGCCTCATTTTCCCAACCTCAGTGGGCTTTCTCAATGGATTATGCTATTTGCAGCCCTGGGTTTACTCTAGATTTGGAACAGAATATGTAATATCCTCTTGACAACAACAACAACAAAAATACACATCCTAATCCCTAAAATCTATAAATATGTTACCTGACATGGCAAAAGAGAATTAAAGTTGCAGATGGAATTATGGCTGTTAATCAGCTGACCATTAAATAGAGCTGTTATCCTGCATTATCTGGGTGAGCTCAAAGTAATCACAAAGGTCCTTAAAAGTGAAAGAGGGAAAGTAGAAGAGTTAGAGTCAGAGAAAGATGTGGTGATGGAAACAAGGTCATAGAAATGTGACATGAGAGGATTCAAGTGGTTGTGGCTGAATTCAAAGCTGGAGGAAGGGGCCAGAGGCCATGAAATGTGGGTGGCCTCTGGAAGCTGCAAAAGGCAAGAAAATGGATTCTCGTCAGAGGCTCAAGAAGAAAACACAGCCCTGCTTGACACCTGTGTCCTATTTCTGACCTGTGAAAATATAGCATAGTAAATGTATGCTTTTTTAAGCCACTAAGTTTGTGCTAATTTGTTCAAGCAGCCACAGAAAACTAATACGGGGTTCAAAAGGCAAAGAATTGTTCTCTTGAAAATCTAAATTTTAAAAGTCCTTGGAAAGCTTCTTGGTTAGTTTTCAACCCAGCCTCTATTTTAGTCCTATGGTTAGCACAATAGGATACCACAAATGTCTAGATCTGAATACTGCTTACTGCAGGCAAGGGGGATTAAGAGACTGAGGGCCAGTCTTCCTCCCCAGAATCGTATAACTGGCCTGGGAAAGGAGAAATACACCAAAGAAAAAGATCATGAGGGGGCAGATAAAAATTCTCCACATATCCCCCCCTCCCCCCCACCCCCACACTCCTACACATAAGGAGAATTTGTTGTCCATTTGTTTCTGTTTTTTTGTTTGTTTGTTTTATTGAGGTGAAATCTCACTGTGTTGCCCAGGCTGGTCTTGAACTAGGCTGAGGGATTCTCCCACCTCAGCCTCCTGAGTAGCTAGGATTACAGACATGTGCCATTGCTCCCATCTTGTTTGTTTTAAAATGAATTTGTAACTTATATTTTGTTCTGTGACTTGCTTAATCCTCTTTAAAATGTATTTTAAAGATATTTACATATCAATTCACGTAGATCCCACTTTGTCCTTTTTAATAGCTGCATGGTATTATAGGATAGATGAACCAAATGTATTTAGCCAAGTCCCCTGTTGATGGAAGTTTAAGTTGTTTCCAATATTTGCTTACAGAGAAGTCTGTGTCCTTCAATATATCACTTCACATGCTGTAACCTTTATTATTTATTGTTCAACATAGGTAATTTGAGGGAGAATAGAGCCAAAACTGGTATAGTGGGTTGAATTGTGCCTCCCAAAAGATATATTCCCCTACAGTGATCACAGCATCAAAGAACTTGAGTGGTTTTGCATAAGAGAACTGAGTAAATAATCAAATGAATGTACAAATGATGGAAGGAATGAGGAGAGGAAGATGGAAGGAAAGAGGGGAGAAAAAGAAAGGGAGAGAGAAAAGAAAAAGTAGACTATTATGACAACTGAGGAGCCTTTGAAATCCCAGGAGGGCATCTTGCTAAAATGAAGCCCTTTATATTTAATTCATAAACCTTCTGGAAGTGCCCATAATTTGCCTGGCATTGACTGCAGTGACACAAGCCGATCTTCTTCCCATGCTCACCACCCCCACCACTGCTGCTTCAAGTCAAATGTTAGAAATGCAGTGAGCAATATCCAAAGTAGAGAGCTAGGAGTCTGATTCTTTGATTCTTTTAGATCAGTAAAGCACTAAAAAAATTCAATAAGGCATGTAGGTATAATCAAAGCACACAAATGTGTTTGGTGCATTAGACTTTTTCTCATATGGCCTTTTACATGTGCAAGTCACCATTGGGCCAGACAGTTCATACTTGGTCATTGGCAGCTGTATTTACATTGTAGGCTTGAATGTTTTTTGGGAAAAAAAAGCAGGTGTTGAGATGCTTGTCTTCAGGGTGAGTAACGTGCCATTGCACATCTTTACACCTGCTGAAGAAGACAGAGCAAGTCATGGAACATCATGGAAAATGGAACAACTCATTGAAATCTCTGCCTGTTGTCCCTGCTGGATCATAGCATAGATCCCATCTCTGGCTTTTGGCTCTTCAGCAGTTGGCTCCCACCATTTGCTTTCCTGGGTTTCTCTCCCGTCATCTAGGCAGATAAACAGCTTGTCTCTTCATCCTTCAAGGCCTTCTCTCTTTCTACCCTAGGAAGAACATATGACTAGGGAACATGTGACTGATCTTATTAAATTAGAATCACTAATATATATTGTAGAATGAGGCCATTTGGAGTAAGTAATAAAGTGAAGAAACAGACCAATATTAACAAGAATCAGATCAACCAAGAACTGCAGGTTCTGAAATTAGCATTTTGTATTTTAGCTTTTTCTCCAAGCTCTTAATGAATAACCTTCCTCTCTTAGGATGCCTGAGACTTGCTCTTTTGATAGCCTTTGAGGTACTTGTTTTCTCGGCGCATTTACTTTGGATCATGGGGCAGGAGCTTGGCAGTCCTCTAAGGTTTCCCACAAAAACATTTGTGATGTAAGTTTAATGCTTTCCTTCCGTTACAGAGATAAATGTTGTCAGTAATCCTGAGTGGCAGGCTCAATGTTTAAGGCTTTTGGAATTATGTGAGTCCCAGGGTCATGGGAATTATAATACATTGAAATATTTACAAAGCAATGTTCAACGGATTCATGATGTGGGGTTCTAGAAACAATATGGTTTTGTTAAATATTCCAGCAGCTTCCCTTTCTGCATTTCCGTCAGTTTTATTATTTCTGCCCCCCCATCTTTTCAATTTATGCTTTTTGCTTTCAGCCTTCAAAACATCTGCGAGCTTATGATATATCAGACTTTGCCCTACATTTCTATGTGGCTACTCTTCCTACTCCCCCTCTGTTGTTCTCACCTCCTCAGTATCTAAAGTCCCCCTCATGCTTCTCAGATTAAATCTCCCACTCTTGTAATTGTCTTCCTCCTTTTGCTTAATTAGATAATATCTGAGACAACTTTGAAGACACTAGGTGCTATCCTGGTGCTAAGTGGAATTGTCATAATTATTATCTTGAAGCCTCACATCACCCTAATCAGCTACTTCTCTCTTATTCTTTTTCTCCCTCCTAGTCAGCTCAGTATGAATAAAGAAAACAGTCTTTCCTCAAGTGGAAAATTCAAAATATCACAGAGTTCTTTTCCCTATGTTGCCTGCTAATGGAAATTGGGGTATATTCATGTGTTTTGGCCTGAGAAAAAAGAACAGGGAAGGTTAAGACATGTGTATTGTAAATGATCTGGATCTTTTTTAATGACTCTGTTTTTATTACTAAACCAACACAAAATTATTATAGAGAATTTGGATAATTCAGAAGGCACCTGAATGAAAAGACATGTTGTGTGTTTCTACCTTCCAAATTTGTTTGTATGTGTATATATACTATAGTCATATTACTGTTTTTTCACACGAAAAAGGTAGCTTAATCTGCTGAGCATTAAATAACATTAAATTATTTTTTTTACATTATCACAATCATGAGGATCCCTCCTACACATATAGAGCATAACTTATTTAACCAGTCCCCTATAGATGAAGGGGACTGGTTATTGATTTCCAACAATGAATTCGGCTAATATAAACTATGGTACAGTCAACATTCTTTATGCACAGTCATTATAATTTTCAAAAAAAATTATATTTTCAAGGCAAATTTCTCATTAGTTTTACTGGTTCAAAGTATATCCATATGTGATATCATATATAAGCATATCCAACCCATTAGCACTGGCTATTTAGAAAAATACCCAGAACATTGTGCTCACTATCCTGCTGCCCATCATGGTTTTGGTTAGAAAATGACATTCCATCTTGGGGAGTCTCTTGCCCCATCTTTGCTTATCTTGGGCAACTCACACTGGATCAATCGGCTTTCTGGTTTGATATACTTTGGAAATGCCAAAGTTGGATTCTTAGAGAGGTTCTATAGAATACTCAGGAGCTTCTTGTAAGCAAAGTCCTGTATCTCTTGGAAATCAGTTGTTTCAGGATCAAGTACTTCATGTTCAAAGAACTGGCCACTAGAAAACAATCACTCTGGTGTTATACAAAATTACAAGGAAAATTCTAAAGGAAGGAAGAATATTAATGCTCCTTGACCATTATACAGTGCAGACATCGTAACCTCTCAACAACCTTGTAAGACAAATGAAGTCTCACCTTTATTTTATAGTTTATCAAATTAAGCTATCAAGTAGCCGAGGCATAGGAGAGCCTAGATCCAAAGACTTCTCTATTTGACACCAAAGACTACGGTCTTTCTTTCCCTCTAATACTCAGTTATATACAACTCTTCAGAGCAGAGTTCCAAAAGCAGAGGAGAATCTGCATCTATTCATCTTTAGTTTTTTCTTCTTGTTAAATATCTGTTTGATATGCATTCGCCTATCCAAGTGTTAGGAAGCAACTTTTCTCTTGCTTTACATGTGGTTCATGTTTTCATTAGAATCCTTGATGTATTATTATTCTTTCTCTTTAACTAAAAATGTAATATATATTCATGAAGCCTCTGAATAATGTTGTATGTGATGTTATTTAACCTGTCTTGCAACATTTGTTTATAAAAACGATACCTACTTTTGCAGGAAGTAAACATTCTGATTCAAAATGAACATAACCTGTGGGCCTCAGGGTGATCTATATCCATGTGATATTGGCTGAATTCTTAAGGAGAATTCTGAAATTCCTAGACCTAGATGTTTTGTAAACCAAACAGTGGACGGAAGCACTTAAAATCACAAACTGAGGACTCTAGCAACAACAAGGACAACATAGCATAGGGGTTCTAAGCACAGGCAGGCAGCTTTAGAACCAATCTTAACTCTGTCTCAGTTTCCTTCTCTGTATAATGGGGAGATACTAATGCTTGAGATTCATTGTGGCGGCTAAATGAGCTAATGTGTTTTCCAGTGCTTAGTAGAGTGCTTGGCACATCAGTTTGATCTCAGTGGATGATCATGGAGGAAAATATACTTTAAGAAGTAGAGAACAGTATCATTAAGTGAATTTGTACTGAAAAGCACAAAAAAGATAGAAAAACGGACACTTCTAGTATAGACATCAATGATAGTATCCCTTTTTTATTATAAAAAGTGCCATGCAGAATCCAGAATTACTTCATAAGCTTAATTTTAACCAATTACAGGAACAATGTTTTACTCCTTTTAGAATCATATTCTTGCCCTTGCGCTCATTTAAGAATCTGAGAAAAGCTTTGCGTTCTCCAAAGAAATATGCACATTCATACCACATTTCTCAATTTTAGGGAAACCCATCTATTCTAGATCAATACTACCCAAAAACATAGAGGTTATAGGTCACACTTCGTTTATCTGAATGAGGTCAGAAGGGAGAGGCTATAGCCAACTCAGGGCTCCAGTTTAGTGTACCTGACCCCAAAGCCAGAATCCTAATCATTGCTGTTTACTGGATACATTCTCTGTCCCTAAGAATTCATAATGTAGAAAGGAAGACAAATAGGGAAATAAAATTATAGCATAGTATGGCAAGGGCAACAATACGTGCATGTACGGAAGGAATGATTTCATAATGCAGGTTGGCAAGAAGGCAACAAACACCATGAAAACAACTCCCACTTAGGCTGACTTCACAAGTACAGCAGTGGCCCCAGGGTGTGTCAGAATTTTGGGAGATTTTACAGATTATATGACCATACACAATATCAAAATCAAAGTCCCAGATCAGAGGTAACTCAAACAATCACCTACATCCTTTCACACCAAGTCTATCCCCCTTGTCTCTATGAGATGAAGAAGAGGCAGAGGGGGAGGGGGGCTAAATGGAAACTTGTTAGGAGACATGCCTTCACCCTTTGTTTAATAGGTTTTATTCACCTGTAATACTCTCTAAAGACTATGTTACCCACGCCAAGCCTTGAGAGTCCTGAATTCTTGACTGCAAATATCCAGAGAAGGAAACAGACATGCTTGACCCCTCACACCCATAACCTTGTTTATGGGCTCTAACTGTGTCCCAGGCCTGGAACAAGCAAGAAAGAGAAGGTACTATGGAAATAGGCTGCCCATTCAATGATGCTTGAGTGAGCATGGGAGACAAAATTAGAGTAATTTCTCCCTTCAAGTGCATTGCTACCTCCACCAGCATTAGACCTTTACTGCTTAATATTTTCCTTTTGACACACCTAAATTCCAATTATAGCCCTATACCTGCCAGCTGTGGGCAAGTTACCTAACATTGCTGAACACTCAGAGAACACATACTGACTGCTGATTTTATACCTGGCACAGTTCTGAGTGCTTTACATGTGGACTCAGCCCACCTTCACAACACCCTTCTGGAGAAGGAATTATTATTATTATTACCATCAGATAGTGAAATTCAGGGGGACAAGCAACCTGCTCAGAAATCCCATCACTGAGTATATACCCAAGGAATATAAATTATTCTAACCATTAAGACACATGCACGCATATGTTCATCACAGCACTATTCAAAATAGCAAAGATATGGAGCCAACATAAACGTCCTTCAATACCTAGTTTGTTGAGGGTTTTTAACATCAAGGGATGATGAATTTTATCAAAAGCCTTTTCTGCATCTATTGAAATAATCATGCAGTTTTTGTTTATAGTTCTGTTTATGTGATGTATCACATTTATTGATTTGCATATGTTGAACTAACCTTGCATCCCAGGAATAAAGCCTACATGACCGTGGTGGATTAGTTTTTTGATGTGCTGCTGGATTCGGCCTGCTAGTATTTGTTGAGGATTTTTGCATCGATGTTCATCAGGGATATTGGCCCAAGTTTTCTTTTTTCATAGAGTACACAGGTTTTTAAGCTCTGAAATCAGATCCTCACTTTAATTCTGGCACCATATAATTGTGAAACCATGAAAGAGTCATTCATCCTTTCTTAATCTCATCTCTTCATCTCTAAATAGGATATGATAATAATAGTGACCTTATAGGATTGTTAAAAGGATTAATAGAGATAAAGTCTTTTATTAAGTGCTCAGTAAATGTGAATTCTTCTTTTGTTCCCTGAGTTCCCTTCTTCGTGAGCAGAGCAGAGCTTGCCCATAGCTGTGCTCCTTGTTGCCTCAGCTCACCTAATCTATAACCAACTTTCAAGCCCTCCTTGACCCTCAACCAAGCATCAGTGATGCCTCTTCTCTGACATCCTCAAGGTTGGCAGAGTTCCCATTGCCACTGAATCACACTTGACAGATTATTTCCCAACTGCATCATAGCGGTTTTTGGTTTGTACAACCACATTGCAAGGGCAGTATTTTACATCTATTCCCCAAACCTGATGCTAAGCAGTAACATGCTCAATTAATATGTATAATGAGTTGAATGCATTGTATTTGTCCCCCGAAAAAGTATGCTCTTTAATGGCACCTTTATTACAAAAAGTGAAATATGAGATTTATTTTAAAAATTAGGAAAACTCTGATAACCAAAAAAGAAAGTATAAATTATCATAATTCACATCACCCTGAGATAACCACTTCTAACATATTGTTTTAGACAATATATGTGTGTGTGTAAGAAACATATATAAACACATATGTGTCTCCAAATTTATATATCTAAACATATAAATCTCCAAATTTGGAGTCAGATGGTAGGTTCTATTTTAACCTGCTTTTTTCACAGAATATCTTACAAACATCTTTCCAGGTCATTAAATATTCTTTACAGCATAATTTTAATATGTGACCCGGCATGTCCCACACATAAGTCATGAATACTTTAAGCCCTTTCTTCTCTCATTAGCAAATAGGTAGCTTTTGTATTTTAACATTATAAACAATGCTGCAATGATATATCAGGAAGGAAGTTAAATGGAATTCTGGGAAAGGAATTCTGGGGTCCAGTTGGCTTCAGTCCTGATTGTCTAACCATCTTCCAGGACAGCTGTATAACTTATACCCCAGCAGCCTGTTTCTCCACCAGCACACACCATTATCAGGGTAATCGGCCGGGTGCGGTGGCTCACGCCTGTAATCCCAGCACTTTGGGAGGCTGAGGTGGGTGGATCACGAGGTCAGGAGTTCGAGACCAGCCTGACCAACGTGGTGAAACCCTGTCTCTACTAAAAATACAAAAATTAGCCAGGCGTGATGGCACGCGCCTGTAATCCCAGCTACTGAGGAGGTTGAGGCAGAAGAATCGCTTGAACCCAGGAGGCGGAGGTTGCAGTGAGCTGAGATTGTGCCACTGCACTCCAGCCTGGGTGACAGAGCAAGACTCCATCTCAAAAAAAAAAAAAATCAGAGTGATCATCCTCACCATCGCCATCAATTTAACAGGCAGAAAGGGAGTACCCAGCTAGTGAGAGGTGAGGCCAGAATTTGAATCCAAGTCATGTCTGACAGCAAAGCCATGATTTGGCCCTGTCTACCCTGCAGGGTCTGCCTGCCCATGACTTTGCTGATGAATGTAAAATTCACAGGCTCTAGGGAGTGAGAGTCTAGCTTGACTAGAGATGTCCATTGTGCCTCTTTGGGGCCCCGTTTTTTGTAAGGCCAAATGTTTGCACATTTGTGTCCATTTGTGTGGAAATCTCTAAACATTTTCAGTTAAAGGAGAAAGAAACAAGCAAGTGAGGTGCTAGAAGGAAAGGGATATGTAGAGTGTTATGCCTGAAAAGAGGGTGATACACAGCAGAACTTCCCCAGCTACTGCTGTGTCTGCTCTCTCCATAATCCAGCTTTCTAGGGCACTAGACCCCTTGAAGACAATGCTTCTTCCAGTGGGTTTAGGTGCCACCTCTCTCAGAATCACTTGGAGGTCCCCAGTTCTTAAAAATACAGATTCTTGGAACCACTTTTTACCTATAAAGCTGGAATCTGGGATGGATTCTTGGTAAATATAATAAGTGACCTCAGCAAGTGATCAAAAAATTTGAGAACCACTGTTTAAAATCTCATCTCTAGGAAACTGCCTGAGTATCTTTGTAGAATCCAACTCTATGCTGTTAATAATAGAGCTTGTTAACATTTACTGAGTGCGTGCTGAGTACCAGGCACTGTTCTAAGCACTTTTACAAATATTAAGTCAGGGAGCGTACTTGGCAATCCAGTGACATTGGTGCTAATATTATCTCTATTTTACAGATAAGAAAACAGAAGCACAAATTACACCAATAGGGAAGGGTACATCCACAAGGCCAGGCTCCTAGTCACTACGTTGGAGTATTTTCTTGGATCCCTCACAAAGTGCTCCTGCAGCCAATACTCTGGAGGCAATATGCAAAGTGGTTCAGGAAACCCACATTGGATCAGGCAAATCTGGATCTAAGTTCCTAACTCATAATGGTATTAGTCAGGGCCCTTGCAGGAAACACTTGGCACATTCAAGTGGGCAATTTGAGGATAAGTAATAAAGAGATTCTCTGCAAATGTGTGGGCAGGGTGCAGGGAAACCTCAAGAGGCATGCCTGAGGGCTGGCATTGGCCATAGCTCCTTGACCACCCCAAGCCCTCCTGCCAGTGCTTCCGACTGGCCAAAGGCAACCAGAAACCAGAGGACAAAAGAGCAGGTTGAGGCAGTCCAAAGCAGGCAGCCTCTCCAGGCACAGTGCAGAGGAGAAGGGGGCAAGTAGATCTGGAGGGACAAAGGACATGTTTCTCAACCTCTGAGTTTCAAGGTTGTCAAATTTAATTTAAGAATAACAATTGTACATAAACTCATGGACTTACTGAGTTAAGTAAATAGCATAATGCTTGTAAAGTGCTGAGCACAGATGAGCACAGCAGAAATGTTTGCTGCGGTTGTTATCAATTGCTCTCAAAAAAAGGGCTAACGTGAAAATGTAGGACCATCCTCTATCGTTCCAGTTTTATTGCTTCCTATGTCTCACTTTATCCAAGGAATTTCCTTCTCTTTGACCCTCAGTTTCTTAGTCTGTGAGAAAAAGAACAACAATAACTATTACCACTATTATTGCTACTACGTATTCACCATTATTATGTAACTTGATGTTGGACACTTTTGGACCTCTTATATTTAGGCATCTCACCAAACTTCCTTAAGGGGATTATTGAAAGCAAAGCCAATGAAACTACATCATATAATGATTGTTACTAATCACCATTCTTTCAAGATTGTGGTGCTCCACTAAATATGCACATTGGCTTTTAAACAAATCCAGGCTCCAGTCCCAAAGGTTGCAATAGACTTCAGTTATTTTTGTTTAGGTTTCCCAGGTGATTCTAACCTGCCCTGCTGAAGGACTGTCTTAACAGAAGACAAATAAGCTCGAGGATGTGTGGAATGGGAGGCAAGGGAGTAAGTGACAAAGTCCTGAGAGTCAACCAAGCATCCCCAGCACAAAACAGCAGAGGGAGCATAGCGGATGAAACATGGAAAGGGAGGCAAGGGGTCCAGGGGAGGTCTGAGCGGAGGCAGAGAAGATCATGCAGGGTCTGTGGGCCATGCAATGGAGTTCAGATTTTACCCTAAGAGCACAGGATGCTCTTGGAGGGCTCTAGAAGGGAAGTGACAGACTCTGTTTTGTGTTTTAAAAGACCATTCTAGCTGCAGTGAGGAAAGTGGAATATGGGGGAGCATGAGGAGGCTGATGTGAGTCCAGAAAGGAATAGTTTTGGTTTGGAGTCAGGTTGTAACAGAGAAGTAGAAGTGGACCCCTTCAGCATATATTTTGGAGGTTGGAAAACAGTGGGAATTAGGGGAATCATAGTAACCTGGGACCCCTGCACACGTGACGGTGGGGCGGTGCTGCCCTCTGAAAATGCCATCTCACTGACTGAGCTGGAGGCTTGAGGGCAGAGTAACTGGAACAGAAAAGGAGAAGGGTGCTGGATGCTTCCCTTTGCCCTTCCAAGTCCACTCTCCATCTTTTCCACCTTGCACTATGGTGTGGGAGGAGTTTACGTCTGGCTTCCTGTTGTCTTTGGCTAAAGGGTAGCACTGGCAGTTGCTGAGGGATGTTAAGGGATTATTCCTGGTCCTCCAAGCAGGGTCACCGCCAGTTGGCTGCATTCTTTGAAAAGTGGTCACAGCCCCATCAGCTCTCTCTCTGTCTCCCCTGGCCACCCCCTACCTCATCCCAGGAATTATTCTCTCCCTTTGCCCCTAATCACCAAAGGTAGTAACCATCAGAACCCTGACAGATGCACGCTGACAATCCCACTAGGGCAGATCTCCCTGATGCTCAATGTGAGCCTTCCTAGGGAGCACTGTGATGGGGGCCACTCATGCTTCTTGGGGATGTCAGAAATAGCCATCTTACCTGTGTCTCTGCCAGGCAGAAAGAAGAAATCTTTGCTAAGGTTGATTTTTGGGTTTTGTTTGTTTGTTTGTTTTGCATGTCGAGTCTTAGAATTTAAAAAAATCTATCACCCCTGCTCACTATGATTTCAGGTCAGAGTCTGTAATGTACTATTAGGTGTTTTATTTCCCTTTTAAAGTGACAACAGTTAGGATGAACAGCCAGATAAACAGGCATAAACCAGGAATCTGCCCTCCACTCACTGAGGAAGGACCCAGGGTATGTCATTCTACTGTGGACTAGTGAAAGATTTTTAGTAGACTGCATTTCCCACACATTAATCCATCATCTACCACATCCCAAATTTCCATAACTGCATCCAAAATACCATATCCACATATGCATCACCTTCCTGATATTTACCTCATTTCTGTAAAAAAAAAAATGACTCACTTTCTAAGTTAATTCATGCTAAAGGAAGCTTCCTATCAGTCATAAGTAGAAAGCCAGCATTACTTGCTGTCAATAAAAAGTAACCAAATAGTAATAATAATAATCAAAAACCATACAAAAAAGGTAGCAGAATATCACCGAAAAAAATCATCTCACATTCTACACTTTGAGAAATACTGTACTCAATGATGTCTACAATCTCTTCAGCTCCGACAAGCTATACTTCTGTAAAAATAAATAATAAGATTAAGAAGATAGAATGTCTGCAGGGCATGTGCTACCCATATCCCCTGGTTCAGTGTCTTTCAGGATGGCTACGAAGGAGAAAGTTTGGCAGGATCGCAGATGGGGGTGACACAAACCATATCATCCTATATTTTAAACAATTGGCCACACATTTGAAGCGTGGCATTCTGGGTTCTGTTTTTGTCTCCCAATGTCTCAGAGCATAGATTGGGCAATGGCTCACTGATGGTCATGACCCTTTCGCCCTGATGCCTTGCTAGCCCACCTTCTGAATAGCAGTCTGGGAAAGCCATCTTCAAACACTGAGGGGTGTCATCCTCAATTTGCAGCCTGTTCAAGGCTTTTAGACACCATTCTGAATGCCCAAGAAGTTTCTCCTTAAGAAAATCTGCTTTTAACTATCAATATCCAATGCTATGCTATTTTTTACTCCCAGCAGATTCCAAGTATGGAGTTCAAAATGCATCATAATAGAAGTGTGTGTGTGTGTGTGTGTGTGTGTGCATGTGTGTGTGTGTGTGTGAGAGAGAGAGAGAGAGAGAGAGAGAGAAGTCAGCTCATCTTTAATTGAATGTGTCACTGACGTAGGAGACAAGACAGGTAACTTTAGGGTCTTTGAAGTTAGAAACTAATAGTTCTTCCAGATTCCAACCTGAGAGCTGTGTCTATGTGACCATAGCTAGATTCAGATAGCACCACTAAATGCACCCTGGGAATACATGATGGAGAGCGACAAAAGTAAAAAAGGCCAAAAATAGTGCCTTCTCAATGCAAGGAATTGACTACTTCACCTCCAAAATGTTTCTATTCCATGCCCATCCATGTATGTATATCACATCAAAATACTAGTTTTCATGTGATCCTAAAAACTTGAAACCCCTGATTTTTTTCTTCTGTAAAACTGCTTACTTCCTTTAAGGCTTCCCTTCAAACAGTGGTTCTGCACCTGGCTCACATTAGAATCAGCTGTGGAACTTTTGGACCACAGATACCCAGAACTTACTTGGGTGAATTAAGCCCCAAATCTCTGCAGTTGAGGCCCAGGTATTTCAGTATTTTTGCAATGCTCCCCAGGAACTTCTAATGGACAGCCTTGACTAAGAACAAATGCTTTAGAAAAAGGATGCAAGAGAAGTCACCTTCCCTGACCATATTTCCCTTCCCTGCTTGTTCTGGTAGGATCAGGTGAGTAGCAGGGTCACAGGGACACAGAGTTAGCCAGATCCAAAGCAGAGACAATCTGGGAGGAAGAAACAATAGACATTTTCCTCATTCCATAAAAACATAAAGGCATTTCTACGATGTGCTAGGCACAGTTCAAGAGGGATCATGGTTTAGAGAACCAGAGAGAATGGTTGAATCCTCCAGGTCTCTGGGAATTCTACCATCTCTTGAAGACAAGCCTGCCTGATGGAAGGGTTTGGCCATGAACCAGGGAGGAAGTTCTAATTAGAAGGCTCTCTTAGTCCACTTGTGTTGCTATAAAGTAATACCTGAGACTGGGTGACTTAGGAAAGAAAAGCCACACTTCTTGTACAGCCTGCAGAACCATGAGCCATTTAAATAAATGCAGGCTGTACAAGAAGCATGGCATCACCATCTGCTTCTGGTGAGAGCCTCAGGCAGCTTCTACTCATGGTAGAAGGCAAAGGGAGCCAGTGTGCTTAGAGAGCACATGGCAAGAGAAAAAGCAAGACAGAGAGAGGGGAGGTGCCAGGCTCTTTTCAACAGCCAGTTCTCTTAGGAACTAAGATTGAGAATGACACCAGCCATTCTTGAAGGATCTGCCCCCACAAGGCTCCACTACCAACATTGGGGATCAAATTTCCACATGAGACTTGCTGGGGTCAAACCACATCCGAACCATTGTAAAGGTCAAAGGAGACTTTCCTTGGTTCTTCACTAGCGAACGCATTATTTCCCAGACAGCAATAGCAGCTTGCTGGAGTTGCCTAAGTATTCTCCATCCCCTTGCTCTGCACCTCTGTGCATTATATCATTTACATTTATTGTTTAGCTGTTCACCTGTTCACTTTGTTTTCCTCTTACAGCATAAGACCAAAGAGAACTGGGATCATTTCCCTCTTATTCATTGCTTATATCCTCAGTACTTAGCCCAGTGTCTTGTTCATACTGGATGCTCAATAAATATTTGTTCAATGAATGAATTTAATAATGTTTTATTCTCATTGTATTAAGGTGTATGTTTATGATCTATTAAGGGCAAGCGACACTAGATTTCTGTTTATAGTAGAGATAGTCTGCTTTTTAAATGAGTTAGTATAAGGAAAAAGGGAAATCCATTTACAGAAAAATACTAAGTAAATAGAAGCCTAAGGGGTGCATAGATGTGACATCACTCATGGGAATGATAAGTAAATGACTGACATTTGGGAAACACTAGTCTAGGAAGCAGGTCTGGAAACAAAGACCAAGGAACAAGCCTGGAAATGAGGGGAATACTACCTAGTCTAAATCAGGATGCTGGCTGAGGTACGATTCAACTAGCACTTACTGAGCATTAGCTGTGTGCTCAGAGCTCAGATGGTGAGTGGGATTTGGAATCCAATCCCATCTTCAAAGCATTCACGGTGAGACAGCCATGGGCACCACGATAGTAGAAATCAAAATATATAAAGCTCCAAATAGGCCAGAGAAGAGCAGTGTTTGTTCGCCCAGAGACAATCAGGAAATCCTTCCAAGAAGAGAAATTTGAGTAGAGCTCTGAAGAACAGGGACAATTTGAATAGGCAGAAATGGTGGACAAGGCAATCTAGACTGAGGGACAGCCAGAACAAACCCAGGCGGAATAGTAGCAGCAACTGATTTAGGGAAATGATCACAGGACATTCTGAATGGAATGTATAGGCTCCAGTGGAAAATTTATGTAACACTTTCTGTTTGCCTGTTTATTCCCAAGGCATCATCCCAAAGGCATTTCTGATGATAGTGTCCATGTCCTCATGGAGAGGAGATCCTAGGAGACATCTCTACTTCCAAATTACCAACCACAGTCTTCCCTTTCCTTTCCATTAAAAAAAAAATTCAGAAAGCACTGTCCTGTCATTCCCGTAATAAATATGCAAGCAGCAATCAGTAGCTGCCCTAATTTGCATTAATGGGATGCCTGTCCTTGAGAAAACCCCTGAAAAATGGTGACATTGCTTTGCCAGAATCCTGAGCACCTCTGCAGACAGAGGGCTGCCCTCCATCAGCACCAGAAATCCAAATAAATCTACCCTTAGAACTATCAAGAGTCCAGGCCAAGCAAAAAGGCGCTTTCCCTCTTCATCTATTTCAAGAGAGAAAACTATCCTTGAAAAGATTTCCCCTGATAGCCAAATGCATAAGCCTCCTTGTTTCCCCTTCCCCTGCTGTTTAAGCCCAGCAACCCCCTGATGGGTAATGAATGTCCTTTGCGTGGCCTTATGCTATTTTTCAATACTGTATCCCCAAGTGTCAAGTTTATAACTTCAGTGTTCATTTTTTAAAGTTGGTGTGATGTAGTGTGGCACTTTATCTTCCCAATGTACATCAGAGTTAACATTCTACTTAATTTTGTCAAAGATCTTTGTCTTGAGTTACAGCATGGAACAGAATATTCTAGGGAGGTCTTGATTATATTAAATAATGCATAGAGAAATGAACCTGTCTTCCCAGTGGTTCCAAAACTCCTGCTGGTCTCTCACCTCCTTCCCACATGTTCATATCTGATTTTGAGAAAAATCCCACTTGGAAGATAACTACAGGAGATAAATGACCTCTCTCTTTTCTTTCTTTCTCTGAATCAAAAAGCAATCCATGAAGTGTGTCTCCCTCTTGATCATCCCTCATCATTAACATCTCATTTTAAACCAAAATGTGTTTCACAGAATGTTAATGACTATTATGCAACCTCAATTTGGGGTCAAATAAACTTTAGGGAATACTGAGTTAAGCAAAGTTAAGCAGGTATCTTTTCTGAGGTCATGTCCAAGCTTTTAATAAGTAACTCTGCACTGTTAATATTCAAGAGGGCCATGCAATATGCAACAATTCCAGATTTACTGTTTTTCCATGAAACCCTTTTTTGATGGAGCATCTCAAGAGACTAGACTTAAACTAGCAAAAAGTTGCCTATCTCTGGCTGCAACAGACACTCAAATGTCACCCTGAAACTGCAACTCCCAGGGCGGTTACCATTGTTGCCTAAAAAAACCACTAGGTTTCTAACACTAAAACGTGTTGTTTGAGTCAGGGTTTATTCACACTTACTATTCTTCCAGTTTGTATGTAAGAAGATGCATTTTTTTTTTACTTATACATATAGGAAAATTAAGGCCAGGGTTTTGTCTTTACTTCATTCTCACAACAAGAAATCACCTTTGCCCACAAACATATAAGCACCACTCAGCACTGATGGAGTACTACGCGATCTTCCTCATCCCATTTTGACCAGAGACACCCACAGAGAGAGGTCTGCCCAGAGTTTGGTGCAATTCTGTTTCCTCTAGAGCTGAAATATATGATGTCTTCATCCTTTGAATGACTAGAGGTATCAATCATACTCCCTCCAATAATTTGAGAAATAAGTGATCCATAGAATTGACACCCAAAAGAAACCAAAATATCTGTGTTGTTAAAGGTAAAGCTGGATTAAAGAACTCATGAATCTCCTGTTTACAGCTATCCTCAGTCAAACTGACCCCCTTGCCCACAGTGGGCGATACAAAGTTTGATCACTAGCTTGCCTGACTCTAGGGTCTGTGTATGATTTTTTTCCCGCATTTATACACACACATAGAAGGAAGACAGTCATTCTTCAGTATCCATGGGGGACCCCTGGGGAAACCAAAATCCTCCAATGCTCAAGTCCCTAGCATAAAATGGAGTAGCATTTGCATATAGCCTACACATATCCTCCCATAACCTTTAAATCATCTCTAGATTACTTATAATAGTAAATGCAATGTAAATGCTATGTAAATAGCTGTTATAATGTATTGGGTTTTTTATTTGTGTTATTTTCATTGTGGTACTGTTATTTCTAAATTGGGGTGGGTGTTTCTGAATATCTTCAATTTGTAGTTGGTTGAATCTGCAGATGTGGAGCCCAGGTACAGGGAGGTCTGAGTGTACTAAAATGTTTGTTGGAACTAAATGAAATCACAGAGATTCTGTGGCTTCCCCGTGCTCCATACCACAGAAGCTAAATGATCCTAGAATGTGACAGTTGAACCTGAAAAGTTAAGAGATATGCAAATTCCAACTGGACTGTAATTGAAATCCATAGAAGTTGATGTCTTGACAGATAGGAAAAATATAAAAGATAATTCAAAAGAGAATATATTAGTAAATGGATTTAAGTAATAACAAAAGAATTAAGTAAAGATTTAAACTCAAGGGATTGGATTTTGGAAGCCAACTGTCCCTAAAGGCCATGAACTAGGAGGCCCTTTTTGGCACAGCCTGGGCCTAAGACAAGTGGCTCCTGTACATCTGAAGCTCCCAATTTAGGTACCTAACACACTCAGGCGAAAAGGATACAATATCTTTGGGAGTCACTCATCCACCATTAGTTAGTGGTAGGGATGAGGGGATGTGGGAAGGGAAGACCCCTAACTTGACTTCCCCACTCTGGCATGGTGCATTGCTAATAGTCCAGCAGCTAGCGGGAAGGGACACTTCAGCAAAGTTGTTGGGCTGCTGCTCCCCACCCCTGCACCCTGACCCCCATGCCTGTGAGGGCCAGTGAGTATTCCCATGACCAAGGGAGGATATTAAATAACAAGTAAAAACACCCTAGGAGATGTGAGACTGGAAGGAGATAAAGGAAGGGGAAAAAAAAACTCTTTTTCCTGCTTTTTGAACAAAGAACTCCCATATTGTTATTTTTCACTGGGCCCAGCAAATTACGCAGCCTATTCTGCCTTTTTTGTAGGGTGAGGGGGCACACCTAACCTGGCAGTCATGGCCGGCTGTGTTAGCCAGGGTGGACACTGCTCCTGGGTGGCCCATGGTGCTTCCCAGCCTTTGACTAGGGAGTTGTGTTCAAGTGGAAGGAGATGTAGGAGCACTCCCTAAAGTCTCCAATCTATCTTCACTGGAAGGTTCTCTTCTGTATATTGAGGAATAATAATACCAGCCTCTCAGGATTGTTAACAGAATTGCTGTGATGACTAATTTGGAATAATGTAAGTAAAAACACTCAGCAAAGTAGCAGATGGGAAGCATGCGTTCCATTAATAGTAGCTATATTGCAAGGTCTTCTAGGGGTGCTTCTCAAGTTTTCCTGCACATACACATCTCACAGGAACTTGGTTTAGTGCAGATTCTCATTCAGAAGCTCTGCGGTGGGCACTAATGGTCTGTGACCTGACACTCCTGGTCTCAGGACCATACTTTGAGAAGCAAGCCCCTCAGAGATACAAAATGAACACAACTGTCTCCAGTTTTAAGGAGTTATGGAGAGAAATAAGTTTTATGGGGAGAAACTAGACATGTAGTCAGCTAGCTAAATGGCAAAGCAGAGTGCCAGTATAAACAAATTGCCTTGAAAGAGACAGCTATTCTCTCATTGTCACTCACCCAGGCTTTGTGGGGGAGTTTTCATTTGAGCTGAATTTGAATGATGAGTAGAGTTTGAGTGGGTTTTGACTCCTGGGCTCTGGTCCTGGCTGTGCCAGCAGGGAAACATTCATGGAAGTGGGAAACATGCAGGAAATTAAGGAGATGCTGAAAGCCCTACAGAGCCCAAAGCTTAAGGTGTGGTGAAGAGGAGGAGGCAGGCACATAGTGGACCGCGATGCTGGAAGACTGTCACAAGTATCAACAGAACACAGTCCAGGGTAGTTTTATGCAAATGTATTAGTATCCTAGGGCTGCCATAACAAAGCATCACAAACTGGGTGGTTTAAAACAACTGAAATTTATTGTCTCATCATTCTGAAAGATACAAGTCTGAAATCAAGGTAACAGCAGGGCTCTGCTCCCTCTAAAACTTATAGGGGAGTCATTCCTTGCTTCTTCCTGGTTTTGGGTGGAATCAGAGATTCCAGCAATCTCTGATGTTCCTTAGCTTGCAACTCCATCACTCCAAGCTCTACCTCGGCTAACAAGTGATACTCCCCCTGTGTGTCTATTTACATAACTGTCTTCTTACATCTGTCACATTAGGTTAGAGGTCCACCCTACTCGAGTATAACCTCATCTAAGCTAGTTACATCTGCAATGACCTCGCTTCCATATAAGGTCACATTCTTAAGTATTGAGGGTCTAGACTTCAACAAAAGCTTTTTGGGAGATGTAATTCAGTCCGCAACAGCCAATATGTTTGCACTCATTGGGCCCAAGTAATCATCTCTGCCCTATCAGATAAACTTCAAAAGTGGCCTCTGCCCAGTGAGCCCTGGGAACAAATGAGGATCCAGAGACCCTCTACCTTTTCCATATTTACTTCCTCCCAAATAAACAAAGATCTTTAGAGCATCCTGGGCTTCACTGAACCTAGCTGTAAACTTAGGGCACTGGTGTTGGGGAAATGAGAGTAGCATTAGAAATCCCATTGAAATTTTCTCTCCATTTACCTACTTCTATATGAAGGTTACGTCATTCCCAAGGAGCTTCTGGGACTGTAAGTCTACCAGGTTGCTCCCTAATGCATTCATTCACATAGCAGGATTCAATAAAATAATGACTTACGATATCTTTCTCCCCAACTTTTATGAGAAGCAGTGGCCTTCCATTCTTTCCCTTTGTTCTTGCTCAATAGAAGACGAATGTAAACAAAATATGAATTTTGTAGGCAAATGGAAAGGAGCATTGGCTAATTATTCTATCAAATTAAACCATCCTCTTTGAAAAACTGGAACTTTCAAAAATTAAGTGGCTTTCCCTCTTTCAATCGTATGTTCCCTGGCTCCATAGTGAAGGCATTGTCACCTAGCTACACGACATTTTATGTTCCAAATAACAGTTCTTCCTAATGTCTTAGAGGTTATCAGCATGAAAGAAGCATTTCACACTAAACCCCTGCAAGTATTGCCATGAGCAATAATAAGTTTTTTAAGCTCACTCTGTCAGACTGATTATCCATCCCAGATTAATTCAGAGCATCCTTTCTCTGCTAAAATAAAGATGAAAGTTGGCTGCACTGTGTGGGCAGGAGAAGGGATGGTGTGGAAATAAAAGAACATAAAATGAGTATCTGTTTTCGAGGCAGCTGAGAACAAGCTGCAGGCTTCTGTCCTTGCTGTTGTCTCCTTTTAGAGAAAATAAGCCCAAGCAGCTTGTTTAAGTAGGTAGTTAATTTTAAACCAGATTTAAAGACTGCTAAGAAACACACTGGCCCCAATCCAGGCCATGGTCAGTTGCTGCTAAATCCCACTGACGTCCATAAGACGCAAACAATAGGTCCCAGACGCTTAGGCACAGACGTGCAAGGTTTTACATCCTTATGTCCTCAGGTTTGTCCTAAGCAATTTAGTCCATTGCCCAATGAAATTGTAATACACCATGCTAAGATAAAATTAAACTATCCTCTACAGGTCAGGATTAATTTTGCAAACTCCATTTCCTGGAGATAATTGGTCACTGGGTACTTATAGGAGGATTAGTCCACTTGAAGTTTTATCTCCTCCCCTGAAATCTTCCCCAATCCTTCCAGCATTGAATTAATCTCTCGCCTTTGTGTTCCCATTGCACTTGACCTATACCTCAATTATAGCACTTAGCACAGTCTCTCTGGCATTACCGTTATTTCTGTGATCTTATCTCCCTTACTAGACTGCAGGTTCTTTAAGGAACAAGACTCTGTCCTAGTGGTTTTTGTGTTTCTAGGATCTGGGACAGGGTATGGTGTGTCCTTAATAGACATTTATTGAAGAACTGAAGGATGGAAATGAAAGAAGAATTTAATGGTTACCTCTATCATTATCAAATGTCACTATCTCCTCTTACACAAGGTCTTAATCAAATCCCTTGGAAGAGAGCTCTGGAATACTTAAGAGATTCTGGAATTTAGAAGGAAGAGAAGAATTTCAAGGGAATTTAGGAGTGAGCCTTTTGGGAGATTAAAGAAGCAACAAAAACGTGCATATGGAAAACTCATTTCAATTAGTCCTTTTTGTTTTAAAGATTCTGAGAATTATCAGGGATAGAGATAGGTTTTGTATCACCAAGAGTCCTAAGGTTACAAGTAACAGAAATTACCTTGGGGTAATAAAAGCAGAGAAGGGATTTATTGTAAACATGTGAAGACATTCACATAATGAAAGGGAAGGCTGAAAACTGGCCTCCAAAACATACAGGAAACAAAGCGGCTCAAGGCACATGTACAGTGGAAACTAACAAATTGCTTCAATTTGTAGTTCAACTCGTGCATTGTTATAGGCATGATTCAACTCAACCAGCCATGCTATTCAGGGTTCAAAATCTAGAAAAAGAGCCTTGTTGGTCTGAGTTTGGACATATGCCCATCCCTTGGCTATCGAATAGACCCTTCCATAAAAGAAATGCAGTCTCTCCAAGAGATGTGATTTCCCAAAAGGAAATCAAGGTGCCATTAACAAAAGAAGAGAGATTGAGTGTTTTGGCAACCAAAGCACTGATAATGTTGCTACTGTCGATGACAGTATTCCCTTGGAAAATATCCAAATTAGAAAACTACTTTAAGGACCAGAACACTCTTACAGCTAGTAGGAAATATGTGACCCTAGAAACTTGTATTTAAATAGATCCAACTTGAAGTTCAAGTACAACACATTTAGACAAATACTATCAAATAGCTTGTCCACCATTGATGTTGTTCATGTATGTCAGGGCTTTATTACCTTGTTAAATTGCTTAGAAAGCCATGTTTTCTAATAGAAAAAAAAGACCAAATAAATCCCAGAAGAAGTCATCAAATAATGGCTAAATCTGAAACTGGAGTTGATGAGAACATTAAGGTAACTGAATTTCTGTCAACATTTTTGTGCTTTCTCATGTGGGTACAGAACCAAGTTATAGCTAGAAGAAAAAATGAATAAACTGGTTTTGTTTAGTGAAATTGTAGAAGTTCTAGAAATTACATTTTTTCTCATTTGCAATATCTCACTTTAAAAATTAACACATAAAAGTCACATTTTGTCAGCAGATATTTATTGTACCTCTCTTACTAATGCTAATCATTTAAGGTTTTTAAGTGCTTCTGTGTATCAGATACTCTGCTAAGATCTTTACCTACATTTCTCATTTAATTTATAAGAACCTGTCAGTACAGTTAGTGTTGCTATAACAGAATAGCCGAGACTGAGTAGTCTATAAAGAAAAGAGGTTTATTTGGCTTACAGTTCTAGTGGCTAGAAAATGCAAGATTGGACATTTGCATCTGGTAAGGGCTTCAGGCTGCTCCAGCTCACGGTTGAAAGCAGAAGGGGACCACTGTGTATGATGAGGTAACGTGGTGACAGAGGATGCAAAAGTTGGAGAAGGTCAGGCTCTTTTTAACAACCAGCTCTCATGGGAACTAATAGAGTGAGAACTCACTCATCCCCTCTCTCCCCAGGGTGAGAAAATGAGTAATCTATTCATAAGGAATCCACCCCCATAACCCCAGCACCTTCCACCAGGCCCACCTCCCAACATTGCCACATTGGGTATCAAATTACAATATGAAAGTGAAGGGGACAAACAGCCAATCATATCAGAACCCAATGAGAGTAGTTACTGTCAGTATTAGGAAACTAGGGATCAAACAAATTAAGTAACTTGCCTATGGTTCCACAGCTGATAAGTAGCAGAATTAAAGTAAAGAAAATAATTGCATGGAAAATAAATACACTCTGCATACATGCATACATACAATTACAGATGTGGTTAATTACTTTAGTAATTATTTTCTGAAGTAATTAAATTACTTATCCTTACAAAGAACAATTCCTCAATAAATATATATTAAAGGCAGGAATTTATATTGTGATACTAAAAATATGACTTCCAAGAAATTTTTTGTGGATAGGAAAAAAGATCATCAGCATAAAAGGCCTTTTGATATAGACTACAATAACCTGTGATTCCTTCTACTGACTCTGAAAATGATTTTCCGTTGTTTTAGTAGGACTACATACAGAAGAAAAAAGAACTGATTAATATTTTTTACCCTTGTGTCTATTTGCTCTGGAACACCTTATTAATAGAGATGGTGGAATGTATTTCTCTAACATTAAATAAAATCTAGGTAATCAAGACAGCATAGTATTGGCATAAGGATAGACATATAGACCAATGGAGAAGAACTGGTAGTCCATAAATAAAACTTTACACTTATAATCAAATGATTTTTGATAAGAGTACAAGGCATATTAATGGAGAAAAAAATAGTCTTTTCAACAAAAGGTGCTGAGACAACTGAATATCCACATGCAAAAAAAAAAAAATGAAGTTGGCGCCCTACCTCATACCATTTACAAAAATTAACTCATAATGGAACATAGACCATGTAAGAGCTAAAACTACAGAACACTTAGAAGAAAATATAGGAGTAAATTTTTATGACCTTGGGCTAGGCAATCATTTCTTAGATAATGGTATCAAAGGTATAGACAACCACAAAAAAATAGATAAACTGGATTTCATCACAAATTTTAAAAACATTTGTATTTTAAAGGACTCTATCAGCCAGGTGCAGTAGTTCATGCCTGTAACCCCAGCACTTTGGGAGGCTGAGATGGGAGAATCACTTGAGGCCAAAAATTCGAGACCAGCCTGCTCAACATAAGGAAACCCTCATCTCTACAAAAAATAAAATAAAAATTTTAAAAATTTAAGGAATGAAAAAACTTTTACAAAGTAATTCATCAAGAAAGTGAATAAACCATCTACAGAATGGAAGACAAATTATGCAAATAATAAATCCAAAAAGGAACTTACATCCAGAATATATGAAGAATTCTTATAACTTAACAATAAAAAGATGACCAGTTTTAAAATGGGCAAAGAACTTGAGTAGACATTCATCCAAGAAGATATACAAATAGCCAAAAAGCACATTAAAAGGTGCTCAGCATCATTACTCATTAGGGAAATGCAAATCAAAACTACACTATTTCAGCCTCCGTGAGATGGTTAAAATAAAAAACACAGACAATAACAAGTATTGACAAGGCTGTGGAAAAACTGAATTTCTCTTACATTGCTAGTGGGATTGTAAAATTGTAAAACCACTTTGGAAAACAGTTTGGCAGTTCCTCCAAATGTTAAACATATGATTATGTTACCACTAAACTGTATGATCTAGCAATTCCACTCCTAAGTATATCACCTATGAGAAGTGAAAATATATGTCCACACAAAAATCTGTACGTGAATGTTCCTAGCAGCTTTATTTATAATAGCTCAAAATGGAAACAACTCAAATATCTACCAATTGATGAATGAATTTTTTAAAGGTGATATAGCTATACAATGGAATATTATTTAGCAATATAAAAGGAACAAAGTACTGATACATGCAACAACATGGATAAACCTTCAAAACATCATGCTAAGTAAAATATGCCAGTCCGTTTCTATAAAATTTTCAGAATATGCAAATACATAGAAACAAAGTAGATTAGAATTTCCAGGGCTGAGGGATGAATGAATGGGATACGACTGCTAATAGGTATGAGGCTTCTTTTTGGGGAAATGAAAATGTTCTGAAATTAGATAGTATGTAGGTTACTCTGTAAATATACTAAAACTCTGTGAATACATGAAACTATGAATATATGATAGCTTACTGAAACGTGCACTTTAAAAGGGTGACGATATGTTAATTTTATCTCCATAAAGCTATTACTTAAAAAAAAATTAGGGTCAGTCGTCCTTTCTCTGAGATGGTAAACTTGCAAAATGACTTGTACCTCCCCAAACTTGCCATTTTCAGACTCTTTTATAACTATGTACACACTCTACCCTTTGTCTACAAACTTCTACCTACTTTCCCATCTCACTTCAACCCCTTTCGTGCCCTGCAAATTTCTTATTCTTCCTTCATGAGTTGGCTCAGATTTTATCTCTACTAGAAAATCTCTCTGAATCCTTAGTTCAACGTTGAATTGCATTTATCTGAAGGTCCAGCTGAACCATACAGACATCTTTATTCTGGCACAAATCATACTCCATGGTAATCTTCTGTTTATGTGTCAGTCTTTCATTAGTGTATAAGCTTCTTGAAGCATTTGTCTTTGTGTTTTGAGGTCTGGCACAGTGCCTGGCACCTGGTGGCAATTAGAAATGTTTACTGAAGAAATGAATGAATGAATGCTTAAAGGCAGAAAAATGAACAAAATAATATCTTCTGGTGGAAAGATTCTACGATGTCAGGATATATTCTAATCACAGAAAGTGTCTTAGAGTTCAGCCTTAAATACTTTCATATGTTGAATTCAAATTACCTGTGGAAATCCATGCTACAATTAATAAATATTTCCCTTCTAAATGTGAGCTTTTAAGTCAGTCCTCAAGCGACCCAGGGTAAGCTGAGCTTCCTAAGAAGAATAAGAAATTCTTCTTGCTCTGTGGAATATTCTTGTACAACTAACCATCTAGATTACAGGATCCTAAAACTTTTCTTTGGGACATCTACCCCTGGTTGTCAATAAACCTGAGAAAGTTAAGAGTTGAATCATGAATCTATTGCCATAGGACATACAGCCTCTGGTGGATAAATTTAACCCAGATTACTGTCTTTCCAAAACAATATTTCCTTGCCCTACCACTTAAGCACACTGTGGTTTGAAACATTTGAATGGGATTATCACATAGACAAAAAGGATTAATAATTTACAATGACATTTGATCGTGAGGCTTTTTTGATGCACAAATCCAAGTATTTAAGAAGCTGATGGCATCCTACTAGAGATAAGAAACCACTATAAGTAAACAAAACAAACCCTGAACAACTGCCTTCACAGAGCTTACATTATAGCAGAAGAGATATGTGGGAAAATAATTTCAAGCAGAGAGAATAATTAATGTAATGGTGAGAATACGTTTTGTGAATGGAAGGAGGCCAAAGTGCTGGGATATAGTGAACATTACACAGCAGTTGATGATAATTAATATTATTCTCGGTGGAGTCAGAACTGTTGGTCACAATTCTTCCTCCCCTTCCTCCAACTAGTATTTTGCAAAGCCACCTTTGCCGTGATCTCATAAAAACAGTATATTTATCTGCCCCATTGATTTTGGGCTTGGTAAGTGACTTGTTTTGATTAATAGAAAGTGGGCAGAAGTGATAGGATGTCATTTCCCACATGAGGCCTTAATAAGCATTGCATGTTTCTGCTTGCCATCCTGTGCCCCCACCATCAGCAAGAGAAGGCTTCCTCCACGTGGAGGGATCCCTCTTCATCCTGAGTCCTAGAATGGACATGCATGAAGCAGAGCCACTTCAACCAACCCATAAGCATAAGAGCAAGAATAGATGGTGGTGGTTTTGAACCACTGAGTTTGGAGGTGGTTAATTACACTGCATTATCATGGCAATAGCTAACTGATATAATCTTCAATATGAATCTCACACATTATTAATATATCTTTCTATGTCTTACTTTTTTAAATATGATTTTATTGTTTGTATAGTCTATAGTAACCAAATCATCCCTGGGAATGATAAAAACAAACAGGAGCCTAGCTAACTATATTCGGAAGAAATAAGCCTCACTTAACTAGATTCCTGATTTGCTCTCATCATTTGCTTAGTTTCAAGGAAGCAAAGGCCCTTTCTTTCTTCCCTTCTTCTGCTTTCACCTCTGCACCAGGACATCTGTTGTTTCAGTTTCAGTTTGAAGTTTTTGCATCACTGAAAAAAATATACAACTTTGTAGCTTACAGTTTATATTTTGGCATCTCTGTGTGTTAGTATTAGTCATTCAATAGATGGGTGATTCCACAACAAAGTAGAATCCATGAAGGGAGGTGTGAAGTTATTTTTATAAATAAACCCAATTTTTGGTGCATTTTCACAAGTTTTAATTCCTGGGCTCGAGTTTCTAAAGGAAGTTCAGGCTTTTATGCATGTGTGTCCCAAACTTGAACCTAACAGGAATGCAAATAGAAAATTAATCTCATCAGACATATCATAGAACTTCCTTCTCTGGTATCTAAATACTAAAACTGTCCTCAAAACATCAGTTATTCAGCAAGTAGTTATTGAATGTAGATCCTCAAAACATGCCAAGCAATACAGAGCCACAAAAGAAGGGTATGGTCCTTGCCCACAGTGAAAATATCCTGAGTAACAACTTTAAAAATGGAGACTGCTCTGAGCTATCTTAATTTGGGTTTCCCTAAGGCAGACCTTAAAACAAAGACCTAGGCACAAGGAGCCTTTATAGGAGGTGATTTCAGAAAGCACAAGAAAGACATGGGGTAAGCGAGACAGAGAAGGGAGCAAGCCAGTAAAGTTTGCATTAATGAGCAGGTTATCACTGTGGGCAACTGGGGCTCAGTCCTGCTGGGATCCTCTGAGAAACTGTATGGAACACACCCAAGAATCCCCGGACAGAGGGCAGAGAGGCTGGGCCATCTACCCACTGACTTCCACCCTCCAGGGTTTTAGGGCTGAATCCAAAAATGTTAACTTTCCCACACTTCCAGCTGTGCCTGCTTGCAGCATAGTAAATTTGCTTGGATAGAGGAAGGCCCTCAAACAGAAAAAAGAGCTTAATGTAGGAGGCATATCAATATCTACAGGAGCTACCACATGTGTCTGCTAGAGGAGTACGGCTATTTATTTCATCAGTTATAATAATAGTATTTATTAAACACTTATTATGTGCCAGGCATGGTGCTAAGCTTTTTACAGACACCTTATTATTTTATTCCTTATGAAGTAGGTCATGTTATTATCACCTTATGAAGTAGGTCATGTTATTATCACCTTAATTATTAGGTAGCAAACAGTATATTAAAGATTGTGTTTAATTATCATCTTCTATAGACAAAGAAATTAAGAAATTAGCTCATGTGACACAGCAAGGAAGTGGTGGAGATTTTAACGTGAGTAGTCTGAACATAGAGCCATGGTCTAAGCAACACTTTACTACTGAAGGGGCAAGGTGCAGAAAACAAGGTCCTCAAAGTTGGGGAAAATAATGAATCATACAATCCTCAGGGAAGGCTTCGTGGAGGAAATATACTCGAGTAGTACTTTGAGATTGATAAAATGGAGACATGCAGAAAAAGAAACGAGCCTCTGCATGTTAAGGAAGGAAAAAGAGGGAAGGGGAAATGGTTGTAACATAATGGGCATGAATTCAATAAAATGTCCACCTCAGGACATACACAGAGTTGGCCCTTGCTATGCAGTAAGGCATATACAATATTGTGTATAACTCTATGTTCACTAGACAAATATGTATTGGGCATCTACTTCATACTTGGCAAGATTTTTTTTAAAAGACCCAGACATGATTTGCTAGAGGAGAGACACATACAGAAGACATGTGTTATTTCCGTTTTTTAGTATTGAACCCTTCTTTTTAATGAAGAACCCATTCAGTGAGGTTCATGTGAAATTTCACCTCCTATCACTCCTACACACACACACACACACACACACACAATCCCCCCCCCAACACACACACACACACACACACACACACACATATACATAGTACCTGACTGCAGCCTGGCCAATTAGTACATCTATTTCCCTGGCCTTGGTGATTGTTTTTGAGATGAACATGTGACCTAATTTGAAGTTTTTCTCTTGGAGCTGGGAGAACGATGGCCTCTGCTAGTCAGGGCTACTGAGCTGGTAAGTTGCGAATGTCAGACTTCCATTTTGCCCACCGCAGAGAGAAAGAATAAAACCAAGCAGAGGCAGGCAGCTTTAAGGAATTAAGGAAGAGACAGCCAGTGTACTGCCAATTCTTTTTTTTTTTTTTACCTCTTGGACTCAGTCTTGACAATAAACAAGAGACACATCTTACCTCAAATTTCTCAGAAGACATTCCTCTAATTGCACATGGTAGAAGGGAGTTTGATTAGGTAACCAAATTTCATTTTCTTAACATGGCTTCTTATAAGACTCAACCAACCACAGTTTCAGAATTACAATCTATTGACCTTAGTCATTCTCCGGGACAGCAAAATGCACCAGTTCTTTCTATTGACCTGAGTTATCACAGGCCATCAGACCCACTGAATAGTAGGGGGAGTTCTGGAATAGTTACATAGATTTAAGATGGAAATCTTAACTTAGGGTGAATTTTTTCTTCATTAAAGGAGCCAATCTATTGCGTACTAAATCCTGCTAATATAATCCTCTTTTTATAAAATTATTTCCCTTCCCACTCACTCACTTAGTCTTCTTTAGTTCATATTCCTCGGCTTGAAATCCAGACTATGAATATTGGCATAGGCTGCCCACATGTGAAATTTCTTTCACAAGGTTTAGGAGCCCAGAGAAGCTAAACATAGAAAAAGCAAAACTAAAATTAATTTCAGAAAAGAATGCTTTTCAATCATGCAGTATCCAGTGTCCTGATATAAAACAACTGTCTTCTCAAGAGGGCACTTGGGATGAAAATAACAAGCTAAAAATAGAGGCACGAGGTAGCAGCAAAAAGAGGAAAGACAGAGAAGAAATGGATTTTATCAAACTTTGAGGTGCCAGTGGGTATTTCCACAGCTGATGCTTATTCCAAATAAAAGTTATATGAGCCATTGTTTTATCTGAGATGCTCCAGTCACTTATAAAGAAGCTAGGTGAAAGTCAACTGAATCAATAAAAATTTTGAGCACCAAATGTGCCAGTCACTGTGCTGGGCGCTAGAGACACAGTAAGAAACTAGAATCTCGTTCTCTCTCTTTATCCCCATGTTTTCTTCTGTATTGGCCTCATTATTTTGGCATAGAATTGAGTATACATGCCTTAGATCCTCAAGCGCAGTGGCTAAAACATGATAATTGATCAGATCTACTTCTGAGTTTCAAACCTGAAAAGCAAGAAACTGTTCAGAAAATAAACAATACATACAGGTAAGCAAAAACATCAGATGCCCCCTTCGTTGGGGATACTAAGATAAGTAACACTGCTCGCAAATTTCGTGTTGTAAATTCCCCATATTAAGCCTCAGTCTCTGACTTCCCTTTAGGAATGAGATAAAGGATTGGAGAGGTAATGTTTATACTGAGTAATCACTCCAGTGGGCTGTCTAAGTCTGACCTCTATTTTCCTACCTCTAGCCTGAGAAATCTGGAGAAGTAAAATGGTCAAAGACCAAGGAGCATTTATAACTTTAGACAGGGCTCCTCTCTGAGTCAGGCATGGACAATCAGTTGAATAGAGAATATCTAGGCAGTTTTAGTTTGGATAAAAGAGCATTTTATTCAGTACTCACTGAGGACAGAGAGCACCTGCCATATACTTTTTGAATGATGATGACAATAAAAACTATTGCTTAGTGTGATGACTTGCATATAGGAGATACTCAGTAAATACCTGCTAAGTGAAAAGAAATACCTATGTAAAATGGTGAATCAGGCCATCTATCCCATATTACCTGAATTACCAAAAGTGGGCATAAGTAAAATGAGGTAATTTGAGGGAAGTCAAAATTTATCATCTAGATCAGCAGTTCTCAAATGTGAGGTTTCAAGACCCCTCCACATTTTTTAAATGATTAAGGACCACAAAGAGCTTTTTATTTTTGTAGATTATATCCATAGATATTTATCATATTAGAAATCATAACTAATAAATTTATTAAATACAAAAATATGCAAATGCACATTCCATGAACTGTCAGAATAATAGCTGCTTCTTACATCATCTAGCTTCTGTAAAACTCCACTATACACTTGTGAGAAAGTGAGAGTAAAATGACAAACAACATCTTAGTGTTATCATGAAAATAATTTTGATCTAATGCATCCCTCGAAAGAGTTTCAGACATTCCAAACTAGAGTTTGAGGATCTCTGATTTGGAGTTGTCAGAAGCATTAAGAATTTCTAGGAAGCCAAACAAAATTATTGAATATTAAATTACTTGTAAGACTTATTTGTAGCATATAGTCACATGATTTAGACATTGATTTTTAATCATCAGGAGAGGAAGTTTAATTTAGCTTCTGTTCTATTTAAATATTCTGTTAATCAAGAGGAAAATTATCAGTAGAAGATAGGTCTTAATCTGTGGGTGAAAGGAATTGCTTGCTGTTTTGGTTATTTTGTTTTTGTTTTTGTTTTTGAGCCCTTTCCAATAATTAAATACCATTTTCTTTTACAAAGACTTTTTTGACCCTTCTATGACTAGATCAGTGTCATTGACCTCATTAAAAAGTCCAGTCTTTCCTATCAAACCCTTGCTAGACTTTGTATAAAACTGCATTTCATTGAAAAAGTGTCCAAATTGGGGTAATTTATCTGGAGAAAGAAGTTCAGGACACTGGCTTGGATAAGCAGGAAGTAGCCCTCGTCCCCTACCCTTCCTCAATGCCCTAGACACTGTACTTGACTAATTGCTTTTCACTCTCTAGAATTTACTTCACTAAACATCACCTTCCCTTATGTAGCTGGCCATGGACAATATGGAGGTTAATCCAAAGACCTTGGGAATAAGGTGGGTGGCGGGGCGTTATTCTAGTAAGAGAAAGAAGCAAGTGGGCATGATGGTAGCAAAGGAGTGGCCATGATCCAGGTGACGTCCATCTTTGTGGGCCAGGTTAAGGGGTTTGAATATGACTAAGTACAAGAGGAAACCGTTGGAGAAGAGCTTTACACAGAGGAGTGGCATGCTCTGATTTATGCTTTTGAAAGATACCTGGTTGCTGTGCGGAAAATGAATTCTTACATGTCATGTTACAAATACAGCTTGAAGATTGTGTGATTAATCTCCCAGTCACCTGCAAAGCATTGGAGACACGGGTGACATTATATGTGCTGACGATAAAGGGTACTTTTCCTATCCCCAGCTGATAAATACGTTCAACAAACTGTTCCTAGTTAAATAAAATGTACAATGTTTTCTTGTGTCTTAGACATTTTCTCAAAAAGGATTTGTTTATTTATGGTGATATTAATCACTAAAGAATTGGAAATTTACAATTCCAAAGCCGACAGGATAATACCTTTTCAGTGGTTTAAAGGAGATTGTATTTTGTTCTATATGCATAAGTGATTACTATTTATTTCATTATAATCTGGCATATATATTGAATTTCCTACCCAGCAAGAGTTCTGTTAAGTTGCCTACCCTGAGCATTTAGTGAAGCCAGTTATTACATGAATAATGAAATGACAGTAAGCAATAACAGAAAATGACCAAATAACTGCTTGATTGGGGGACTTTTTGACAGAACTGTATAGTAATAGAATATGCCTGTTTCCAGTTCTTTAAAATCTACTTTCTAAAAGAGTTTGGATTTTTAAAATCAACTTTAGTAATCAGACTTACACCTTTAATTGTGAGCTTTTGAAACTCCTTACAGTTCACATATTATAGCACCTGTAATTGTCAATTACATTCACGCACCATGACAAGTACAATATACTCCATCATCTCATTCAAACTTCACACACACACACACACAATCCTATGAATATGGTGCTTTTATTTCTTCCATTTTGCAGATGAGAAATCTGAAGCTCAGAAACACATGAGACTCGTCCAAGGTCAAATAGCTGAATATTGACAGAGATGCTTTATATTGCCTTTGATTTAGGGGAAAAAAAAAAAACATGTGAAAGGGTAGCGTTCCATTGGACACAAAATGGAGACAAATAGAAGTGAAAGGGTGCTGGAAATAACATTTCATTGCTGGGACTGATACTTGAATATTCGTTACTATGTCGCCATTGGGTGTGAGACTAGATGAGGTAAGTAATGGGTAGAGGGAGGAATTGTCAACTGGTTTTATCATGTTGGACAAAATGTAAAATAGTCTCAATGAAACTTTTAGAACCCAGCTCTTATTTCCATTTTCAGCACTAGGTCACCAAAGTGATGGGGTTTAGTAAATCTTAACATTTTGGGAATTAAGAAACCTAATAAGAATCTAACAAAACTTATGTAACATGACCCAGAGTATATAAATTCAAAATGTCCACTAGCGTGAGGCTATTTAGAAAATTATTATAGTCTACAGCCATACCACCCTGAACACGCCCTGATCTCAGAAGCTAAACAGGGTCGGGCCTGGTTAGTACTTGGATGGGGGAAAATTATTATAGAACCTTCACTACCTAACATACAGAACAGCACAATATGATAATTCATAGTCCTGTACATATATTATATGACTGTTAAAAAAAATAAGGCAGATCCTCCTTGAAAAAGTAAGGCATGTACAGGTCATATTATTAGGTAGCAAACAGTATATTAAAGATTGTGTTTAATTTCAGTGTTTTAAGTTGTTAATATTGGAGATTAAATTATGAAGAACCTTACCTTTTCCTCCTGTAAACATTCCTGTATTGGTTGAATTTTTATAAATAGCACGTTTTGACTGAATTAATGATTAAAATCAATTTGACCTAAATTCTAAACAAAAGGTCAGATTTCTGCCACCTTCCTGTATGTTTCTAAATGTTATAAATATCTTTTAATCAAAGACTTTAAATTGTCTATTCCTGATACATTTCTATACTAACCGAATAAAATAGATGAATAAGCCGTTGTCAACCGGACATTCAAACTTTTTAAAAACCAACTCTAGGACTGTTTTTGTTTCACAATTCACTTGGGTAGAGTACCACAGCTCAGGGAAAGCAAACGAGAGAAGAAAGGATTTTCCCTGAAATGTACAGATAACGACCTCAATATCTATTTTAATTTGACAACGTAGAGGCAGTCTGAGTTCTCTATTACTCAAATTCTATTTGAAGAGCCAAAATTAATAAATCATAGCTTAGTGAGCACAGCAATGCCTCTTTGCAAGTCACTGTAAGGGTTTCATAGGGTTTTACTTCCCTTTTACTCCAGATCATACCTTGGCCTTTGCAAACCATCCCTTTTTAATCACCTTAGAGTCCACAGTTTCATGTTGAAATGTCTATCTGTGTAAATCCAAACTGTAGGGAGGAGTGAAATTTGAAAAGATCCTGGCATATATATTCTTAAAACCACAATACACTTTCAATAAGTTGGATAAACATCTTTCTGGCACATGGAAATGGGAGCTACATGCTGGGGGTGAGGGGGGAACAGTAATTTTCCAGCCTTATCTTCACATGTCTGAGTACAATTATTAGTGTAGAAAAGAGTATTGTTTGCAGTAATCTTGATTGCATTTTCCAGTGTCTAGCTCACTCCCTGTGCTCGATATTTATTATTACCCTCCTTAAAATAAAAAAATCATTGTCTCTAATGGTAAAGTGGAGAGGACAAAAAATAATGAAAATTTCCTCTTATGAAAAAAAAAGTTCCTCCTATGGAGACAATAAACTTTAAGACACTTAATGCATAACCAAATCAAGGAGAAATACCTCTGTTATGTTGAAAAGCAGAAGTATAGCACTTTGTCTTTCACTTAGATTTTTTCTTTTTAAAGAAAATATTTTTAGCACGTGCATGCTGTTGTTGCAAGCCTTGGAGATGAAACTGTTTTTGATTCAACCAAGGTTAGGAAAGAAATGTCTAGGAAAATGATTCTGGCTGCCTGGAAAATGCCATTTATCCGAAGATATGGAGTTCATCTCTTGAGTCTGGCATATGGGAATGTAGGTACAGTCATCTCAATGTCCACTGACCTTCCTGGAAACAAATAGCATCACTGGAATCCCTGAGGTTCTCCTAGAAAAATGTGTGTGTACTAGATCGTTTTATATTTCTGTTTGCTTTGATATTGGATAAATTCTAGTAATGACCCTTTTTCTCAATAAAGATATCTTAGATAGATTGATCCTTGTCACCTTCCACAAGTGAGTCTTACATTTCAGATCTACTCTCTCTATTCCCCCTTTGCAAACTGAAGACATCAAACTTTTTCTTAACTTAAGCAACCTGAGTCCAATTGCTGGAGTCTTCTCTCAGTTCTCACCATGATGTGCATATTTTCCAGGCCTGTTCTCAGTCCCTACTTCGAATTTGTCTGCCTTTTCTACCCCAAATAGATCCTAAACCTGAGACTCTGGGAAGGCAGACTCTCTCCCCACATTTTGAGGACAGCGTAATGTGCCTTGTGAGGTGCTGGTGGCATAAAGGAGAATCTTATTCCAATCAACGTGAGTTTTTAGGCCCAGTTTGGAATCACCCATGAGCCAGTGGAGCAATGGAACAATGGCCGCAGTTCCCATATATTCATCCTATGAGAACTGTCCTATGGAGAAAGGACTGAAAGTAACAAGTGAGAGTCAGTTGCTAGAAGGCCATTAGAAAAGCCCTCAATGGTGCAAGAAGTCACCAAATATGTGATTGATACAAACAATTGATAACATTGCACTGTTTTTGTATGGGAGGTTAAGAGCAAGAGCTTTGGGGTCATACGGACTCCATTTCTCGGCCCTACTTCAAAAAGTCTCCTTGCTCCTAAAATTAACATGCAATAACTTAATAGTAATCACTTGATCAAATTTGAATGTTTCAGTGAGATAACAGACAAAAACATTTGGCATGGTGCCTGGGCTAGTGTATGCTCAATAAATGTCAATCATTGATTGGCATCCAGCAGTAGAAGTGAAATCACCATCATCATTCTAAATAGCATCACCGAATACCATGCTTCAGGTACAGTAAGAAAACCAGTGGAAGTAACAGAGAAGGATTTGTCTTTTTCAACCTTCCAGATAATCTGCACTCTCATTCCCCATAGTTCATTGTCTCCCCATCTGTTTCTAATGACTGGCACATGAAGTTCAATAAATCTTTACTGAATGAATGAATGACTTGAGCATAATGGAGAAGTCAGTGGCTTGGAAAACGTGGAAATGAAATTTGGGTCATAAGTAAAACAACTAAGAGCTGGTATCAGAAAGCCTGAGTGCTAAGTTTTCCACTACTCTGTGCCAACAGGTGATCTTTAGTGATTCTTTTGAGATAGCTGAGCTCCAACTTCCCTATCTGCATAATGTTGGGGGGCTACTTGGGGGGAAAAATGAGATGCAGTGTGTGAAAGTGCTACATAAATTTTCAGGATTTTGTAGTGGTTTATGTTGTGAATCACATAAGCTGAGTAAGTAAGAGTGTATGTGTGCATCTGTAAATGCACACACAAACACACTTATTACACACATACACATACATATGGCTAGCTAAAGACAACGCAATCTAAAAGCAGATAAGTGCCAATATTTCATATAGGGAAGAGAGGGATAAAAATGGAGCAAAAGGATTAAAGTTCCTGTCGACTGGTAAACAGAATTGAAACAGGGCCTATCAAAAATAATCACGTAAAGAGAAAACGTACTCAGCACTACAATTTGCCAATTGCCCTCTGATCTTGAATTCCAGCTACCAGAAATTCAATGACAGCAGCCTGCTCCCCCACACCTTAATCCTTCCCACATTTGCTCCTGGGCTGGATCACTGCCCTTGGGACATGTCATTTCTGTCTTGCACTGAACCACCGCCAAATGTATTGGTAGGAGCTTTAGTCCTGTTTCCTTCCACACCGGGTAAAAGGTTTTGTCAATAATTTCAAAGGTCTTATTATCAGATGACCATAATAGTGTGGTGCTACCTAAAGATAAATCTGTGCTTTGTTTTACCTAATGTCTCACTTTCTATTAAAAAATCACACCACAATTATCACAATTTCACAACATGGCATAGTCAGGTTCATTTACCCTTTACTTGTTTCTGAGGCAAATGTTAGAATAACCCAGGACAAGATTTGGAAATTAGCAAGTTTTTAATGGCTTTCTATCGGTCAGTCTACAGGGATTCAACTCTATCACTGCTGGGTACCTTGTACAATGCCTAATTCACATACTTCAAGGTGGTAGCAGAATGAACATTGGTTTAGAATCCTATTCAGTACAGACTATCAGTCTACCGTTAGATGAGATGGCACGGGAAAGCTGGTTGGGTCATTTGCTTACAAATATTCAGCTGGAAATCTAAGGATGCTGTAATTTTTAAAGAAGAGAGGCAGGTATGCGCAGTACTTGCCAGTGTAGGCTCCTTCTACTCTTCTTACATTCCTGACTCATCTCTGCCATCTTCTAGCCACATGACCTCAGGCAAGGTCATTATTCTTTCCAAGCCTCAGTTTCCTCCTCTGTAAAATGGTAACAGCAATCGTACCCACTGAAGAGAGTTGTTATGAGCATTAAATGAGATACAAGTAGGTAAAGAACCTAGCACAATGCCTAGGTTGAAAAATGTTGGTGGTTGTTATTACAAACATTTCTATCAATAAAGCAATGCCACTTGTCTTGCTCCAGTCCCCTGAAAGGATAGTTGCATTTAATATTACTCCAGACCCTACAAACGTAACTAAAAACTATGGGGACTCAATATTTTCTTTAACCCAATTGAAGCATCAGTGAAATGTTTTAAATGACTCCATTTAAACATTGGTACATATTTTTTTTTAAAAGAAACCACTCTAAAATGGAGGCCTTTCATTGATAGACACAATGCGGTTAAACCCAGTGAAATTCGATTACCTCTTGATTGGGTCGGGCAAGCCAGGAAGAGAATTTTACATTTGAAATCAACAAATTGAATTTGGTACCTTTTGCAGCTTCAGCAATTGCTCGCCGACTAGTTCCTCACAAGATCAGAGGTGGCCCCGTCAACATCCAGGTTCTGTTGAATGACATGCTCTGTTTAGAAAGGTTTTTCCTTGTTTAGATTCTGAATGAATATTTGCTTCCAAAGTTATTACAGCTACAAAACACATGCTGACTATACACTTTCCCCCCAAAATACAAAATATATGAATTTATACATATATATAATTGTTGCTTAAAAGAACTTATATATAATATATAAATAAATATGTATGTATTTATACACATATATGCCTTTTGCTTATAAGAACTTATAAAGTTCTTATATATAAGCTCTTTTAAGCAACAGTTACATATACGTGTGTGTATATATAGATACACAAATATATATACACATATGTATATACACGTGTGTTTGTGTGTGTGTGTGTATATATATATATTTTACCCAGTATGGCTGGTAGGCTAAATATCCAGCTATACATCATCAGTGTTAATAAGGTCTTTTAGTAATTTTTTTTGTCTTATACAGATAAGCACAATTAACAATTTCTTTAAGTCAACATGCTAAGTCAGCAATGGGCAAAATATTGCTATTCGGCTGACTGCATATTTTTAAAAATATTTTATTCTCTCCCTCCCCACTGTCTCCACCACACACAAAGATTGCAGACCTAGTTTGTGCATGTCAGCTGAAGGAACAGGTGCATTGGAGACATGCTGATCCTGGGGTGCAGCCTGGCACCTGGAAACTATCAAGCGCAGATAATTGCAACAGGTGACATGTGTTTTTGTTTTACATATGGTTTATTCTAAGAAGATCTTTCTGATCTTTGTCTCAAGATTAAAGCCAAAATCTATAATTTGGCCACCTGGCCAAGAAGACCCCACAATGGGGGCCCCCAGCTACTTTTCCACCCCATCCTGCACCACCATTCCCTTTCCCACCATCTTCCAGTTTTCCAGGCCACATTTTATTCCCCCATGTGTTACGCCCTTTGCCTATACAGGAGCTTGGTACGTGTTCTTTCCTGTTTTCTAAGCTTTATCGGGACATAATTCACATACCATACAATTTGCCCATTTAAACTGTACAATTCTCCCATCCTCCACCCAGTCCTAAGCAAACACTAACCTGCTTTTGTCTCCATAGATTTACCTATTCTAAACACTTTATAGAAATGGAATCATAGAATATGTGGTCTTTTGTGACTAGCTTCTTTCACTGAGCATAATGTTTTCAAGGCTTATCCATATTGTAGCATGTATCAGTACTTTACTTTTTTGACAAATAATATTCTTTTGTATGAATAAACTACATCTTATTTATTCATTCGTCAGTTAATAGACATTGCAGTTGTTTCTCCTGTTTGGCTATTATGAATAATGCTGCTGTGAACACTCTTGTACAAGATTTTGTGTAGACAAATGTTATCATTTCTCTTGGGTATGTATCTAGGAGTGGAATTGCTGGAATGGAGTCATATGATAACTCTATATTTAACCACCTGAAAAACTGCCAGACTGTTTTCCAAAGTGGCTGCATCATTTTACATTCTCCCCAGCAAACATGAAAGTTCCAATTTCTCTGCATCCTTACCAACACTTATAATTCCAATCTTATACTCTTTCTTTTTATAGCCACCCTAGTGGATGTGAAGTAGTATCTCATTGTGCTTTCTTTCTTAACTTTTCATCTGGGTAATTCCTATTATCTTTAAATCTCCAGCCTAAAAGTCACTTCCATAGGGAATCTTACCTTGGCTACCCCACCCTCAAACTAGCCTCAGATTCCTCTCAGAAAACCCATCCTTTCTCTCTAAACTTTAAGTTCAACATGGACAGGCACCATTCCATCTCTTCTTTATTCCCCACTCTAGCCCCAGCATCTAGCTATTTATTTATTTATTTATTTATTTATTTATTTATTTATTTATTTGAGACGGAGCTTGGCTCTTGTTGTCCAGGCTGAGGTGCAATGGCCTGGTTTTGGCTCGCTGCAACCTCTGCCTCCCGGGTTCAAGTGATTCTCCTGCCTCAGCCTCCCGAGTAGCTGGGATTACAGGTGCCCGCCACCATGTCTGGCTAATTTTTGTATTTTTAATAGAGACGAGGTTTCACCATGTTGGTCAGGCTGGTCTCGAACTCCTGACCTCAGGCAGTCTGCCTGCCTCGGCCTCCCAAAGTGCTGTGATTACAGGCATGAGCCACCGCACCCGGCCGCATCTGGCTATTATGTGAACTATAAAGTTGTTGAAAGTGTATTAAGTCAATGCCACTTTTTTTAAATAATGAGAAAAAGTGTGTATTATCTGAAAATCACCTGTGTCAGAATAATTGACATGATTACCTTTAAATCCATTTCATTTTTCAGTATTTCTACAGACAAAACTATTGAGGAAGATTCTAATATCACTGGCAAGGGTAGGAAAGGGGCTCTATGATATAACCATAATGAATGCTTCTGTTGTCCTGAATTTTGTTGGAGCTGTACACATTTATGTTTGTTAAGAAAAAGGATTTTTGTGGGAAAGTGCAATATATACAAGCAAAAACAAATGGACTTGAGAAATAAGGAACTTAAGGGGACTGGATTTTCCTGCTTTAGCTGTGAGCTAAGCATACCTCTAGAGGTTTCAATTCAGTAGATCTGAGATGGGGCCCAGGAATATGCATTTTAAACATAGTCCCTAGTAATTCTAACGCCAGTGGTCCATGAGCTTCACTTTAAAAATATATATATCCTAGTTAATGTCCTTATTATTTAACATAAACAAGTCAATGTAGAAGTTTAAAAATCAGGCTCTGGAGTTTGATGCAGATTTAAACCCCTGGACTGACATTTACTATGTGGCTTAGAACGAATTACTTAATCTTTCTAAGCCTTAGTTTCTGGCCCATAAGAAATGCCCCAATATGTTAATTCCCATTATTATGTTATTAACATTATTATCTTAATTGGAAGATGATGTGCACAACAAATCTGTTGGTTTTTTTTTCTATTTCAACTTTTATTTTAGATATGGGGGTACATGTGCAGGTGTGTTACATGGGAATATTGCACCCAGGCAGTGAGCATAGCACCCAATAAGTAGCTTTTCAACCCATGTCCTCTTGCCTCCCTACTCTAGTACTCCACAGTGTCTGTTGTTCCCATGTTTACGTCTGTGTGTGCTTCATGTTTAGCTCCCACTGATAAGCAAGAACATGCATATTTGGTTTTCTGCCCCTGCCTTAGTTTGCTTAGGATTATGGCCTCCAACTCCATTCATGTTACTGCAAATGACATAATTTCATTCTTTTTTTATAGCTACATAGTATTCCGTGGGGTATATGTGCCACATTTTCTCTATGTAATCAACCATTGATGGGCACCTGAGTTGATTCTGTGTCTGTGCTATTGTGAGTAGCATGGCCATGAACATGCAAGTGCATGGGTCTTTTTGGTATAATGATCTATTTTCCTTTGGGTATATACCCAGTACTGGGATTGCTGGGTCAAAGAGTAGCTCTGTTTTAAGTTATTTGAGAAATCTCCAAAATGCTTTCCATGGTGGCTAAGTGCATAAGTGTTCCCTTTTCTCTGCAGTCTTGTCAGCATCTGTTGGTTTTGACTTTTTAAGAATAGCCACCCTGACTGGTGTGAGATATTATCTCATCATGGTTTTGATTTGCATTTCTCTGATGATTAGTGAAGATGAGTATTTTTTAATATTTTTTTGGCCACTTCTATGTCTTTTTTGTTTGTTTGTTTTGTTTTTTTGAGACGGAGTTTCGCTCTTGTTGCCCAGGCTGGAGTGCAATGGCGCGATCTCGGCTCATCGCAACCTCCGCCTCCTAGGTTCAAGTGATTCTCCTGCCTCAGCCTCCCGAGTAGCTGGGATTACAGGCATGCGCCACCATGCCCGTCTAATTTTATATTTTTAGTAGAGATGGGGTTTCTCCATGTTGGTCAGGCTGGTCTCGATCTCCCAACCTCAGGTGATCCACCCCGTCTTGGCCTCCCAAAGTGCTGGGATTACAGGCGTGAGCCACCATGCCCAGCCCTATGTCTTTTTTTGAGAAGTGTCTACATCTTTTGCTCATTTTTAGTGGGGGCTGTTCATTTCTTGCTTGTTGATTTGTTTAAGTTCTTTATAGGTTATGGATATTAGACCTTTGTCAGATACATAATTTGTGAATATTTTCTCCCGTCCTGTAGGTCTTTTCATAGTTTATTTTCCTGTGCAGAAACTCTTCAGCTTAATTAGGTCCCACTTACCAATTTTTGTTTTTGTTGCATTTGCTTTTGGGGACTTAGCCAAAAATTATTTGCCAAGGCCAATGTTGAGAAGGGCATTTCCTAGGTTTTCTTCCAGGAGTTTGAGGTCTTACATTTATATCTGTAATCCGTCTTGAGTTAATTTTTTTATATGGTGAAAGGTAAGGGTCCAGTTTCATTCTTCTTCATATGGCTAGCCATTTATCCCAGCACCATGTACTGAGTAGGGAGTTCTTTTTCTATTGCTTGTTTTTGTCAGCCTTGTCAAAGATCAGACGGTTATAAGTGTATGGTTTTATTTCTGAGTTTTTTATCCTGTTCCATTGGTCTATGTGTCTGTTTTGTACTAGTACCATGCTGTTTTGGTTGCTCTAGCCTTGTGGTATAGTTTGAAATTGGGTATTGTGATGTCTCCAGCTTTGTTCCTTTTGCTTAAGACTGTTTTGGCTATTCAGGCTCTTTTTTTGGGTTCCATATGAATTTTAGAATAGTTTTTTTTTTAATTCTGTGAAGAATGACATTGGTAGTTTGATAGGAATAGAATTTAATCTGTAAGTTGCTCTGGGCAATAGGGCTATTTTAGTGATACTGATTCTTCCAATCCATGAACATGGAAAGTATTTCCATTTATTTGTGTCATCTCTGATTTCTTTCAGCAGAGTTTTATAGTTCTCCTTGTAGAGATCTTTCACCTCCTTGGTTAGCTGCATTCCTAGGTATTTTATTTTCTTTGTGGCTATGGTAAATGAGATTGTGCTCTTGATTTGACTCTCAGCCTGGACATTATTGGTGTATAGAAATGCTACTGATTTTTGTACCCTGATTTTATATCAAAAACTTACTAAAATTGTTTATCAGTTTTAGTAGGCTTTTAGCAGATTATTTAGAATTTTCTAGACAGAAAATTATATCATCAGTGAAGAGAGATAGTTTGACTTCTTTTCCTATTTGGATGCCTTTTATTTTTTTCACTTGCCTGAGCGCTCTGGCTAGGACATCTAACAGATCCGTTTTAAAGGGATTGAGTTTTGTTTAGTAAGAAAAATACTTCCTAAGTATAAGTTGGAATTTATGAGGTTCGTGAATGGCTTTATCATCACTGTTACTTTTATAGATAATTTTCCAAGTGGCACTTTATGGTCATAAATAAGCCTCAGTCATATCTTTTTGCAAGTGCCTCCCTAATTATCATTTCTGAAGAAAAATTTTGGCCTCTATATTAAATTATAGTTCACGACTTAGTTCCAGTTCACACCCTGAGCTACTATATTGGATATAACACATCTTCCTTAGGTGTTACTTACTGAGCTGAAAGTATTGCCCAAAGCATCTTATTTTGTCTGTATCCAGTAATTTATTGAGCCTGGATGCTATCCTGATAGAGTTTACTCACTAAAATAGAAGTTATAAAAGTTCAATCAAATTATGATCTATCAGTCATCTTACAGAACCAAGAATGTGCATTCATTTATCCAAGTACTATTTACTCAGTGCCTAAAAAATGTCAGGTGTTTGGGATCACAGAAAAAAAGAAAACCAAGATTCCCACTATCATGGAGAAATGATATTCACAGTTGAGTGGTCAGTGGGACTGAAAAAAAAAGTAATCAAATTCATTACCAAGACAGCTTTATCTGCTAATGAGTGCTACGAATGACATTAAATAGAGTGATGTAATAGCAAATGCCTAAAGGAAAGGAGCTCCTTTTGATTAATGGCAGGAAAAGGCTCTCATCTCTCAGGAGATGTTGAGCTGATGTCTGAATGCCAAGGAGGCAGCCATGGGAAATGTCAGGGGGCAGAGTGATTTAGGAAAAGAGAACAGTCAACAACAAGACCTGGAGACAGGACCATGTTTGTCATAACTGAGAAACAGAAAGCAGGCCAATGTAGTTGAAACAGGGTGATGGAGGACAGAGCAGCAGGGGAGGAGTCTGGAGATACAGTTAGGGGCACCAAGGTAAGGCCTGGCGAGCCCTGTTAAAGAGAGGAAGCACTGAAGAATTTCAGCAGGGGGATGTCGTTGTCTAATTTATCATGATTTCAGGTTCCCTTTCCCCTTCCTTCCTCCTCTCTACCTAAGGGTGACTAGCTGTTATGATAACCAGTTGAATGATGATTAGCTGCAATATTGATTTCCACATTTCTAGCTATAATGTCTGTAAATTTCTTAATGAATATGTTACATAGGCATGCACTAAAACTCCCAGATCACATCCCATTTTGCTTTAGAAGATGTAGACACAAGTCATGTATTTTTGTCTCCATTGCATTTAAAGAATGTCTCCTTAAATCTGGCAATTTAGGTTGCACCAGGTGACGTTTGAGGTGCCCACCTGCGAGGGAAAGGAACGGCAGAAGCTGGCATTGATTGGTGACTCCTCGTCTTCAGCAGAGTTCTTCGTCACTGTTGCTGTCTTCGCCTTCCTCTACTCTTTGGCTGCCACTGTCGTTTACATTTTCTTCCAGAACAAATACCGGGAAAACAACCGGGGCCCACTCATTGTAAGTGGTTTTCTTTTTCAAATAACTTTTTCTGTTCCTTCTAATTTCTTTTACTAATGCTTGAAGGACTTTGGAGTTACCTGAGCCCTCGGGTTAGGTGTTTGAAAGGAAATCACATTCTTTTTTATCCAAATCTCTCGAAGCCACAACAAAAACTGATGTCTGTCAATCTCTTGTGCTCCTGGGCTGGGAAAGTATCACCCAACTTGCTAGAAACCCCTCTGAAATAAATGATTAGAAATCTCATGAGATCAAGGAAAGAGCAGTGAAGCTTGCTGTAGATTTATTTATAATTCCAGCATTGTGGAGTTATATTATAGGATGATCATATATTAATAATTGTTTAGTTTGAAAATGGAGTTCTTCATCTCTGTATATCTATCTATCTATGTCTTTTTCCTACCAATTCCTTACCCTACACCTCACTTTCTGTTGCCTCGTACAATGGTCCAAGGACTCATATGAGTGAAATCAATATAGCCCAGCATTTCTAAACATAAACACACATACACCTAGGGGGACACAAAACCTCTAAGAGGGTACCTAGGCATAGATAATTTTAAGGAAATAATTTTAAATTTCACCCTTTACATGTGCATTTGCCCAAACTCTATCTTCCCGAGAATGCCCTGTATCTAAAATATTTTACTGTCATCTTTCTTAATCAACTACTCCCATTTTAGAAAAGAAAAGTATCCTTATTTACCAACTCAAGTCTTACTACACAGTACATTTACAGAATATAAAACATTTGGGACACTGAAAAGGGGACCATTGAAATATTGGTGCTGGTGTTGACAAAAGTGATTCTGATGCCTGACTAATATACTTTTTTGGATATAAGGAGGTTTACTATTTTTTGGCTTTCAATAAAATTAAAAACTCTAATATGCTTATCAGTTGATTGATCATTAAAAAATAATTTTCGGTGACATGTTACTATGCGATGTGGGACATATAACTCAAAAAGAAAGTCATAAATGGTATTGCTATAACAAAACTCCATTTGTTTTCATTTATGCAAGCAAGCTTTCTCAGCATTTACATCTAAAAAAGGAAAAATGGAAATGAAATTTATGCTGAATCATGTACTATTCTATAAATAAATAATGTTTATCAAAAAAAGTATATATTAACTGCTATGGTTTGAATACAGTTTATCCCCCACCAAAACTCATGTTGAAAGTTGGTCTTCAATGTGGCAGTGTTAGGAGGCAGTGCTTTTTAAAGCTGGTTAGATAACTAAGATGAGTTAATGTCTTTCTTGAGAGACTGCATTAGTTCTCATAAGACTGTATTAGTTCTTGTGAGAGCAGGTTGTTATAAATTGAGTCAGCCTCTTTTGTCTTCTATCCCTTTTCCCACATACCCAGTTCCTCTTTCATTTCTCTGCTATGTTTTGACACAGCACAAGGCCCTCACCACAAGCCACCAGATGTGGCTGTCCAATCTTAAACTTCCCAGCCTGTAGACTATGTGCTAAATAAACCTCTTTTCTTTATAAATTACCCAGTCTCAGGTATTGTGTTATAGCCATACAAAATGGACTAACACAGCCTATTCATCTAAGAATTGTAAATTTTCAATAAAATTTTTACTTTTTGTTTTATTTTATTGAGGCAGAGTCTCATGCCACCACCCAGGCTGGCATGCAGTGGCGTAATCACAGCTCACTCCACCTCCTAGGCTCAGATGATCCTCCCACCTCAGCCTCCCAAGTAGCTGGGACAACAGGTGCATGCCACCACACCCAGCTAGTTTTTGTGTTTTTTGCAGAGACAAGGTTTCATCATATTTTTTGCAGAGACAGGGTCTCAAACTTCTGGACTCAGGTTATCCTCCCGCCTCGGCCTCCCAAAGTGCTGAGATTACAGGCATAAGCCACTCTACCTGGCTATTTTTAAAATTTAATAATTACATATTAAGTTTATAACATATTTTTGTTGTTTTGAAAAATTATGCATTAATAATACTTGTAGTGATCACTCAACCCAAAAGAAATGTAATACTTAAAGTCTTAGGATCACAAATAATTAAACAGTTAATTTAAATGTGTATAAATATTTTTGTTGCAAAAAATATATAATAGGGTAATTAATAATATGCTTTCCAGAAAAAAAAAATTATATTGTGCTATAATTCTGTGAGGGAAGTATAATAAAAATACAAATTCAAGGAGAACAAAAGGAAGATGTAAAATTTCTACCTGTTAAATAACTTGTTAATTATAAGATAATATCTGTTCATTATAACAGAATATCAAGTAACTGTTCCATTGATACATTTAAAAATTGATACAATAATTTTATTTTTAAATATCAATACTTTCTTTTTTTTTTTTTTTTTGAGACAGGATCTTACTGTCACCCAGGCTGCTGTGTAGTGGAGCGATCTCGGCTCACTTCAACCTTCACCTCCTGGGTTCAAATGATCTTCCCACCTCAGCCCCCCAAGCTCCCAAGTAGCAGGGACTATAGGCGCACACCACCACACTCAGCTAATTTTTTGTATTTTTTGGTACAGACAGGATTTTACCATGTTGCCCAGGCTGGTCTTGAGCTCCTGGACTCAAGCAATCTAGCAGCCTTGGCCTCCCAAAATGTTGGGATTACAGGCGTGAGCCACCATGCCCAGCCTAATACATTTAATATGCCAGAAATTACTTTATTTGCAACTGTTTGAACTTTCAATAAAAACAAAATTAGATGCCAACTTTATACAAGTAGGGACATAGTTTTTAAAAATTATTTTAGGGAGTATGTGAGTAAAATAAATTTCACAAATCCCTATTATAGAGATCTGAACCTTAAAACAATAAATTTTGAAGGATAACTGGGAGAATTCTCTGTTTTTAGAAATTTGTTAAGTTTGAAAGGACTAGAAAATGTTCAGGTGTGCAACACTTTAATATGTTAACTTAAAAAAAGAGTAACAAAACAGAATTTGAAACTTTGGGCAAGTGTTTTTTTTTTTTTCTATCTCAAATTTCAGTTAATAGTCTAAATGATTTCAAAATATCTTTAACAGAGTCACCAAACTTGGGCTTATCCCCACCATGATGTACAGATGGACATACCTAAGAGATTGTAATGCATATACCATAAATCCAGCATGCATGTTTATTTCTGGATCCATGTAAACATGCTCACAGGACTTTTAAGCCTGAGGAAATATCCTGACTTCTAAACAGAAAAAGTTGATACAGCTAATCCACACATAAAGTGGGAAAAAAACTATTTCGTTATATAAAACCACATTCTACTCATATAAAATGATCTTGTAAAGGCATGCTGCTTTATCTCTGTGTAAACAGTCTTTCCCATCAAGCAAGATATGATGAAATCCTGAATTGTATAATACAATGGTAGGTTTTGTTTCATTATGTCGTGGGAGGAAGGAACAGAGAGAGATAATTCTAGTAATCAAAAAAGAAAAGTCTCCTAGATGAAACTTCTTTAATATTAAAAAACTGAAGTGCTCATTACTTGGCAGATAAAGTTAATTTAAAGATGAGCCTGAATCATAGGAGTCACAGAGGCAGATTGCATGTAGATCAGCAGGATGCCATTATAACTGCAAAGAGCAAACCACATCGATTCAAATCCCACCATGATGAAGCTGTGATTGGGGAAGTAAGGGGTGCTATGACACCATTTGTGAAGAGCAGGTTTAAGCGAATTCACAGTAGGAGCAAGGTCTCAAGAGGGTAGTGCCTACTTAAGAAAACTTTCAAATACTAGAAAAGCATTTGTTCAAGTGTTCACAATAATTTTGCTTGTTTAAAACCCATCCTCTTTATTCACAAAGATGGCTACTGTATTAGTCCATTCTCACACTGCTTTAAAGAATGGCCTGAGATTAGGTAATTTCTAAAGAAAAGAGGTTTAATTAACTCACAGTTCCGTATGGCTGGGGAGGCCTCAGGAAATTTACGATCATGGTGGAAGGCACCTCTTCATAGGGCAGACAAAGAGAGAAGAAGTGAGCAAGTGAGGAACTACCAAACACTTATAAAACCGTCAGATCTCATGAGAACTCACTCACTATCATGAGAACAGCAGGGGGGGAACCACCCCCATGATCCAATCACCTCCCACCAGGTCTCTCCCTCAAGACCTGGGGATTACAATTCAAGATGAGATTTGGGTGGGGACACAAAGCCTAACCATATCAACTACTGATCATTATTTGGGCAACTTCATTTTGGTTGCCATCTATTTTTTGTCATTATTTTGTTTCTAACCAAACACACACTTTAAAAAAAATTTATGTAATTTGTGATTCTTCAAGTCAAACTTTGAACATGAAACTACAAAATTGCTGTATCAGGTGAACATAAACTAATTCAAGCAGTTTAAGAAATCCGATACCCTTCCAAGGTAGTTCACATCCAAAAAATTAACAAATTTTCATCTCAATTTATAGTCCTCTGGGACATGACATTATACATCCTGCACAAATAAAGTTAATGTTGTAGGGAAGTGACAAGGACGATAATAACAATAACATCAACCGATATTGATTGGGTTTCTACTATGTGATGAGCTAATTTAATACTCAAGACAACCCTAGTTTATATTATTATTCACATTTATAGATGAGAGAAGGGAAGCTTAGAGCAGTTACCAACTCTCTCTCCCTGGTTGCATCACTTATAGGCAGAAGGTTCAGAGTGTGGGTTGAAATCCAGAGCTCAATTCATAATCACCATGCAAGAGGCCCAAGATCCTGATAGCCAATGTGCTACAGAAGTTAGAGAGGTGGAGATAGGTAAGACAAATTGGTATTGTTTTACTCTAGAAGCAAATAAATCAAGCTCATAATCCCTAGGCTCTTTTGCTCATTTGACTGTCATAGAGGATTTTATTTTATTTGCCTCCAGAATCCATCTGGAGATATGGAATGACAGCCATGCATCTGTCGTACTAGAACTACTAGAGGGTTCTGCTTCTAAGTGCCATTTATCTGACTTGCAAATAGAAGATACCAATGAGAGAAAACAAATTTTAAAATGGCCAGGATAAATGTGTATTGTGAATCACAGATTACCAGGATTTGTTCCTATGCATTTCCAAGCAGTTGTGAGCAATTTCAGACAGACTTGAGCCAAGTTTATCAATGGCTACTGAAAAAATTTTTTCTACTGAATATGTATGACAAGATTGCCCACCTTTAAGTAAAAATGAGAATCTGAATGCCTTTAGAAGTAACACAATTGTTAATGATGCTGAATGATATAATAGTTAGAAAATTGGGCCAAAGAAATCAGCCAGCTACTGTATGTCACTACAGTAAGTGTCTTCATGTACAGATAAATAAATATCAGCTCTCAGAAAGCAGAAATGTCCGTGTGAATGGTGCATAATTGTGAAATTGAAATGTCATATCAGGTTATATCATTTTGTCATGTTCCTTATAGTTTTAAAAGCCAATCTCCTGCCTAGGTTACTGTGACAGGATGTTCTGAGCCATTTTCAGATCTCAAGTCAAATAATGAGGATTTAGTTTTCTTCCAATATTAATGTAAAGCAGATTTTTAAAAGCAACTTATCTTACAAGACTGACAGAATGCTTGAATGCTCTAAGAATGAGTACATTAATAAATACCATCTCATGTTTCAGTGAATCTGTATTGCAAGACGTTTGGCTTAAAATAACTTCTCTGGGAATTAGGAAGAAGCTTGATATCCACCTTAAGATTTTGTGTAAAAGACAGAGGCTATGTTATTCAAACTCTCCTCCCATAAAGGAGACCAGGTTGACCCAAGGCAGTTTATGGGACCAGGAGTGTTTACTGATGGCAGGCAAACAGTGGTATCACGGCTCACCTTGGTTTCATGACCAGTGCCTTCCAAATATTTTCCTATTTCCCCATCTAGCCTCAAAACAATCCTGGGAGAGACGTAGTGCAATGAGAATTAACCCTATTCTACAGATTCAATTTAATTCCTCTTTAGTGAGCGCTAGACATTGGAAAATAAGTCCAGGATATTAGAAACCTTGCTTGTATCAGAGAAGAAGTTAATAGCAGAACAAAGACACAAACTCTTAGTCCAGTGATCTTCAGGGTAGTGGCTAATTTATGGGGTGCTGGATTTTAATCTTCTTGTGTGAAATATTATTTAACAGGTGGAAGCTGTTACTTCACGTATAGAATAGTGTTAATAATAATGTGCACATCACATGAGTGCAGTAAGGAAAGGAAGAGTTAATGCCTGAAAAGCACTTTACACAGGGAAAGGCACACAGTAAGTGATAAATTAATGGTATCTGATTGTAGCACTATTATTATCATTAATTTTAATTATTCTCCTGTCCATTACTGGGTAGTTCCTTAGTCCCACAAAGGAAAATTGGAGGCACTTTCCTTTGATTGACTGCTGCTTTCACAGTTCTGTCTTCCTCCAGTCCTTCTATCCCATGCACCTTCTTATCCCCAAGTCGCCAAGGATAGAGCTTAACTCAGGACTACTTGTAAGATCACAATTGCTAGGTTGAACCATCCAATTAACCTTTGTGTTTCTTGAATCCCACTCCATTAGATGACTGGGAGGTAGACTTTAAATTTCCCCAAACAAAATAAGGTTTCTTGTTTTGAACTACAGGCTGGGGCCATCACTAAGGGAAGAAAATAACAAAGAGATATGGAGCTGGATGCTCAAATAATCAAATGCTCTTTCCCACCAGCTACACCTTTGTTTGAGTATAATTAGATACAGAAATCAGATTTTGCAGTCTCTGAGCTATACAGAAATTGCTGAGAAAGTGCTCTCTCTTCTCCCCTTCCCTCTCTCCCTCTCCCCAATTCCCCTCTGTCTTCTTCTCCTTTCCTCTTCTCTCCTCTTTTCTCTCCCCATTCTCCTCTCTCCTGTTTATGTCAGTTCCATTTCATGTCTATTTTATTTTAATAGGTAATAAGTGTCTTCAACAGGCCAAGAAACATGTATTTATGGGTGAATTAAAAGCATTTAGTCTGCTGAGGAACATTATTGAATCATTAAATCATTATAACTCTCCTACAAATGGCTTGCTAGGGGTATGTAGACAGGCTTTGGTAACCTAGAGGAGGAGGTGCATAATCTTGCCTAGAAGTGAGGGCATGCCCTTTTCAGGTCTCTGTGCTGTGGACTTGTCATAAAGTATAATAAAAAAATAAAAAATAAAAATAAAAACAAATATTTACTGCTAGAAAACTCCTATAAACTGCATTTTAATAAATACTCTCAAATATGGAAAAAAAAAAAAAAAAGACAACTCGAGAGCATCTTGAGGTTGGTGAGCAAGGCAAATGAAGGACCTTGTTTTTGAAGTTCTACCCCAGGAACAGTGTATTTGATGATAAACATAATATCATTTGAAGCCCCAAAAGTGTGTATGTATGTTGTTAGTCATAGACACACCTATCAGAATCTGACACTGATTTGTGGGGTGGGTGGGGTGTGTGTGTGTCTTTCTTTTTTTTTTTTTTTGAGACAGAGTCTTGCTCTGTCATCCAGCCTGGAGTGCAGTGGCACAGTCGATCTCGGCTCACTGCAACCACTGCCTCCTGGATTCAAGCCATTCTCCTGCCTCAGCCTCCCCAGTAGCTGAGATTACAGGGGTGCACCACCATGCCCAGCTAATTTTTGTATTTTTAGTAGAGACGGGGTTTCACCATGTTGGCCAGGCTGGTCCCAAACTCCTGACCTTGCGATCCACCTGCCTCAGCCTCCCAAAGTGCTGGGATTGCAGGTGTGAGCCACCGTGCCCAGCCGGTGTGTGTGTGTGTGTGTGTGTCTCACCTCCTCACTCTCTGAGATAAGAAGTGTCGATAATGCAAAAATGTATGGACTTCACCTTAAATGAACTCATAATCTAAACCACTATAAATTTTGCATCAAGTACATTTCTCTCAGAATTGGCAGCACAGATGAAGGCAAATACATTAATCCATTCAAAATTTTCCCGGTGTGCTTTCTAGATGTTTTATCGGATCTCACATCCTCAGCTCTTTTTCAGCTTTTTAACGATTAGTGAATTCTTAATTACAATTTAAATGAAGGTTCATTCCCACTGTATTTGGTACCACATTTCTCGAATTAGCTACTTTAATAAAAAGATGAGCTGTAGTTCTGTAGCCTTAATAAAGGCAGTGAACTGCTTAAAGAATTCATGCTTCTTCCAGAGCCCACAGCTTTTCTTGTCCTTTGCTGGAGTCTGTGCCTTTGGTGGGCTGGTGGAAAATGTCTGTCCCAACCCCATCCACGTTTGTCACATTTCCTTACATTCCAGGGAATTCCTCATTCAGTTAGAAAATCAAGATCTTGCAGAAACTTAGCAAAGCCCCAGTGTGTCTTTCCTATATGTTTTCTTTTTCATTTAAAACAAAATGAAATGTGAAATGTTTCTACTCCATAGCCTGGCATACCCAGAGAAAACTTGGCTTCCTTTCTCAGACAGACCAGGGGTTTTCAACTCCTGTCCTATGGAGAGGGAGGAGGGAGGTGACAATTTTGCCCCTGACTCAACCCCCTGCCGCTGTCTTAAGTTTGTCTTGCTACAATAAAATACCTGAGACTGGGTAATTTTTAAAGAACAGAAATTAATCTTCTCACAGTTCTGGAGGCTGGAAAGTCCAAGATCAAGTTTCCAGCAGGTTCTATTGCTTGGTGAGGGCTGCCCTCTGCCTCCAAGATGGTGCGTTGTTGCAGCATCGTCTGGAAGGATGGAATACTGCGTCCTCACGTGGTAGAAGGCAGAAGAGAAACGGAGCAGAACATGTGGGAAGCCTCTTTTAAAAAGGCCTTAATCCCATTCATGAGGGAGGGGCCCTCATGGTCTAATGACCTCTTAAGTGCCCTACTTCTTAATATTATCACATTGACAACACAAGGCTTTTCAAGAGGACAAATTCAAATCCTAGCATTCTGCCCATGACCCCCAATATCCATGTGTTGCCATGTGAGGACACAGCATTCCTCCCTTTCAGAGGATGCTGCAATGAGGCACCATCTTGGAGGTTACCTGTCCTAGAGGCAATTCAGGTCCACTTGACTTTAGCTTAGACGTTGCTTCATTTTTCTCTGAATAATTCTACTTATGGGGAACTCTCTACCTGTCACCGTGTTCATTCCTCTGGGTCCAGGAACCTCACTGCTAGCTTTTGGCTGTCATATTGTCTTCTATCCTCTTGTGTCCCCTCTCTTAGCTACCTCCAACACACACACAAACACACTCTTCAGCCCAACCTAAACATTTCAGCTTCATAGTCTCTTTCCTCTAAGCTCTGCTTTCTGATCTAGCTGACATCCTAGAGAGAAAAATGCTGTCAACCTCATTTCCCTATCCAGTTTTAGATGTTACTCATCAAAGAACTCTTGCGTTTTTCTAGAATACTTCAGGAGCATTTATATTGCTCCTGACTCCATATCTAATTATGGAATTTGAGCCAATTAAATATTTCCTAGCAACTTGGGCACTAGTTTAACTTTTACGGCTACCACAAGTAATTTTGGTAGACTCCCAAAGTGGTAAAGATCTGGGAAAAATGGGAGTAAAAATATTTTACTATTTAAAGAACAACTATCCATAATTATTTTTGCTAATTCATCTTGTATTGATTTTTCCTTGTGTGCCCTCAGATACTGCTGGGTTTTACTTTTTGTTTTTCAATGAAACAAAATTTCATGTTATGTTTCCTTTTTGATGGTGAGGTAAAGCTCTTTTTCAGATTCAAGAATAATGATCATGGCTGTGTAGGCCTCACTGGATCCCAGACCCTCTTACAGTCGCTAGGGACATGAAGTCAAATAAAACCTAGGTCCTAGCCTCAAACTACCTGCTTTATTCCTATTACCCTTGAGGGCAAAATCTGTGATGGGGAGACATTAGCAGGGAGGGGTTATAATTTTGGGCTCTGGACTCAGACTGCCTGGGCCCAAATCTCAGTACCACCATCTACCATCTGTATGACTTTGGACTGATGGTTATAGAACCTCTCTATACTTCTGAGTCTTCATCTATCAAATGAAGAGACTAACGTTTCCTAATTTATAAAGTAGTTGGTCAGAGTAAATGGGTTATTACCCATAAAGCCACTAGAACAACACCAGGCACTCAGCAGGTGCTAACTAATGCAAGCCATTATTTTTATCAGCTTTATGATTATCTACCATCATATCCATACTCTGCTTTCTCTGTAACTGGTGTTGATTAAATCTCATTGGACTGATCAGCTGAAACACAAGTGGATGGGTACACACTCTATTGACTTTCTCATCTTGAGAAATGCTTGGAAGGCTTCTTATTGTCCTGTTTACATCAAATGTTCTTCTATATTATTTTTTGTTCTCTGAGCCTCCCAACTCAGCATAAGCTGCTGTCATTATAGACAAATGCAATCAGCCCTAATGTATAGCTTCACTCTTTTCCCCATCACTCTGTTCCCCTCCCTTCAGCTATCCCACTACCACTCTGGCACTCAGATCTCATGGTTTAGGGAAAGAGGGGAGAGAGCACTACCCCATTAAATCAGCCAACCAGCCTCCAGAGAACAGAAGTTTGAATCTCTCACCAGCTGGCAAGTCTGAAAAAAAGTGGAAGGGTGTAAAGAACACAATAGCGTAACAGGATGAAACTTGGAAATTTGATTGGGGCATCCAGCTGAGAAACTAGTCTCAGACTTTCATCCTCCTATCATTTTTTGAAAGTTGTGAGATCTTCCCCTCCCCATCCCCCAAGATGGCAAACATCCTTACTAGTTGCTGAATTTATTTCCTTGAATCCAGAACAAGCACACACTCACACACACAGCTTTAGCTTCATTGGGGTCTCAGCAGCTTAAGAATGTCTTGCTCTAATACTCACAGTTCATTAGACTTTCAAACAGTTGGCACAAAGTTAGCCCTTTCCGCAGGGGGACATCTTCATTTCCATTGCTGATTAGCAGGATCCTAATCAAAGTTACAGATGCATGCAAAGAAATGCTTCAGAATTTGCCCTGGGAACAGGTAGGAAGAGATAGCAGGTAAAACTGATCTGAATCCCTTATGAGGGACAAGGTTATTGAAAACACTTGAGTGATTGGCCAAGGAGTGATCGCACCTTTGTTCCACCACCTGTCTGAGATCTGCAACTTAGAATGCTCTTCCACGTTGTTCTCAAATATCTAAGAAACATCTAATCAATTTATATGCTATCTCAAGAAATAGACAGCTAAGCTTGAATTGCAATGAGTTTCTTATTTGTGGCCTATTGGCCCACTAGCCAATTGGCTAGTTACCATTATGGGCAGAAAATAATGTAGACTATTGACAATCTAGAAATTGCAAGACTGAAAAAAGTGAAATTATTACCATGGAAAAAAGAACTTAGAAAAAAGTGCAGTTGAGGCTAGGGAAAAGTGAGGTTAAATGCCATTGAGCTGCCACTTACTCCACAGGCCAAGAATTAAATAAAATAGAAGTTATATTGGTTAATTCTCCAAATACCATTAAGGCACTTATTGTTATTCCCATTTTACAGATGTTGAATCCAATTTACAGAGGTTAAGTAATTTAAATAGTGCTGTATATTGAGTGTGATCCAGAGACATGCTCTTCACCACAGTGCTGTATTGCCACCCCATTTTTTACCTGGAAGTGGAGAAAAAAGCCAAGAATATCTATTAGCTTATTGAGCATCTGCTGTGCACAAGACAGGTGGGGGACACAGTAGCAAGACATACACAAGTCCCTTCTTTGGGAGAACCACCCTCTCCCACTTATATAGTCCTGGCGGATGGTCAATCATGGTGCCTCACTTGATACCTATAAGGTCAAGTGACTCAAGCCAGGAATCAAAGTCCCCTCTTGAATTTCTCTATGAAGTGAATTTCTTATTTCTATGGAGTTACTAAGCTAGGTATATGTGGGCCTAGTTGATAGTGACCACATTGCCCATGATGTAGAAGGAGTCTATTTAAAGAATAAAGCTGGGCAGAGACAAGCAGATCCTCAAGGGGAGAGAAAAAGATAGAGGGAGAGAGAAAGGCTTACCAAGAAGAAATTGAGGCCCTGAATTCAGCCACAGCTGAAGCCAGCACATTCTAGACTTTCCGGTTGTCAGTGGCTGAATTTCCTCATGTGATTGCTGGTTTGATTTAGGTTTCTGATACTCGCCAAATAATCCTGACCTAAATAATTTCTATCTCTTCTGTAAAATGTTATAAGCACCTATGCATCAAAATAGTATTAATGGAGATTAAATAACAAATGTCTAGTGTAATGGTTAGGTGTTAAGCAGATGGTAGATGCTTAGTAACAGTTTATTTATCTATTCATAGGACCAAGAAAGAGTAAGACGAAGTAACTCTACTAGTATTTTTATATTCAGTATTATTTAACTCTGTTTCCCTTTGTAATGACTGCATAATATTCCATTATATTGAGATAAAATGAATTATTTCACCAATCTCTTATTGTTGGACTTCGAATTTTACATGGCTTTGAATTTTTCTCTCTCATAAGCAATTAGCCTTGCACTTTACACATATTTTAAATTATTTCCTTAAGATAAAAACCCAGAAGTTGATTATCTTCCTGATTTTGAAGGCAGAAGTTTCTAATTTTTTCCACATTAAATACATCCCTAACCTGTGACCTCTTATCTGAGTGAAAATTTTGAATTCCAACTTTTGACTACACCCCAGGCCCTGAAATCTTATGCTGTTGTAGAAGAGATCTCCCAAAAAAGACCTACAAAGATAATTTTCTTCCCAGAGAATAAAAAAACTAAAATAAAAATAACTTGTTCTAAGGAGCCTGACATTAAAACATTTGCTTTGAAACTTGAGATACTAAGGAAACATCACAAATTAAATTCAAGCTGTGTTTAAGTACGCAGAAGTCAGGCTTTAATTATCAGGGAGAAATCCCCAAGACAGGCATGAATTTGCATAGCCACGCAAGCGTAGGCCCAGTGCTGGGCTCTGCATGCCCTCAGCTTTGGCAGTATCCTTTCTCATTGAGACTCAAAAAGTGAAGTTCAAAACCATTAACAGCTCCTCTGGCCAAAAATGGAAGAAAAAACAAACATACAGAAATCCCATGTGATTTTTTTTTAGCATAATGGAATTCTTTATAAGTTGCATCCTGGGGTATCTGCAATGCCCGCAGTTCTGTATGTGGCAACCCAGCAGATGGTCAGGGAGCAGCAAAAGTGGTAATAGTCTATCCAACTCTGCCTGCTGCAGTCGGCCTTGGGGAGCTTCTAAATAAATCTGGTGGCTCCTTTCAAACCCAAAGTTAAGCCATCTTCCGCAGCTTTCATTGGCTTTGTTTGTTTGTTTGTTTGTTTCACTCATTCTGTAAATAGTTGATTCAAGATTGAAAAAACTAAGACCAAACTACATGGGATTTGTGTTCCTGATTAGAAGATATAGCTGGTAGAAGGCTGATTCTGGGCTTTATGAAACCCTCATGCATTAAGAGTTGGCACACTTAGGGGAACAGGGCGGGTGAGGGGGCCAGGGAAAGGAAAGAATTGATGACATTAGGGCATATTCATGGACACTCCCTGTGGAATGGTCTCCGACCTCCAGTCTTCCATTCTTCCAATCTGTTATTTCAAATAGAGCTGTGTTTACACCATTGTATCTCTGGCTTATAGAAATAAAACGTCTCTCCTCACATCAGCATTCAAGGCCCTCCTAAGCGTTCACATGCTCTTCAGAGCTATCTCCCGTCATCCCCGGTATTCCATGTTTTAGTCAAACTGTACAATTTGCCATTCCCTAATCACACTGTAAAAATTCCTATTCTGCATAGCTACTGAGCTGCTACCTGCCACCTGGAAGGTCCTCCTCCCTTCTCCCTCCCAGCCTATCAAAATTCAACTCATCTTCAAAGACCCATCTCACAGGCTATCTGTTCCACGAAGTATTTCTTCACTACCCATGTCCTTATCCCCAAAGATATGTGATTTCTCCCTCTTCTAAACCTCCCAGCTCTGTGTAAAAATCATTCTTTGTGCAAATCCATTATTACCTTGCACTTTCATTGGATGTGGTTTTGTCTGATCCCCCCTGCTAGATATCAAATATCTGAAGGACAAGGATTATTTCCAACACAGCTATTGTCCCCTAAAGGCAGTATTTAAAATGAAATTAATGATCTTCATCAAGGATAGGGTCTGAGTTTGCTCATCTACTCAACACACATTTGTTGGGTTCCTGAAAATATATATTCTAAGGGAAACATAGAAACATATAAAAGAACCCCCCAAAATATAGACTACGCACTCTCCAACATCTGGGTCTATAATATTGGAGGTACCCATCATGACTGTTACAGTTTAACATCAGGGTTTTGAAAATCACAATAAGCATCAATGTTATCAAGACCACGCCTCATCTCAGAAGAGACTCAGCTTGCTATTTTAAAATGGTGGAGTCTAATTCTTCTCAAATACTCCCTTCCACATGCGTACTAAAATGTATGGGAAATCTACCTAACCATGGGATCTTAAAGTTTTACTGTTGTGCACTTTGTTCTCATTAATCATTTTGTAAGAGGAAAATGAAATTAAAAATAGTATACCTGCTGTCCCTGCAGTCTTTGTTCCTCTCTGAAAAGGTGGAATTTGGCCTTACTTTTGCCTTTCTCTTTAAAATAGGTATTAATCATTGTGTTTTTTCAAGGCAAATTCAAATTTATAAACTTCCAAAACATCCTTTCAGTCACTGGTTACTAACGCTTATCTGTTTTCTGGTTGAGGGAGGTTACTTGATAAATAGGTAATCCGAAAACTAGAGATTTACTCTTGAATAACAGCCAACCTTTTAAAGACTCAGTTATGAATTACCCTCAAAGAGAAGGAAGGAATTAGTAATATTCTGTATTCAAAATTCAGAAAATTTCTAAATGCTCATAAAAAGACAGTATTTCTTTTCTACCACGTGGAATAAAAGAAAGCTAATTCACCCAGACTTTATACTCTTGCTTATATAAAGTAATTTGATTGATATATAATAATTTGATGATACATGAACGTATTCCTAAGGTGCTTAGTGTTAAGTAAAACTAATGAAATTTTTCCAGAAGAAAAAAATTGTCTGGCTGGACAAAGGTGACCCCGCCTAGATCTATGATCCTAGGACAATGCCACCCTTTCAGTTTCCTGCTTAGACATCAGTTTCCTGTCCAGCAAAATGAGCTCGTTGAAGGTAGGACTGGTTTTGCTATCCCTGAAGAACCAGCTCTAAGCAGGACAGAGCCCAACACAGAGCAGACATTCAGTAAGTGCTTATCAAAGGAATGAACTCCAAGCTCCAATGTGTGTGTACATGGCTCTTTAACTAAAATTCAAACCCTCACATCCACTTGACTTTCAGTCCAAAGCAACCATACATCTGTGTGAGTGTTCTTCTTGGGTGTCCTGGGACAGCAAAACAAGTGGCACTTTCAGTTGTGATTTAACTCGAAATCTTTCTAATTGAGTCTTGCTACCTACTAAATCAAATTGTTCCAAAGGCCTCCATTTTCACCAAAATTCCACCTTTAACTGTGCTTTCTTCTCCTTCTCCTCCTCCTCCTCCTCCTTCCTCTTCTTATTCTTATTCTTCTTCTTTTTGTATGCTCTCTGAACTATCTCTTTTGCTATGAGATTATTCAAAGTCTTCTGTCCTGTCTAAAGCATTGTTCTTGCAACAAGGATCCAACACCTGCTGACTCTGAGTAAGGCATTATGCTAGGTATAGTCGCCTAAGCCTGAGTCTCTCTATCCTCGCTTGCCCTCTCATTTTAAAGTTTATCTCTCCAAAACAGAAATACTTTCCCTTCCCAAAGCTCTTGAATTAGGGAAAGAGGTCAGAAATTAAATGCTGTCTCATCACTCTTGTTTAGAAGTATAGAATCTTTATTGGTTTGTGAAAGTGGAAAATAATAACTCTTTTTGCCATTTAAAATTGAACAACAGCTAAGTAGAAGTGACAGGATAGATTTAAATTAGAAAGGTTCTATTAAATCAACCGAAGTCAAAGCCGATTTCACTCCAGGAACTGTATGCATAAAAAGGTGTAATTATGAAAACTTGATATTCTGCTACTTTATGCATATTCACTTTATGAACTTAGACCTCCAGAAGCCTCCTAGACTGCTTTCTCATTTTTAATAAGTATTAGAATAAGGCATGCCCTGATGGGATTAAAGGAGGGAGGAGGTTTGTGTGTGTGTGTGTGATTTTTTTCCTCCCTTAGTTTAGCAGTAATATTAAGACAAAAATGTAGCTATTCTGCTGGGTTTTGTGTGTGTTTTAAGAGTGTTGCAAATAAAATGAACCTCAGGGAGTCAGCAAAGAAATTATAGTTTTCCAATTAGGGGGACAACGGATCCATCAGGGAAAATATCTTATTAATTGCAGCTTCTAAAGAACATGAATGAGTCTCTCTGAAGTCACTGAGAATATTTATCTTTGTAAAAGGAGAGAATTTCAGAGAATTACCAGAAGATTTAGTAATCTAAAACCCAGGGCTATCAGTTGGGTCATGTTTCCATCAACAGAACATCATAGTGGACAACGCAGGTGAAGGGACAATTGAGAATTAGCTCAAACTGAGCAGCTAACTTGCACCTGTCCATTCTACATGGGAGCCAACCTCAGAACATTGTGAGGTTTCATCACACTCAAGATAAGAAGTCTATTAAGGAAAGATGTCAAGACCGTTAAGAGGCTGATTTTTGTACTCCATTTTCTCCCATCTCCAAAATAAATATTAATGCTGCGGCCCCTCAATTTCTTGAAGCTTTAAGGATATAATACTAGAGTGAAAGGGATCAGAATGAATGCTGGGAGCAGCTTTGAAGTCATCATCACTTTCTACGTCCTCCCTCTGTTTTATCAGTGGAAGCCTAGAGAAGTTATCAATTGCCAAAGTCACACAGTTGGTTCACTGAACCCTTCATTATTTCTCAGGATGTCCAAGAAACACCATCATGTAGTTCAGGTCCATCTTGCCAGTTAGTTCTGCCATCTCATTGTTCTATGTCAACCTGGTTCAGGACAGAGGATGTGTGAAAGGAATGTGTGGGTTGTGTTGTGAATTTTCTTGTCATCATTTACATAAATACAAAAGCCAACTTGGGGACAGGATGCCGCCGCCAAATTGAGTCAGATTTAATGAGCTTTTGCAAAGAATATTTATTTCTAAGACATTCTAAATTTCAAGCTACCAGGTGGGCCCACTGGTGGGTAAAAGCCATTAGCTGAATGTCAGGGCTTCTTTTCCACCCTTAGAATCTGGACTCTTTTCTTTCCCTGCTGTGGATGATGGAATCTAAAATATTTATGTGGCTTTATAATGACTATTTAACATTTACAGGCACCTGGTATTTGCCAAAATGCTTGACAGTCAGTGTTTACTAACAGGAAAGTAACTACTAGAAAATCTGCCCTGTAATATTTGGGGAGCAAGTCCCTTTGAAGCTAGAGAGAGTGTTTTGGGGAACAATATTCAGGCCAATGATACAGAGTGAAATTTATTTCCCACATTTTGCCTGTGGCCTCACATTTAAACTTTCCCATAGTTTACTAAACTTCATTCCAAAAATCCTGACAGGTAGCGTGATTACTATGTGTTGCATTTATTCATCAAGCATTTAGTAAGCATCAACTAGATGTTGAGGATGAAGGATTAATAAAACTCCACCCAAGTATGGGTTAAGTGCTCTTCCCATGATGCCTTGTGTCTAGCCATAAGAGAATGAGTAATTCTCAGTGGTGAAGTGGGGGCAAAGTGAGGAGAAGTGGAATCTGGCAATGGGATACTGCTAAACATCCCATGAGGCAAAGGATACTCTAAAACAACAATGAATTATCTGGTCCAAAATGTCAATAGTGCCGAGGTGGGAAAACCATACTGTAAGCCCATCTTTCTGGTTTATACTTGTTGGTTACATATCAGCCTCTACCACCATATCATAAGATCTTTGAGTGCAGAGATCTTATCTTATTCTTCACTGTATCCCAGCACACAACACATATACAGAACTCAATACATAGTGTTGAATGAATTAATGAAGGTGGTGTCCTATCCCTCAGGGAACCCACAATCTCAGGGGTAGAGATAGATAGATAAGCAGGCAATTTAAGGATAAAATGTGTTCAGTCTTCAAAGTACAGTCAGATAAAAGCTATTTTTCTGTGACTTTATAATTTATCATCCAAGTAGATAAATTTTTGAAAGTGTGGGCGAGCACTTTCAAATAATTAAGTCAGGGCCATGAGTGAATCCCTGTAACAGGCCTCTCCCACATACACATGACTGTGTATGTGCCACATAAGGGCACACACACAGTCAAACCTACCTATATAGCCCACATGTTCCTAAGCACCCGCATTGAAGCAGGTGCAAGCACTTCACAGAATCCACCCCCACAAGCATGAGCTGAGTATTAGATGTATAGCAGAGTTAACAGGACCCAGAAAAGTTGACATTGCGTGTTACACAGCAAAAAGTTAATGAAAAGAAATAAATAGAAGCTTATTAAATGACTTGTTCTTTATTCCAGGCCCTCGTTTCATACCCACCCTCTGCCAACAGCAATTTTCTCCTCTGCTTCTTGAACCTCTTCCTACCAGCCTCTCTGGCCTTCCAGATTTTTCTTCTTCCATGATCCCCTGTTCCTCTTTCTCATCATAAAGATGTGGCACACTCTCAGCTCCTATTCCCACATCCATTAGCCCCCCTCAGTCACCAAGGGGTCTCCCTGCTTAGGAACCAATTAGAGATTGTAAATAAAAATAACTTTTCCCAGATACGCTTCTCATGGCTCCAAGCTGTAGTGAAGGTTTCTTCAATGCAGTGGCTGGGATTGTGGGGAAAAGCTTTATAGAGAAAATAATATTCCAACAGACTCTGCTTACTCAGAGAAAATGTCAGTTTACTCAAAGGAAATTTAATCAAAAAAACATGGAAAATCACAAAAGGTCTGGACCTCATGTTTTCTCAGTGGATAGAAAGAGTTGCCTTCACCAGGAGCATACTTTGTTAGGGGTCGGAAACAAAGATCTCAAGTGGAAACTTGCGAAAGGGTGAAGTGAATAAGAAGAGTGTGGTTTATGGCTTTTCCAAGCCTACACACTTTGGAAGAAAGATACTGAGGCTTCACATTAACTTTTTCCTTTTATGCTAAACTCTATTTCAGTAAAAACTAAACCAACTGTTTATAATCTTTAATGCAGTTATTGTGCAAATAAACATTTCTTCATGATCCAAGTGTCATTTTTTTATTATGAGCAAATACTAGAGACAATAAAGTTACTATCTTTAACTTTAGGTAGAATAACTTCCTTCATTTTGTAGTCCCTTCTGACACTACAGCTACAAAGAAATCCCCAAATGACACTGTAATATACTGTGCTTTCTTTTACTAGATTTTAAAAAGACCCTCCTTGACACAAGATCAGCAGCGTCCATCATCCCTGTATAGCCTTTGAGATTTCACAACTTTGTATGTGAGGTTGATATCAAGTTAACCTGTCAGAATAAAATGTTACTTGGTATTTAACATATTCTATTCCAATTGGCTTCCTCTGAGTACGTGAAACAAATACCAAATGATAATTTATATGAGCACAAGAGAATTGTTGCTAATTTTAGAAAGTTCCTAGCCATTTCCCTCACCCAAAGTTAGCAAAGGAATTCCCAGTTGGAATGACTTTCCAAGTTTTTCTTAAAACTGTATCATCATTGTTCTTAACAGTATGTCAAGCCAGTCCACAGTTTTCCATGCATAGAAAACACGTTATCTGGGGCTGGGCGCGGTGACTCACACCTGTAATCCCAACACTTTGGGAGGCTGAGGCAGGCGGATCACGAGGTCAGGAGATCGAGAACATCCTGGCTAATATGGTGAAACCCCGTCTCTACTAAAAATACAAAAAATTAGCTGGGCATGGTAGCACGTGCCTGTAGTCCCAGCTACTCGGGAAGTTGAGGCAGGAGAATCACTTGAACCCAGGAGCTGGAGGTTGCAGTGAGCTGAGATTGCACAACTACACTCCAGCCTGGGCAACAGAGCAAGAATACGTCTCAAAAAAAAAAAAAAGAAAGAAAGAAAAAGAAAAAGAAAAAAGAAAACATGTTATCTAAGCCTTCTTCCCAATCATTAGTAAACATGTTGACCAGGACAAAGGTGGACCTCAGAAACCTGTGATCCTTGAAGAGCCATTTGCACATTCACTCTACCCCTACAGGATACATTTTTTTTTAACCTAGTCAAACTGGCTGAACCAGTTTTTAATCTCTGGTCTATACTGTGAGGGGGCAAATCTCACTGAAAAGATTCATTAGTGACAGCTAAATGTAAGGTGTAGCGATGAAAGGACTGGGCAGATCTGGGCCTGTTGGCAATCTGAAAAACAGATGGCTATGCAAATACAATTCTCAGACTCAGTTGTAAGGTAAACTGTGAACCAGGGAGCAGCATGTGGCTGGGTAAACGCAATGCTTAAATGCTGTCTGCATGTTTACATTCAGATCTTAGAAACTGAAATCTTCCTAATTGAATTCAACAAACAATTGAATTGAGAAATGATTTATGTGCAAAATACTGCGCTAGGCCCTGAGGCCCAGAGAAAGTTGAATTATAGAGTACCCTGAATTTAGGGATATTTGGTTCACCAAGACCCACATGGAGAGGAAAGCCAATAGCTATATATGAAGAAAGGACAAGGAATTGAATTGATTCCAACCAGAGCAACTTGGGAACTGTTTTTTTGGAAGGGAGGGACAGGAGAAGGTCAAATGTGAGAAAAAAATGTGGGCTTCTAGGGGCAAATACAGTGGGGAGCTTTTTCTGTGAGAAGAGAACTAGAGTAATGGATCAGAAACAGGAGAGGGAAGAGGTCGTGTGTAGGTGTATGAATGTAGGTATGTGTGAGTGGGGGTATGTGAATGCTTGTGAAGCTGAGTAAATTATTTAAAGTTGGAGGACTTAGTAAGAAATAAAGCTATTAAAAGTAGGATGGGCCTAATTGTAGTGCATGGATACATTCTGTAAAGGATTTCTCACCCCTCCTCAAAAAAGTACGTGTTTCCAAGGCATGATGAATTCTAAGTCACTTATGTATACAACTGGAAGGGTTACGTAGGAGACGGGTATTAGCAAGCCTGCGTTTTTAAAAGCTTTTGTTAACAATTAAATAATCTGCTGGTAATAGAGGCAAGGAGGGGGATGTTTATTACGAGGTAATGGCAACAGATTAGAGAGAGCAATAGAGTCTAATCACAATGTGAACTCTTTCTTGAAGGCTTACTACATGACAGACACAAACTAAGTGCTTCACATGCACTATGTCATTTAAAAGTCACAGAACTCCTAGAAGCGAAGTGTTTTTATTCCCATTGCAAGTAAGGCCCAAGATGTGTGCAATCCAAGGCTCAAGCTGGGAATCACCACCTCCTGTCTTCCCTTGGGATAGTGTAAGGTGGTGATTACCAGCGTAGGTCCTGGACCTCACAGTTCTCACTTCACTTCTGGCTCAACCATTTACAAGCCATGTTACTTACCTTGGGCCTCACTTGAAATAGGTAGGGAGGAGGTGCTAAAGAAGGCTGTTGGCAATTCAGCATGTGGCATGAGATTTTGTCATCAGCCAAGCTGATACATGCAGGTGAAGAAGTAGGTGTAAGGAGAGAGTGAGTTAGGTTTAGACAAGTCAAATCAAAGGAGCATAGGTCTTCCATGTGTGGATAGTAGCAAAGAGTTGAGGGGTGGATCTGAAATTCTCGTGAGGGATAAGAACAGGAAGAGAGAGGAGGTGTGAGAGTGGAAGCTATGACTTCAAGACTCATATTTTACGGATAAATAGAAAAAGGGCTCTCAAAGACAACTTTCATGAACTTAATAGCTGGCAATACTGACCATCAGATCTCCCATCTAAAAGATTTTGAAATGAGTAAATGGAGGTTTTCCTTAACCATCCCTAACCAAAGAGAAAGACAGTGGTAGTTTTTTCTTCTGTATAATTTTAACAAGGTAAATAGAGCCCAGAACCTGTATCTCAATGAAATAGCCATCCAAGAGCCTGACTTGCCTGCATGGCAGAACTTGTAGAGTTCAGCAAGGCAGATACACCCAGCCAATATGCTCAACTGGTAGAGTTTGCTTTGCTAGGAATCCTGGAATCACACATTCTCAGAGTTGGGCCCCCAACTACCATCTTCCCAGCCAGAAACCTGGGTGTTTCCTATGACACTTCCTCTACACCCTTAAATCAAATCCCCCACTAAACTCCATTAAATCCATCTTCTTATCTCTTCCTTGAGTCCAGCTGCCACTTCCCTAATCCAGACTGTTGTCACCTCTCGTTTAAAGTTCAACTGCAATTTCCTACTGGTTTTCTCCTTCCCTCAAATCCAATTTCCATGGGGCAATATATGTATATTTGTTATCACATCCTTTAAGGATCTCTTAAAGGTGAAGAACCGCTGTTCAAACCCATTTTAGGCAAATAAATTAAGGTCTTCATTTCCTAGGTTGATAAACTTACCAGGCTTGCTCCCATCTCAGGGGCTCCCTGCCTCCCCTTCCTTCTGCCTGGAAGGCTCTTCCCCAGATATTCACATGGCTGGCTCCCATATTTTCTTCAAGTGTTTATGCAAAACCCACCTTCTCAATAAAGTTTCCCTGGCCACCTCATCTAGAACTTCAGCACCCATTTCCCCAACATACTTCACTTTTATCTTTCTTTCCTGAATTATCGTTTCTCCAAAATATTTACCACTATCCAAACTACCACATACTTCACTAATTTACCTTGTTCATTGTCTGTCCCCTACACAAGAACATATATTTGGCAAGGGCAGGGGTTTGTGTCTGCTTTTGTCCAAGACTATATTTCCAGTGTTTAGAAAGATGCTCAACATGAGGTGCAAAGTGAATGATCAATGATGTTTATTGACTTTTTGTTGTTTCTGTTGGTGTTTTTATATGGTCCTGGATTATCTGGCTAATTTTCCCAGTTCTCATTTAAAGTGAATAAGTAATTTCAAATGGTTTCTGAGGTTGGTTCCTCATATTTAACTAAAACACACACACACACACACACACACACACACACACACGCACACACACACAAATATGCTGTTATCTGTCATTTTAAGAAAGAACACTCTAGTGTTTCTCCTTAGTCTTGAATGCCAAGTATTAGGGGGCAAAATGGGGGGAGGACTGTTCATTTTAAAAATATTAAAAATGAATTATGAATTTTCATTTGAAAGATTTTCTCATTCATGCTTATAAATAGCCATTATATGACCCAATTGAGCTAGGAGGTCTCTAATAGCTAAGGAGAAATTCATCCTCGCAGCCATTTCATATTGAGAACCAAAGAAGTTGGTGAATATTAGAAAAAAGAAATCCCTGTATTCATCACTTTTTTATGAGCAAAGTTCATCAAAACCACTGTAGAATAGAACTCAGAGTTTTGAGAAAGTCCTGTTAGTCTTGCAGAAAATGTATGTTTATTGATAATACTCAGGTGATTTAGCAAACACAACAGTATCTGTGGGAATGATTGCGTTCCTTTGCCAAAATGCACAGAATTAAGTGCCCTGGGGCAAATAAAAATGTGACTCAGAAAAATACTTTAAAAACTATTCTTTCCTCATAGCAATACAAATCCAAAGTCAGGCATGACCTGTGGGGAGTTAAATGGCAATGTAGACTTCAGAATAAGGTAGAGATAATACCAACAAAAGCCAGACCCATGATGCAGTACAAGTGTCTCAAGGGAGACATTCAGCTGGGTAGCTATTGTGTAGTCTCCAGGACGTGGAAGCATTAACCTAATATGAACATCAGCCTTTTTTAACACAGTGCCAAGCTAGTCAGATACAGATACAGTTCCCAGTTAGTGAGTCTCTGGTTATGAAACCTAGTGTATTTTTCCAATTGTGGTCAAATGGGTTGGCATTCAGCATGCATGGTCTCATTTCCAGAAAGGCTTCACTTCTGTCACTCGTGATCTGCTTTGGGAATTCATCCTTGACAAGTTAGTCTCCTTATACAGTTCTGGCAAATTAGTCTCATTATACAGTTCTGGCCTGTGGTAACTACATCTGGAAATAACGTTAACGGTTTACATATATTGTGTATTTACCATATGTCAGGCATATAATGAATGTTTCATATGTTACATGTCATTTAATCTTCACAACAGTTTTGTGAGGTAGGTAGTATTGCCCATTTCACAGATTTGGAAAATAAAGCATAGGCGGTATAGGGATCTTGGCTAAAGCCATACAATGAGTCAGTGAAGATGAATCCAGAACTGACTTCAGAACTGTAACAATTAACCCCTGTACTCTACACTCTACTGCCTTTGTAAAGAATGAAAAGTGAAGAGACAGAGAAATGGTAAAGAAAGGATCCCTCAGGGGTGTTTTCCACCACTGTCCTGAACACAATCAGAAAAGCTCCATACTAAATCAGAAAAACAAACTCAACCAGTCTCTGTTCCAAAGCGATACTTCATAAACTGCATCAAGGGAGCACTGCGTTGAGAACCATTACCTTGAAACCCTTCGGGAAGGTTGGTGGAGGAGGGAGGTTGTATGTTGGGGACAGGGGTAGGTGGTTGTAGCACTAAAGCAACACCAAACAAAAGAAAGTTCCTGCTCATTCCAAATCAGTAACAGTAACATAGTAGATTGCATTGTATAGTCATCAGTCATACAATCATTCAAAAACATGCATTTATCAAAACGTAAAGCAAACAAACAAACACACGCACACATAAGAAAGATGCTGAGAAAGAAAATGAAGCATTTCCAACCTACAGGCAACCTGCCATCTCATCAAAAAGCATAAGCACGAGTATGCGTCCATCTCAGCTCCCTCATGATCCCCACAGTGAGAGCTCTTTCTGAACTGAAGCAATTCCAGTGTTCAAAGATATGTATTTTTGTACAACACGGTCCTAAATACAAACCAACACCTTTATGCATGCACAAAAGCAAGGGCACCACTCACTCCAGGAGACTTGAAAGGTTTATTAAAGTTTACTTTGACTCTTGCTGGTTTTCTTATTACAAAAAAAAAAATTAAAACTCATCTCCCCTCATGTATGATTGAACTCTCCCATATTTCCAACACATTTTAAAAGGTTATTGTGATTTCAAGTGTGGATTTCTTTTTAACTTAAGCTAGACACAATTACTTTAACAGGTACCATAATTTGGCTTTCACATTCTCTCAAAATCATCAAAACAGTACTTGCAAAATGTTTGCTTCCCAGGTGTTTTCCAATAGATTCAATACTATTTGCCATGGTGCATAAACTGAATGAGAGTGGTCTGTGAAATACGGAATCAAGATGTTGCATACTTACCTCCAGAATTGAGTGCGGCTTTGGTTTGTGCTCTGGAAAACACTTTCTATTTGGCTTCATTTTAGTAACAGTGAAAAAGATCAAAAACTGGAATAATATTATGAGAAGCACTTAACGGGGGAGCTCTGAAAACTGGTAGAAGATTATTACTTCTTTAGCTAAGTTCTGCAAATTTGTGGGGAATCAGGGGTCCTCTTTATGAGTAAGAATATCTTATGAAGAACCTTCGCTTTTTTTAGTAGCTAATTCCTTTTTCTCATCAACAGGACACAATATGGCATATAATCAGATTTCATCATAACAGATTTTAATATACCATAGATCATATGGTGTCCCCATAGCATAACTACTCATGACCAGATTCTAATAATATGCAAATTTAGCTAAGTGCATATTATTGGACTTTTGTCTGATAATGTTGGTCTTGATCCGCTGATATTCAGCTCCATGGTTTCATTAAGCAGTCAATTAGGAAAAAAGAGAAAAGCAGCATATATGTATTTCTTCTTTATTTTGGTAAAGGATTTTTACTTTATCTGCTTATATTGATAAGATATGACACAGGAATAGGTGCTACAGGATTTACAAAAATACATTTGACACAGTCACAGTAAGGCATAATCTCAGCAAATCCTTAATGGTTAGGGACCCAGGCTCTGGAATCGGACTGCATTTGTGCCCCGGTTCTACCACTTACTAGCTGGTTAACCCTGGATAATTTACTAAACCTCTCTGTGCCTCTGTATTTTCACCTGTTCATTGATGATAATAATAGTACCTATCCTATCACTGAGAATTTGATGAGATTAGCTCATGTAAGTGTCACGCGTGTCCGTATAGAAGACCACCTAAACAGGCTTTGTGTGAGCAACAAGGCTGTTGATTCACTTGGGTGCATGTGGGCTGAGTCCAAAAAGAAGTCAGCGAGGGGAGACAGGAAAGGGGCAGCTTTATAGGACTGGGGTAGGCAGTGGAAAGTTACAGACTGAGGTGGTTATCTATTGTTAGCAGAGAAGGTCACAAAGTGCATGGTGGGGAGATCATAAGACTCATTGTCCAGAAGAAGAATGTCACAAGGTCAGTTGATCAGTTGGGGCAGGGCAGGAACAAGTCATAATGGTGGAATGTCATAAGGTTGGTCAATCAGTTAAGGCAGGAGATGGCTGTTTCACTTCTTCTGTGGTTTTTCAGCTGCTCCAGACTTCTTGGCTCCTGTAGGCCATGTGGACATATATGTGCAGGCCACAGGGGTTACAATGGCTGAGCTTTGGCTAAGAGGCCTGACATTCCTGTCTTTTTATTTATAAAATATAAGGTTATAAGAAAAGATAAAGAAAATATAAGTTTCTTCTGGGGATTATTGGGGTAGAGGCGATGTTTCTCAGGACTGCTTCAAGCGTGACCAGGGACTGTGTGGACATCTTAAAGAAAATTTTATAATGAGTTAGTCCAGTAAGTTTCGGGTCTAGGGTGCATTTTTATGTAGCTAACAAGGTGCCAGTTGGCATATTTTTGAGCTTGGAACTGCCCTAATAAAATAAGTTCTCTAAAAACAGTAATCAGGCATATTAGCTTTTAATGTAGGCGGAGATGAGTTTTTAGGCCAAGGAAGGAATAATGTTTTACGTACCAAAGGCTTTCATCCCCATTTTCCAACATATGAATAGGATTCCCTGTTGTTAAGTCAATGATCTATTATATTACCCTTTTCCCATAGGTGTGAGTGGTGGTCTGATTGGAAAAGCTCAATAGTTCTGACTGCAGATCCTATTCAGGAGAGATAATAAGTAAAAGAATCTTTGTCTCCTGGATTAAGGTGAGGAAGAATGAATTTTCCATGATCTAAGAACCACTTGCCCTGGGTTGGAAAAGACTGGTAGAGCAGGCTTACAGAGGAGGAGTAGATGGGGGTGATAGAGGAGAAAGAAAAATACTGGCCTTTTGGAGTGAGGGCTGGAATATTTGCGGGTGTGGAGGCATTTGCTATTTCTTTTGCTGTCCTGTCGGCATAGGCATTTCCTTTAGCAATGAGATCAGTTAGTTTCTGGTGTCCTTTACAATGAATGACTCCAGCCTTGGCCGGCAGGAGAGCAGCCTTAAGGAGGGCCTTCATTAGAGAGGCATTGATAATGGAAGAGCCTTGTGTGGTGAGAAAACCTCTTTCAGCCCAAATGGCAGCATGGTTATGGTAGATGTGGAAAGCATATGTGGAGTCACTGTAAATGTTAATGTGCATTCCTTTGGCAAGAGAGAACACACGAGTTAAAGCAATGAGTTCAGCTTTTTGGGAAGTAGTGGAGGGAGGAAGTGCAGCAGCCTCAATAATAGAGGTATGGGACACGACAGCATAACCAGATTTAGCTGGCGAGATTTGGCTGGGTATACAGGAACTGCCATCAATAAACCAAGTGTGGTCTGGGTTTGGGATTGGAAAAATAGAAATATGAGGAAAGGGGGAAGATGCTATGTGTATTAGGGAGATACAGTCATGTGGCTCAGGATTTACGTTGGGTGCTAAGTGAGAAGCTGGGTTGAAATCGGGTCCGTGGGTAATATTTAGCACAATGCCTGGTATAGAAAAATTACCCAATAAATGTTAAAAGAGGGAAAGTAGGAATAGAGTTATTTTCAAGTTGAACTGGCAGAATGAGACCTACTTAAATGCAAATGAGACAGAATGGCAATGTATGCAAATGGGGCCACAGATTGTAGTGGATTCTGGAGTAGACTGGGAAGTATTTATGGAGGAGGTTTCCTCATAGGCTAAGACTTGCTTCTCAAAGTATGTCCAGTGACAGCACTGGCATCTCTTGGAAGCTTGTTAGAAATGCAGACTCTCAGACCCTCTTCCAGACTTACTGAATTAGAATCTGCATTTCAACAAGATGTCCAGAAGCTTTGTCGTGCATAAAGTTGAAGAGCCCTTCTCTAGGACACATCTTGCTTCTTAAAATGTTCAGGCCTGCCATTATCTCCCATTACACACAGCAGCATTTACAAAAGAATAATTCTGGGGGCAGGGAGCCTACACTCCTAAAAATTCCCACTGCAAAAAAACTGTGAATGTGAAATTCTAACAGTTATATATTGGAAATATGATAGAACTGGCAAAAATAAGTCAAATCACCTAAATAAAGCATGCAACATAAGCTTTGATTCAATTACTATTTATGCCTAGGCAGAGTAAAAATTACAAATTTTTTTCATCCAGGATGAAATGAAAACCAAGGAAATATATGATCACTTTCTTTGGGAGGGATTGGACAGAAGTCCCTGGTACTCTCAGATTTACGAAAAGCATGCATGCCCCTGGAAGGCAATGGCATTTCAGTCACATGTTTCCTTCTGTATATCCATGCCCCCCCCCTCCGCCCCGCACCCACCACACACACACACACCAAATAACAACACAACATTTTGGGGGGTTGCACTGTATAACACTACACATTGCAGAGAAACAGACACATACACGTAAGCTTTATCCACAACTTCCCACTTTTCTTTAAGCACCTGTTCAAATCTTGCATACCAGAGACACAGAATCTTTTATCTGGAATAATTTTTAGGAAATAGTGGACAAGAACAAAAGGGGAGAACTGATGGGGAAAATAATAATATCTGTCATTTATCCGATGCCTAGTTGTGCAAGATATCGTCCCAGAAGATTATTACTTTTTAATTCTTGCAATAACCCTCTAAGACAAGGTATAAATTCTTTATTATTTCAACTGAGGAAATAAAAGCCTATGAAGTCAAATATATTGCCAAAGGCTATGTGCCTAAGAAGTAACATAACTGAGCCTAGAACCCAGGTCTATCTTCTCCTTCCATCTGTCAGAATAAAAACATCTATGAATCCACTAGTCATCTTCTTGAGGAATGGCTTCTAATTTGTAATTCAAATGCAATATTTTTTTCTCACTTTCCACTTCACATGATAAGTGGGGAAGTGGCAAAGGAATATTTTGAAGTCAGACTGAATTTAAGCTGTAGATGGTAAAGCACAGGATAATTTCCTCCTTGGTATTTGAGAAGTTCTTCATCTTAACCATCTGTTGCAGGCTGACAGATGGGTTGATATATGACAGAATAATGGGTCTTCAATTCTAGAAAGGCATAAGGAATGCTTGAAAAATAGCAGCTCTTTTCATGAACCTAACTGTGTAAATGCCGCTTGCTCATTTGCAAAAAAAAAAGAAAAATTGGTGGGAGCAAGTGTGAAATGTAGTCACAATCCTTCCCCCAAACAGAAAATTTTTCGTAATTGCCAAAGGTCAAATGCAGAAAAAAAATGCCTATTCTAAAATCATGCCAGAATTTTCAAATTTAGTCACTTAAAAAGTCATACCAGGGAAAGCCCATACACAAAGAAAAAATAATAAAAACAACTTTTTAAAAAACCTTCTTCCATCCCTATCCCCAGCCATTGAATTATCTTTATTATGAGTTTCTTGTATCCTTGAGGGAATTTAAGAAACATGCCGATATTTGAGGCCTAATGATTTTTCCTTTAAGCGTCTCTACCAAATGTAAAATGTCTTCCCTTTCTTCTTGCAGATTCAATGTGTGTGTGTGTGTGTGTGTGTGTGTGTAAGTATATATATATATAAGTATAATATATATATACTAATAAGTTACTAACAGCAGATATCTGGCTAGGCTCTAGGGACACAGGTGATTAAGATAGTCCTATGCGCAAGGACCTCACAGTGCTTTTTGCAATGTAGCAACATGATCAAGGCATTCCTTGATCATATTAATGGCTCATTCTCCTACGCAAAACTTCAGATGGCCCTGCATGTCTTTACACTGTCACACAAGTTCTTTTCCAATCACGTATTGCAACCAAAAGAAATATTCACACATGCGAAGACTCCACCTATACCCTTAAATGCCTGGTTATTGCCAAATAGGTTTGAAGCTCTACCTATGAAGAACCAGTAACTTAACACTTTAGGTTGGAAAAGTTTGGGCCATAATTATTTAACCTCAACAGAGTGATCCTATTTTCAAATTAACGTCAGAATCCAGTTTGAAAAAAAAAATTGAGTTATTTCAGTTGAATTCATGGTCAAATGTCATTGGCCGTGACTAAATAAGGCCATGTCACTTGATGATTGCACTGTCTTCACCATCATCATCACGATCATTAATGCAACAGCTAAAATATTCCAGTCTCCATGCTTAACATTTGTATTTAATTTTAATCCTCACAACGACCCTGTAAGGGAAGTACTCCTGTCCCATGTTACAGATTTGAACACCAAAGACCAGAGAACTTTAAAATCCATCATCAGGTTTGCTTCTTCATTGCATTATTTCCAGCCACAGATACCAACTATTCCATGTCCTATCTGGGAGATTACCAGTAGTGTAGAATAGTAAGTTAATAATAGGATTATGTTTTCAAAGGAGTATTTGACAGCCTGAATTTATATCAGCAGTTTCTTCCCATTTTAATATTATGTAATTCTGGTGGAGAAAGATGTGCAATTTTTTCTGGTTTCCGGGAAGGCGTTTGCAAAGAACATAAAGCAAAGTTCAGAGAGGATCTTACTTGATTCAGAAGGTGGCACTTGAAAGGCCTGCTAGCAATTTATTTATTGATTATTGTTTTGTTTTATTTTTTAATTTGGAGATGGGGTATCCTTGAGGTAATTTAGGTATCCTTGAGGTAATTGTTGGATTACCTCGGAGCAGTGCCTATTCACAGGTGCAATCATAGCACACTATGGCCTCAAACTCCAGGCCTCAGGGGATCCTCCCGTCTCAGCTTTCTGAGTAGCTGGGACTACAGACGGGTGCAACTGCAACCATGCACAGTCATTTTCTCAAAATTTCCCAGTGTGGTTGTTTGAAAAAATTTCCCATAGAACATAATCCATTTTCAAATATAGGTTACTGGTGGGGTAAGTTCAACATACTTAGAAAAATTTAAAAATTACTTTGAATTGTATAATATTTTAATTATCCATGCTTCTATTATCTGCCATTGTATGGAGAAAAAAACTTTGTTGTGTTATCTGTTTTTTAAAAAAATCAGTTTGTGTCTGTTTGTGTGATATCACATATATACATATATGAATTTCAATACATACGTCTTGGAATACACCTTCACAGATGGTTTGTATAGATACAAAAGAACAAATTGTGAGGGGGTAGTTTTGTTCGGTTGATGAGAAAACATTGTAGTCTAGAGTACATGTGAGAGATGAAGTTCAAGTCTGGTTGCTTCTGACTCCAACCTTCCACTGTGTCTCCTGTAAGCTACACTTCCTCCAGATGTTTCATCTATATGCTGCCTGACATCTGGTGTTTTCCAGCTATATTTATAATGCCCAGATGTTTTGTGTCAAGTAGATACGGCTAGTTGTTAATTAACTAAATCTTAGCATTTTCATCTAGCTGATTCAATGGCAGTCCCCAAAATATTTCAGAAGTGCTAAAAAAAATGCATAAACATAAGAAAGATTGATATGGTGTTCAATAAGCATCCCCAAATTTCCAGATTCACTTTTGACTAACTATACAAATTTATTCTTTTCCCAGTTATGTCAAAACCAATAATCAATTTTTTGGAAAGGATGCTATTTTCTATATGACATAGTAATTCATTTAGAAACACTCAACAACCCTCGTTGCTTTCCTAAGCTTTCCTAGCAAATTGCTAGGGTACCAGGGTCCAGAAAGGCAGGAGTACTCTTCTACTAACATTTAATTGTGTGAACTGATCCACCCCAAACCTCTTTACCCCTTGCACTCAAGCTTATCTTTCTAAGAGGGATAGGGTTGCAGGTGGGGAAGTATAGAGAGACAATAGTCTCAGCAGCCATGTGAGACACCCAAATTCCCAAGAAACAAGCAGTCTTCTCCTCATGCTAATACCTACCTCTCCAGCAAATAGCCCAAGGAGTCTTTGGTCCTGGCCAACCCAGTATCAACATGCATTTTTCCTAGGAAAGGAACAAGCAGGTAGTAAAGAAGAGTCCAACACTCCCTCTAGAGGCCAATTCATAGGCCTTCCAGATAAGCCATTTTGTGTTGTATTCATTATTCACCGTGAGTCCTGAGACTGCTTTGAGAACCATCCAAGGACAAAACCTAAAAAGATCCTGGATGCAACCAGATCTGTGTCACTTTCTGTCTCCCTAGGCTGTTCAGTACTCCCCAGATATTGTTTTTTTAAATTTCCAAAACACCAAGGACTTTTCCTACAAAGCTATTATCACTATATGCAATTATGCATTCTTTTGTGATTGATTAACAGCTCTCTCTTCTACCAGAATGAGTACTAGGACCATGTCTGTTTCTATTAACTACCATATTTCCAAGACCTGGCACCTGGTAGATTCTCAATAGAGATTTGCTAAATAAATGAGTAAACCCCAAAGCCGGGCAGAGACACAACCAAAAAAGAGAATTTTAGACCAATATCCTTGATGAACATTGATGCAAAAATCCTCAATAAAATACTGGCAAACCGAATCCAGCAGCACATCAAAAAGCTTATCCACCATGATCAAGTGGGCTTCATCCCTGGGATGCAAGGCTGGTTCAATATACACAAATCAATAAATGTAATCCAGCATATAAACGAGCCAAAGACAAAAACCACATGATTATCTCAATAGATGCAGAAAAAGCCTTTGACAAAATTCAACAACCCTTCATGCTAAAAACTCTCAATAAATTAGGTATTGATGGGACGTATTTCAAAATAATAAGAGCTATCTATGACAAACCCACAGCCAATATCATACTGAATGGGCAAAAACTGGAAGCATTCCCTTTGAAAACTGGCACAAGACAGGGATGCCCTCTCTCACCACTCCTATTCAACATAGTGTTGGAAGTTCTGGCCAGGGCAATCAGGCAGGAGAAGGAAATAAAGGGTATTCAATTAGGAAAAGAGGAAGTCAAATTGTCCCTGTTTGCAGACGACATGATTGTTTATCTAGAAAACCCCATCATCTCAGCCCAAAATCTCCTTAAGCTGATAAGCAACTTCAGCAAAGTCTCAGGATACAAAATCAATGTACAAAAATCACAAGCATTCTTATACACCAACAACAGACAAACAGAGAGCCAAATCATGAGTGAACTCCCATTCACAACTGCTTCAAAGAGAATAAAATACCTAGGAATCCAACTTACAAGGGATGTGAAGGACCTCTTCAAGGAGAACTACAAACCACTGCTCAAGGAAATAAAAGAGGACACAAACAAATGGAAGAACATTCCATGCTCATGGGTAGGAAGAATCAATATCGTGAAAATGGCCATACTGCCCAAGGTAATTTACAGATTCAATGCCATCCCCATCAAGCTACCAATGACTTTCTTCACAGAATTGGAAAAAACTACTTTAAAGTTCATATGGAACCAAAAACGAGCCCGCATCGCCAAGTCAATCCTAAGCCAAAAGAACAAAGCTGGAGGCATCACACTACCTGACTTCAAACTATACTACAAGGCTACAGTAACCAAAACAGCATGGTACTGGTACCAAAACAGAGATATAGATCAATGGAACAGAACAGAGCCCTCAGAAATAACGCTGCATACCTACAACTATCTGATCTTTGACAAACCTGAGAAAAACAAGCAATGGGGAAAGGATTCCCTATTTAATAAATGGTGCTGGGAAAACTGGCTAGCCATATGTAGAAAGCTGAAACTGGATCCCTTCCTTACACCTTATACAAAAATCAATTCAAGATGGATTAAAGATTTAAAGGTTAGACCTAAAACCATAAAAACCCTAGAAGAAAACCTAGGCATTACCATTCAGGACATAGGCATGGGCAAGGACTTCATGTCCAAAACACCAAAAGCAATGGCAACAAAAGCCAAAATTGACAAATGGGATCTAATTAAACTAAAGAGCTTCTGCATAGCAAAAGAAACTACCATCAGAGTGAACAGGCAACCTACAACATGGGAGAAAATTTTCGCAACCTACTCATCTGACAAAGGGCTAATATCCAGAATCTACAATGAACTCAAACAAATTTACGAGAAAAAAACAAACAACCCCATCAAAAAGTGGGCGAAGGACATGAACAGACACTTCTCTAAAGAAGACATTTATGCAGCCAAAAAACACATGAAAAAATGCTCATCATCACTGGCCATCAGAGAAATGCAAATCAAAACCACTATGAGATATCATCTCACACCAGTTAGAATGGCGATCATTAAAAAGTCAGGAAACAACAGGTGCTGGAGAGGATGTGGAGAAATAGGAACACTTTTACATGTTGGTGGGACTGTAAACTAGTTCAACCATTGTGGAAGTCAGTGTGGCGATTCCTCAGGGATCTAGAACTAGAAATACCATTTGACCCAGCCATCCCATTACTGGGTATATACCCAAATGACTATAAATCATGCTGCTATAAAGACACATGCACACGTATGTTTATTGCAGCATTATTCACAATAGCAAAGACTTGGAACCAACCCAAATGTCCAACAATGATAGACTGGATTAAGAAAATGTGGCACATATACACCATGGAATACTATGCAGCCCTAAAAAATGATGAGTTCATGTCCTTTGTAGGGACATGGATGAAATTGGAAACCATCATTCTCAGTAAACTATCGCAAGAACAAAAAACCAAACACCGCATATTCTCACTCATAGGTGGGAATTGAACAATGAGATCACATGGACACAGGAAGGGGAATATCACACTCTGGGGACTGTGGTGGGGTGGGGGGAGGGGGGGAGGGATAGCATTGGGAGATATACCTAATGCTAGATGACGCGTTAGTGGGTGCAGCGCACCAGCATGGCACATGTACCCTAAAACTTAAAGTATAATAAAAAAAAAAAAAAGATATGCCCACCCAGGACCTGTGAACCTGTGAATGTGACTTTATTTGAAACAGGGGTCTTTGCAGATGTAATTCAGTTAAGGATCTCATAATGAGATCAAGCTGTATTTGGGTGGGCCCTAAATCCAATGACAGGTGTCCATAAGAGAAAAGAAGAGACAATGATACACACAGAAGGTGACGTGAAGACCAGCAGAGACTGGAGCGGTGCATCTATAAACCAAGCCATGCCAAGGACTGCCAGTAGAAACTGGGAGAGGAGCATGGGAGGGATTCTCCCTCAGAGCCTCCAGGAAGAATTAGCCCTGCTAACACTTCGGTTTTCAACTTCTGGCCTCCAGAAGGGTGAGAGAGTAAACTTCTGTTGTTTTAAGCCACTTGGTTCATGATAATTTTATAGCAGTACTAGGAAACCAATATAACGAGATTAAAACAAATATTTAAATTACCAGAATAAAATTAGATCATATCAAACCCAATTGCAAAATGACCGAGGAAAAGATGACAAAAAAACTGAGGATACAATAAAATCAGAAAATAAAGGCAGGTGAATATGGGAATGCTGAATTAAAAGGGCAAGGGAGAAACTAAGTTAAGTGGATGGTTAGGAACCTGTAGGAAGGAGATAATAAATATTGTCTCTATTCTATTGTAATATAACTAATAAATAGTAGTTAAGGAATTATTAGGATGTTTAAGGAATTATCAGGAATAAGAATGCTACTTTATGTTCTACTGAGTTAAATAAATACGACACAAATTAAAAAATAAATAAATAAATAAATGAGTAAACCCACCTAATGTATTTGGCCATCAAAACCTACTGGATAATGCCTATATACTTTTCTATATTGTATTTTTAGCTATAATATGTCACTGAATTTCCTGTATCAAGACTAATTAATAGAGTGAACTTTCAGGAGCTGGGCTAAGCATTTTATTGCATTACTTCTTTTGTCCTTGTCAAAAATACTATGAAAATGTATCTCATTATTGCCCCTTTTTACAGTTGGAAACTGAGGCTTCATTGGGTTCTAGGGCTACTTAGAAAGAATTGAAATTCGACCTCAGGACTGCCTGATTTCAAAGACGGCAGACTTAACCACTATGTGATAATTCCTATTCTAAAAACCTGTATATAATAAGACCAACATAAAAAATTCTCAATGAAGATCAAGCAGAATAATGAATGTAGAGGGCTTAGCACAGCACCTGACCCATAGTAAACATAGAATCAATAGAGCTATTAATATTAATGCTACTACTAATATTATTAATTTATTTTGAACAGCTCTTAATTTGCTAATGTTACTATTAACTTTCTTTGAAAGGTCTGTGCTAGTTGTAATAAAAAGATTAGGCAGGATCAATGGAAAATTAAATCATGTTTTGAGGAGTGTTTTTAACATATGATTTACGACAGTATTGCAGAAAGCTATTGAAGACTTTGCATCTATTCTGAGTTCACCAAACATCCAGGAATACCTCCCTCTTGCACCAAGATTATAAAATCAATTGCCTGTAACTGAAATAAAGAGAGAGATGCAGGGGATCTAAAAATCTTCTTTTCACAAGAAAAGTTAAGAACAAGAAATAGAAGGTATCTGTTCTACAGCTAAGCCACCACAGATTAATTGATAAAGTTTTCTGGGAACAGTCTAGAAAAGAAAAAGTGCAGTATGTCAATCATAATGAAATTTAACTTCGGGGAAAAAGCAATGAAACCCTACATTAATTCTCAAGCATCAGCCAGATTCTTCACGCATAAAACAAGATGATTGACTATTACCCAGACCTTGTAACAGAAGAACATCAGCATCCACTACATCTCTCTTTTTGCAAAATCCTGATTAATTGGCAGTGTGACAATAGTGTATCTTGCAGTTCTTACATGAAACAACTCAGGCAGAGTATAGGCCACTGGAGGGAGGAGAACAGATCTCCCTTGGCTGGTCTCCCCCACTCTCTTCCATTTTTAGAACAGTACCCAGCCCATAGCAGGGAAGATAATAAAGTGTAAACAGACGACTTGGAAAAGAGACAGAAACAACAATGGACAAACAAAAAAATCAATGGGATTTGGAGTCAAACAGACCTGAGTTTGGTACCCAACCTCTCTATTTACTTAACTTCTCTGATCTTTTCCTTCTTCATTTGTAAAATAGAAAAACTAACAGCTACTTCGCAGGGTTGTGGTGAAGATGAAATGAGGTGGAACAGGTAAGGCATCATACCTTACATATGGTAGACCTTCATTCAATATAATGAGGTTCACCTTCCAGTGAATGACACAGACTTTGGAGCTTAGCAAACCTATGTTGCAACCAAAGTTTAGCAGCTTAGTAACTCTGAGATGTCTAGCAAATCACTTAATCTTTCTGAATTTTGACTTTCTCACCTGTAAAATACAGTCAATAATAGTCACCTCAAAGTGTCATTATGAGAATTAAATGAGTAATGCGTGGAATGTTCAGTGTCTGATACATAGTAACAGATAAATGATAGCCATGTTTATATCATTGCTTAATTTTTGTTATGAGCCTAAACAATCATGGCCTTCTAAAAGCAATCGTGTTTTTATAAGATTAAGAATATAGACTGTGGAGCCAAACTCCCTCGGTTGAAATCCTGGCTGTGCACCTTTCAAACTGGGTTTAAGTAATTTATCCCAACTATAAAATGGGATTACAATAGTATCTACCCCAAAAGGGTTGTTAGGAAATTAAAGAAGCAAATATATGTAAAACTTCAATAAGTGTTCTCTAAGTGTTGGCAGCTCTCATCATCATCACCATTACCAACACCACCATTAACACTATCATCATTATCATCATGATCATCTCTTGAAGGGGTCACAAAATCATCTCCTTAGAAACTGCTACCTCCCAATTAAAAATATAACAGCAATAATATTAATTGAAATTTATTCCGGCTATGACAATATTGAAAATATAGGCAGCCTGGTCTTCTGTCCCTTACCACTTCTGTGGGCCTCTTCCTGCAGAGAGCTCTGCCTGAGCTCAGAGAAAACCATGCTTGGAGAAAACACACAGACCCCAAGTAAGGGATAAATGTGGAGCCTCCAGCTCTTGGATGTCGGAAAGAAAAACTGAGGTAGGGTGTGAACCAGAGGCAATTCAGAGGCACTTTTCCAAGTAAGTGTTTTGCAAATGAAGTGGCTGCTACCCTGAGTCCTTGGCTTATTAGATGGGTGATAACCATCAAAAAGACAAACAGGGTGGGAAGTTCTCATCCAAAATGGAAAAGTCCTAACTCACATGCCAAGCTCCTTGGAGCTGGCCATTTGCACATGATTAGAGACTTTCTGACTTCAATTTCTCCTCTCTAGTAAAGATAAGCAAACTTGATGGCTTGACCACTCTTACCCCAGAATTCCTTTTGCTTATTTAAAACACCAGCCCTGAGCAGGCCTGGCTTTCAGTGGGGTCTAGAGCTCACCCAGCAGGTTTAAGCCATTTTGCCAATGGATTTGTCATTAAAGATTACAAAGTCTAGGGGATTAGTGGGATTTGTCTAAGCACACTCAATGTCAGGAAGAAGAGGGACTGGTCTCCTGGGACCAAAAACTCCAAATCTGGTCTAAGCTCATTTCATTTACCTCCAGAAACTGGGTTTGTGTTCTTACTCATAAAATACAAACAGTAGTAATATCTGCTTCATAGAGTTGTTGTAAAGTAAAAGAAATGGTGCATATAGAGCATTTTGCACGGTACCTAGTGTGTGATAAGTGCCTGATGGTGGTGGGACTTCTGAATCTTATTTTATATATATATATATATATATATATATATATATATATATATATATATATATAATTTTATATATATATAGTTATATATATATAGTTATATATATATATAGTTTTATATATATATAGTTATATATATAGTTTTATATATATATAGTTATATATATATAATTTTATATATATATAGTTTTATATATATAGTTATATATATATAGTTTTATATATATATAGTTTTATATATATAGTTTTATATATATAGTTTTATATATAGTTTTATATATATATAGTTTTATATATATATATAATTATACTTTAAGTTATAGGGTACATGTGCACAATGTGCAGGTTAGTTACGTATGTATACATGTGCCATGCTGGTGTGTTGCACCCATTAACTCGTCATTTAGCATTAGGTATATCTCCCTCCTTTGGAGGAAAGAGGGAGCTCTCTTCCTGCTCTCAGACACTGCCGCTGCCTCCTCCTCCTATTTTTTCTCTTCCTTCTCCCTTCTTCGTGCTCCCCTCTCCTCACTCTCCTCATCCTCAATTCCTTCCCCCCTTCTTCTCTTCCCTTTCTTTACTTCCTTCCCCCTCCTCCCCCTTCTCCTTCCCCAATGCTCCCCCTTCCCCCTCCACTTTCTCTTCCCTATCCTCCTCCTGTCTCCCCCTCTCCCTTTTTCTCTTCCCTGTTCTGCTCCTCCCCTCTCTCATCCTCCTTATTTCATCATCTACCAGCCACCAGCCTGCCATGTCTTGTTAACAGAGTGGTCAAGCCAGCCTTTCCCCCAACACCTAACAAAATGCAGCTCATGCTTGGCAGGATTGCCCCTGTGGGCCGCCCACCTCCTTCTTTGGGCTGCCAACACAGAGGGCCCAAGCCTCCCTTTGGTCACACTGATTTGCTTTCAGACCAGACCACTGAGGCAATGAATTGGGTGATCATATAAACCCAACTATGGGACTCTACAGGCCAAGAGGAATGTGGGAGGCATGCTGGCCTTGTCAAAGCTGAGCTGTGGGATGGCTTAGCTTTGGACCATCTCAGACCAAACTACCAAAAGAAAGTGTGGCATTAATGAACCCAAACAGGAAAAGGGGCATCACTGTCACTTGACCATGGATATAAATGTGCTTCCATTTGTTAATTGTGGATTAGAACTATGCTGTCCAATAGGATAGCACTAGTAACATGTGGTTATTGAGCACTGAAATGTGGTTATTATGAATTAAGATGTACTGTAAGTGTAAAATACACATCACGTTTCAAAGACTTAGTATCAAAAAAGTAAAATGGCATACTAATAATTTTAGATTGATTATATGAAATAATAATTTTGATGTATTGGGGTTTGTTGTATTAATATGTTATATATTAATATAATCAATTGCATCAATTTCTCTTTGCTTTAACTGTGGCTACTTTAAAGCTTAAAATTACATATGCCGCTCCTATTTGTGGCTTGCATTAGATTTCTTCAGGCGTCCTCATTCCCTGCTCTTACCACCAGGGCCACAATTATTATTCTTTAAATTAAGTCATTTTTAAAATTTAAATAAATGTGTTTTTGAATAAGACCCTGGACCACTATTGAATATAGAAATCCAGCATTATTAACATAGTTAGAAGACAAACATACAAATGAATCAATAGAAAATAAACAGTGCTGTATTCTAGCTACATAGGTATACCATTGCTTACTTGAAGGATCTGAGCCTGGAGCCAGTTTTCTTTGACGAAAAAACATGAAAAGATGAGCACTTGTTAACTAAGCATTGAAAATGGTGTAGCACCCAACTGAGACTTTACTAGTCAGATTGAAAGGAAATTGGGAAGGAGAATGCCTTTCTCTCTATGTAGGGATGTAGCAATATTGTTTATTGCTCGTTCCCACCAGGATAGGCAACCCAAACTTCAGAAAACCTGGGCATAATGAAAAAACACTCACTAAACAGGGAACCCAATGTCCTCAATTCAAATCTCAGTTACCTGTGACAACTTGGACACATCACTGAATCTAATCTCCCTCACACAGCTGTTGTGAAGGTCATACGATCTTCGTTGAAAACTGTAGGTGCTCCCTGGAAGTCAGTTGTCATTATTATTAACACTTCAAATGAAATAAGGAAACAATCCCATAAGTGGATAGAACAGAAACTTGTCCTGTCTATCCATTTTTTAGCTCCCTTCCAAGACAAGTCCAAAGCTCTGCCCCCAGCTGAGCTGCCATCTTGCTATTTGCTTTCTGTGTTTCCTGATCCATAGTGTCATTCTAAAATTCTTGGAGGCTGAATTAGCAAAGTGATCCATTTACAGTGTGGATGAGAGTGACTCTCTGAACTGTCCAATTTCTAGTGTAGTCTCTCTGTATAAAAGTGTCAGCAACAGAAATAAATAACAAAGCCATCAAGTAGCCAAAACAGACAATAAAGTCATTGGATTAAAATATTGGTTATATGTACTAATAGGTAGAAATTGAATATTTGTTTATTTTTTATCAATATCCAGTGGAGTTGCTTGTGCCACTATTAGAAAGAGATGGAGACAGGTTTACCTGGTCTGAAATGCTAAATTTTCTGTCACCAAAGATGACTCCCTTTTCTATACCCCAGGGTGATCCCAGACACCAAGATTCATACTATTAATTACATTTAGAAAAAAATATATTTGCTAACAGCAACTTATGAAAAGTGAGGGCAACAAACTGAATGGAAACAAACCACCCAGCCAACATTAAACCAGGCTGCTTCCTTGATTGAGGAAGCTGTTTCTTGGTTCACTGAACAGATACTTAAAACATATTGCAGAAACACATCCAGGTTTCCTGTCAAAGTTCTTTGGGTACCGATTGAGATGAATAGCTCAGAGTATATTTATGAACCATGTTATGAACTATGGGCAAATAAATCTCTTAATACTCCTGGCCGCAGTTTCTTCATCTGTAGTATAAGGCCAGTGATGCCTCCTCTGACTATTTTTGGGGTTTTATGGGGACCACATAGAACAAAAGTATGAGCACCTTTTGGAAGCACTGAAGCACATTTTGAAGGGCAGCCTCTTCACTCTATGGGAATAAATAACACATGAAAAGTGAGCAGAAAAGGTCTTCAAAGGCCTAATGTATGTATGATAACCTAGCAGTAAATGTTAAAAATGTGTCTTCCATATCCACACTATCTCTTTTAGACTGACAGGGATCATATTTGTAAACAATTGGATTCTTGTTTGAACCATCAGAAGAAATCCACTTCTCAAGTGTGAGCCATTTACTTCTCCTGATACTACTCAGGCAGACCATTACATAGCATTAAATAACACAAATGAGAAAGTTATCCCATATTCAATTTAACTGCAAGCCTTCTGCTTAGATCATGCTAGTACAGTCATGTACCCCATTATGGATGTTTTGGTCAGCAATGGATCACCAACAATATATGATGGTGGTCCCATTAGATTATAATGAAGCTGAAAAAGTCTTATCCCCTGGTGACATCATAGCCATCATAATGTTATGGTAGCATAATCACTCTATTTTAAAAATTAATTTAGTGTAGTCTAATCATACAGAATTTATAAAGTCTACAGTAGTGCACAATAATGTCTGTCCTAGGCCTTCACATTCAACTTCCAGTGCTGCAAGCTCCGTTCATGGTAACTGCCCTATCTAAGTGTACTATTTTTTATCCTTTATACTATATTTTTACTGTACCTTTTTTATGTGTAGATGTGTTTACATACACAAATACTTATCATCATCATGTTACAATTGCCTGCAGTAATCAGAACATTCACATGCTGTAGAGGTTTGTAGCCTGGGAGCATAAGCCATACCACATAGCCTAAGCATATGGTAGGCTAGACCATCTAGATTTGGGTAAGTGCACTCTATGATGTTCACACAATGATGAAATCACCTTTTTTTCAGAACGTATCCCTGTCGGTTAAGTGACAGATGACGGTATTTCATTAATACTCCTCTAACACATGTTAATCTCCCAGTATAAAAATTCTAGGCTCCAAAGCCTTGGACAACCATCTCCAGCTAGAATTTAAGATATTTTATTTTTACTGTATAGTATTTATGCTTGCAATTTTCTTCTATCAGTGAGAAGCTATATTGGTTTAACATTTATAGTACACATATAATTTCTAAGTAGTACATATAATTTCTAAGATAGCTATGTAAAAAGCATAATTTGCTTTAAATGAAATATTAAGCAATAACACAGGAGATATGTGGACAAAATCAAAATTGTTTAGGTAGTACCAAACTGACTAAAATTTAGAGAACATCACTTAAAGTTATTATTCACATAAAATATACCAAAAATCATCTTTCTCCCAAATTTTTGGAAAGCTTGTGATACGCTGTGGTAGACAAGCCAGCCATCAATTATAAGGAAAGTATTTAAGCTGTCTATGCTTTAGTTTCCTCATAAGTAAAATGGGGATAATGTAGTACCTACGTCATAAGATGAATGATGTTGGTAAGCACTTAGCAGAGTGCTGGCGTATAGGAAGCACTCAGTAAATACGGACAGCAGCTACTGCTGCTGCTCCTAAAACAGCCACCAGTTCTGGAGAGCTTCTGATCTCCTCTCTGCCCTTCTACATCATGCTCTGTGCCAGGAGGGGACAGGCATGGGTCAAATCAATGGGCTCCCTGCCCTCTGGATACCAGCTGGGTTTGGCCAGTGGGGAGCCTCAGCAGGAGGTGGGACAATGTAGGGAAGTGGTGTCAGGTTATTTGTTCCCACATCTCACTTTCTGCAAGGTATCCTCAAACTCAGGTTTATGCTTAATATGGTTTGGCTGTGTCCCCACCCAAAATCTCATCTTGAATTTTAATCCCCTAACTGCCATAATCCCCATGTGTCAAGGACAGGACCAGATGGAGGTAATTGGATCATGGGGGCAGTTTCTCCATGCTGTTCTCATGTTAATGAGTGAGTCTTATGAGATCTGATGGTTTTATAAGCAACTGGCATTTCCCCTGCTTTCACTTCTCCTTCCTACTGCCTTGTGAAGAAGATGCCTTGCTTCCCCTTCACCTTCTGCCATGATTGTAAGTTTCTTGAGGCCTCCCCAGCAATGCAGAACTCTGAGTCCATTTAACCTCTTTCCTTTATAAATCACCCAGTCTCTGGCAGTTCTTCATAGCAACATAAGAAAGGACTAATACAATGCCCAAAGCCAAAAAATACAGAAGTTCAGGCTTATATATTCTTCAGAATTTTTGACCTAGTCTCCCCATCACCATACTTTGCTTAGTTAAAGAAAACCTGCCATGGCTGGGTGCAGTGGCTCACGCCTATAATCCCAGCACTTTGGGAGGCCGAGGTGGGCAGATCACCTGAGGTCGGGAGTTTGAGACCAGCCTGACCCACATGGAGAAACCCCATCTCTACTAAAAATACAAAATTAGCCGGGCTTGGTGGCACATGGCTATAATCTCAGCTACTTGGGAAGGCTGAGGGAGGAGAATCGCTTGAACCTGGGAGGTGGAGGTTGTGGTGAGCCGAGATCGTGCCATTGCACTCCAGCCTGGGCAACAAGAGCAAAACGCCATCTCAAAAAAAAAAAAAGAAAAGAAAACCTGTTGTGAGGTTGCTGTCTGAAACCCTTTGATGTAAAAATTCTCAATTCTTTTTTTAAACTTTTATTTTATGTTCAGAGGTACATGTGCAGATTCATCGTATAGGTAAATTGCATGTCACGGGGGCTTGGTGTACCAATTATTTCGTCATCTAGGTAACAGAACCCAAAAGGTAGTTTTTTGATCCTCACCTTCCTCCCACCCTCCACTCTCAAGTAGACCCTGGTTTCTGTTGTTCCCTTCCTTGTGTCCACGTGTACTTTAATTTTTAGCTCCCACTTTTAAGTGAGAACATGCAGTACTTGGTTTTCTGTTCCTGTGTTAGTTTGCTTAGGATTATGGTCTCCAGCTCCATCTATGTTGCTACAAAGGACATGATCTCATTCTTTTTTTATGGCTGTATAGTATTCTGTCCTGTATATGTACCACATTTTCTTTAGCTAGTGTAGGTTGATTCCATGTCTTTGCTATTGTGAATAGTGTGGCAGTAAACATACACATACATGTGTCCTTATGGTAGAGTGATTTATACTCCTTTGGGTATATACCCAATAATGAGATTGCTGGGTTGAATGGTAGTTCTGTTTTTAGCTCTTTGAGGAATCACCACACTGCTTTCCACAATGGTTGAACTAGTTTACGCTCCTACCAACAGTGTATTAGCATTCCTTTTTCTCTGCAACCTTGCCAGCATCTGTTTTTTTGTTTTGTTTTGTTTTTACTTTTTAATAATAGCCATTCTGACCAGTGTGAGATGGTATCTCTTTGTGGTTTTGATTTGCATTTCTCTAATGATTAGTGATGTTGGGCACTTTTTCATATGCTTCTTGGCCATATGTATGTCTTCTTTTGAAAGCGTCTGTTCATGTCCTTTGCCCACTTTTTAACGGGGTTCTTTGTTTTTTGATTGTTGATTTGTTTAAGTTCCTTATAGATGCTGGATATTAGACTTTTGACAGATGCACAGTCTGCAAATATTTTCTCCCATTTTGTAAGTTTTCTGTTTACTCTGTTGATAGTTTCTTCTGCTGTCCAAAAAAAGCTCTTTAGTTTAACTAGTTCCCATTTGTCAGTTTTTGTTTTTATCACAATTGCTTTTGGTGTTTTCATCATGAAATCTCTGCCAGCTCTTATGTCCAGGATGCATTTCCTAGGTTATCTTCTAGGGTTTTTATAGTTTTGGGTTTAAATTTAAGTCTTTAATCCATCTTGAGTTGTTTTTGTATATGGTGTAAGAAAAGGGTCCAGTTTTAATCTTCTGCATAGGGCTAGCCAGTTATCCTAGCACCATTTATTGAAGAGGGAGTTCTTTCCTCATTCCTTGCTTTTCACAATTTTGTCAAAGATCAGATGGTTGTAGGTGTGTGAAATTATTTCTAGGCTTTCTATTCTGTTCCATTGGTTTATGTGTCTGTTTTTATAACAGTACCATGTTGTTTTGGTTACTGTAGCCTTATAGTATAGCTTGAAGTTGGGTAAAGTAATACCTCCAGCTTTGTTCTTTTTGGTTAGAATTGCCTTGGTCATTCAGGCTCATTTTTTCCATATTAATTTTAAAATAGTTTTGTTTTAATCTTGTAAAGAATGTCATTGATAGTTTGATAGGAATAGCATTGAATCTATAAATTGCTTTGGGCAGTATTGCTATTTTAACAATATGGATTCTTCCTCTCCATGAGCATGGAATGTTTTTCCATTTGTTTGTGTCATCTCTGATTTATTTCAGCAGTGTTTTGTAATTCTCATTGTAGAGATTTTTCATCTCCCTGATTTGCTGTATTCCTAAGTATTTTATTCTTTTTGTGATTATTGTGAGTGAGCTTGTGTTCTTGGTTTGACTTTCAGCCTGGATGTTATTGGTGTATGGAAATGCTACTGATATTTGTACACTGATTTTGTATCCTAAAACTTTGCCGAAGTTGTCTGTCAGATAAAGGAGCTTCTGGGCAGAGACTATGAGATTTTCCAGGTACAGAATCATATCATCTGCAAAGGGGATAGTTTGACTTCCTCTCTTCCTATTTGGATGCCTTTCATTTCTTTCTCTTGCCTGATTGCTCCGGCTAGGACTTCCCACACAATGTTGAATAGGAGTGGTTAGAGAGGGCATTCCTGTCTTGTTCTGGTTTTCAAGGGGAATACTTCTAGCTTTTGTATATTCAGTATGATGTTGGCTGTGGGTTTGTCATAGATAGCTCTTATTACTTTGAAGTATGTTTCTTCAATGCCTAGTTTGTTGAGGGTTCTTAACATGAAGGGAAGTTGAATTTTATTGGAAGCATTTTCTGCATCTAATGAGATGATCATGTGGTTTTTATTTTTAGTTCTGTTAATTTGGTAAATCACATTTATTGATTTGTGTATGTAGCACCAACCTTGCATCCCAGGGATAAAGCCTGCTTGATCATGGTGAATTAGCTTTTTGATGTGCTGCTGGATTCAGTTTGCTAGTATTTTGTTGAGGATTTTTACATCTATGTTCATCAAGGATATTGGCCTGATGAACAGTGTTTTCTTTTTTAATTGTGTCTCTGCCTGGTTTTGTTATCAGGATGATGTTGGCCTCATAGGATGAGCTGGGAAATAGTCCTTCCTCCTCAATTTTTTGAAATAGTTTTGGTAGGAATGGTCCCAATTCTTTATACATCTGGTAGAGTTTGGCTGTGATTCCATCTGGTCCTGGGCTTTTACTGATTGGCAGGCCTTTTATTACTGAGTCAATTTCAGAAGTCATTATTAGTCTGTTCAGGGATTCATCTTCCTCCTGGTTCAATCTTGGGAAATTTCCAGGAATTTGTCCATGTCTTCTAGGTTTTCTAGTTTGTGCGTATAGAGGTTTTCATAGTAGTTTCTGAGTAGTTTCTCCACTCCATCTTTGTGGAGTCAGTGGTAATATCCCCTTTGTCATTTCTGATTGTGTTTATTTGGAACTTCTATTTTGTTCTTTACAAGTCTAGCTACCAGTCTATCTGTCTTATTAATTCTTTCAAAAAACCAACTTTAAGATTCATTGATCTTTTGTATGGTTTTTCACATCCCATTTCCTTCAGTTCAGCTCTGGTTTGGATTATTTCTTATCTTCTGCTGGCTTGGAGATGGTTTGCTCTTGTTTCCTTAGTTCCTCTAGTTGTGATATTAGGTTGTTAATTTGAGATCTTTGTAACTTTTTGATGTGGGTGTTTAGTGCTATAAACTTCCCTCTTAACACTGCTTTCGCTGTGTCCCAGAGATTCTGGTATGTTGTGTCTTTGTTCTAATCTTTGAATAATTTATTGATGTCTGCCTAGATTCCATTATTTACCTAGAAGTTATCCAGGAGCAGGCTGTTTAATTTCCATCCAATTGTATTATTTTGAGTGATTTTCTTAGCACTGATTTCTATTTTTATTGCTCTGTGGTACATGAACATTGTTGATATGATTTTCAAAAATTTACTGAGGATGGTAAAAATTTCAATTTTAATTACATTATTATTTGATCTAATTAAAATCTTGTTGCTGTTGTAAGGGCAAATTTTGCCATGTGAAGTTTTGTTTGGGAAAACCATTGGCCAGTGCCTTGATTATTTGCTCTAATTATAAAATGAGTTTTTACATACATAAGCTTATGTAAAAGAAATCTCTAATTCTACCATTGCCACTTGATATATTCTTATGTAATGTTATATACATCAATATATTTTTTAACAAAATTGCGATCATTTTATATATTCCTTCATTCATTCTTTCACTCAACAAATGTTGATGGCACCTCTCTGCCAAGAACCAGAAATGAGCTAGGTAGTCAAAATGCTTGCATCCATGGAACTGACATCTTATGGGAAGAAGTAGGCAAATAAACTGTTCCAAATTGTGAAAAGTGCTGAGCAAAAAAGAATAAGGGGATAGAGAGAAAGGTGTACATTTTAATTGCAGGGCTCAGGAAAGACTATCTGGGGAGGGGACCATTAATGAGGACCAATTAAGGTGATAAAGCAGGTCATATGGCTATAAAGGATAAGAAAGGAATTCTGGGCCAAGGGAATAGCAAGTGTGAAGTCCCCAAGACAGGAATTTGCCCTTCTACACGATGGCCCTAAGGGATAGGAAAGGAATTCTGGACAGAGGGAACAGCAAGTGCAAAGGCCCTGGCCTGTGTGCAAAGGTTTCCACACTGCTATTTCTACTTCAGTCTATCAGAAACATTTCCTCTTACAGCCATTCATTTCAGAAATATTTATTGAGCAGCTGCTATGCGTCAGGCACCATTCTTTGTGATGGGCAGGCAGTAATGAACATCATAGGCAAAAATCTGCCCACAAGATACAAGCAAGTAAATATATAATGTACCAGTTGGTGAACATGAAACTGAGAAAAATGAAACTGGAAAAGGAACATAGGGAATTTAACATAGGATGCTATTTATATGTGGTGGGAAAGAAAGCATCATGATACAATGAAATTTGAGCATTGATTTGAAGAAAGAAAGAAGAAGGAGCCATGTGGGTCCCAAGAGATGGGAGTGCCCAGGTTAAAGCTTTAAGCTACACATGCTCTTGGTGAGTCTGAGCAGCAGACAGAGGGCCTATGCCGCTGGAGTGATCACAGGTCCCTGCTATGGGGCATGTATGTTCCCGCTCCATAGCCTTATATGATTTGTATTATTGTTGTTGCTGTCATTATTGCTTTTATTCGTGATATAAAAGTTTACATTTATTTGTCACTCACTATTTACCAGGCATTGTGCTAAACATTTGATTTATACTAACTTATTTTATCCTCACTATCATCCTACAAGAGGGTTACTGTTATTATTTCAACTTACAGAGAGGTAAACTGAGGCCTCAAGTAGTCTAGCAAATGGACACACGGGTAACAGGTAGTAAGTGTCAAAGTAAGGACTAAAACCCAGGTCTGCCTAATGACAAAGTCTGAACTTTTAACTCAGATAAGAGAAACTTAGTTATATTACTGATGCCTCTTTACAAAATGGCACTAAGGGATAAAAGGTTGAACCAGCTTCTTAAAATACCATGTTTATTCTGAAGATATAGATCCTTGACTTCAATCAGAAGCTTGTTTATGGAAAAGGACTTCTTACTATTTTTTATATTTAAATTAAGCAGGACCTCAAATCCTTTCTTTTTTTTTTTTTTTTTTTTTTAGCAATGAGATCTCATCCTGTTGCCCAGGCTGAACTGGCTGGAGTGCAGTGATGCAATCATAGCTCACTGCAACTTCAAACTCCTGGGATCAGGCGATCTCCCACCTCAGGCTCACAGGTTGATAGGACTACAGTCATGCCCCACCATGTCCAGCTAAATTTTTAATTTTCTGTAGTGATGAAGTCTCACTGTGTTGCCTAGGCTGGTCTTGAACTCCTGGGTTCAAACAATCATCCTGCCTTGGCCTCCCAAAATGCTGGGATTATAGTCAAAACCAACTTAAAAAAACTTTTTAGTGTCTTCATTTTAAATAGGAAGATCAGTATTCCATAAGGCAGATGGCCAGGCTTAGAATCCTTGCTCCTCCACTTATTCATTCATGACTTCAACCAATTTGTTTAACCTTTGGTGTCTCCATTTCCTCAACTGTAAAATGGGGTCAGGATTGGTATCTATTTCATGGTGCAGTTGTCAGGATTAAATGAGTCAAAACATATAAACTTGGAATAATACTTGACACATCATAAGCACTCAATAAATGTTACATATGAATATTATTATTTGAACAAAGAAATCTAACAGTTTTCTCCAATTTCCAATTGAAAGGTCTTCACATGACTATTCTTTTTTAAGTGTTTCCCCATTCTATGGGCCTTTCTACAAGTCTATTTCTAATTATGATGAATATAAATAATGAAAACCATCATACTATAGGTAATGCTTTAAGGTAACTGTGGGCCCTAACAAATATGTACTGTCAAGAGAACAGAGCCCATATTTTGCATTTTTTAATCCTCTGTAAGACCTTCCTCAATACTCAGCACATTACTCAAAAATTACTATTTGAATAAAAGCATGAATGAATGAAGGTACCAGATTGAACATGAACAGAAAGTCATGATTTGACACAGTCAGTCTGGCTTATTTATTTGTAACTATTCCTCCAATTTCAAATTCAGACCCAAACACTTGAGTTTCTTTATTCCAAATGTTTGTATTACTGTTGAAACAGCTGTAGATATTGTATTTGTTTGCTTGTTTATACCTCTACCTCATCTCAGAAAGGCTCATAAGGACATTTAAAAACCAAGGTGTAATTGAATGAAAATGAAAAGTAAAAAGAAGAAAGGGAATATAAAACAAAACAAAGAATCAGGTTAAAATACCCATGCCATCAAAACCCTATGAATGGGTCACACATTGGCCCTTAGTTTTCTAGAGCCAACATGAAAAAAGGTAAACTGGTCAGTTACGTAATTCACAACAGCCACTGGATGGAGTGACTTGCAGAAGATTCAGCTACTCTTAGTAGTGAGACCCTCCAGAACATTCTCCACAAAGATCACACCTAACAAATGTCTGGCACCACAGCATCTATAGAGTGTAAAAGTTCCCTCAGTGTAGATCATGGGATCGTGATGAAAAGTAATTCAGCCACACCATGAGAGCAAGATACAGAGCAAGTCAGATGCACTATGCCCTCGGGCAGGAAAGAAACACATGCCAAATTTTCTACTTGAGGAGGTTATTATTAAGAACAAAAGGGCAAACTGTTTCTGTTGGCATATCAAATATACTTTTTTTCTTTCCTGGTCGGCATTTTTATTATTTTAGGTAAGCAGCATGTAACATTTTTACAATAGTCAAACATATATATAGTCAATCTGAATTTTTTTAATACTATGTTCTAATAGTCTAAATCTTAGACAGTCTCTCCTGCCTGCCACCCCACCCGAGTCATGAGGGAGGATGAGAGACGTAGCCCTCATCATCAGAAGTTTGGAGATGGTCTCTACAATACTCATCCTGTTACATCCTAGAAATTTCGTTTGATATGGATAAAAGCTTCTTTCCCCTGCGAACAGCAGATGATTTTCAGGGTCAGACAGACCTAGATTTGAATTCTGGCTCTGCAACTTTCTATGTGTTACCTTTTATCTGTGAGTTTCAGTTTTCTCCTCTTTAAAATGGGCATAAGAATACTGTCTAATATGATTATTGTAAGAATAATTTTATACAAAACCTCTCACCCATAGCAGGCACTCAAAAACATTACAGCTCTTATTGTCTTCCACATAACATAGTTCCACATTGGTTAACATATTGGTTAACCAATAACATATAGATAACACATTGGTTTGTTAAGTGAACAAACGAATGAATGAATGAATGAATGAGTGAACATTGCCATCAAAGAATCTTAAACCATTAGCAGATCTGTCTAAAGGTTTGGAATCATGACAGCTTGGTGGTTAAGAACTTGGACTCAATATTCAGGTTGCCTGGGTTTGAATCCTGATGCCATCATGAATTATCTGTGAAATCTCAGACAAGCTATTCAACCATTCTCTATGTTAGTTTGACATCTGCAAATAGGATGATGTACCATTCCTTACAGGGATGTTGTAGGAACAATTAGGTGTGGGTTATAAAGTCCTTAGCATCATTCCTGGGATATAGTAAGCATTTAATAAATATTACTATTATTATTTATTTTATAGAAAGATAAATATAATATCATAAGGCTTTCTTTTATTTGTTTTTCTAAATGTTTTCCTTGTTTCCAGTGCTATGGGATCTTAAAATTTTCCAAAAGGCAAACCAAATAGTTATATAAACAAATCAACTTGTTTCTAGAACTCACATTTTCTTTTACCATTTTCTATTCTGATTTGTTTCTGTAGGACTTCATTGTCACTGTAGTCTTTTCGTTCTTGTGGTTGGTGGGTTCATCAGCTTGGGCAAAAGGACTGTCTGACGTCAAAGTTGCAACGGATCCCAAGGAAGTATTGCTACTAATGTCAGCTTGCAAACAGCCATCCAACAAATGCATGGCTATCCACAGCCCTGTTATGTCAAGCTTAAACACTTCTGTGGTAAGTATTTTTCATCTATGCTTTACTGTTCATATCTTTGTTTGCCAGTCAAAATAATAAGAAAAACATCTCAGAAGTCATCTTGAAAATTGTTGCCTACAAAACTAGGCCAATCAAAAGGTGAGATACTTCACCTCAGGTACAGGATGATCACTTGGCCCTCAGGTTTCTTATTGTCAGAATCCATCATTTGTAATGTTGCCGATTAAGGAGTTTTTCTTAAGAACCCCGCAGGTATTGGCAGCTGCTGCTTAGGTGACAGTCCAGTTGAAACTCTAAGCCAGAAGCAAATATAAAATCTGAACTTTGGCCGGACGCAATGGCTCACGCCTATAATCCCAGCAATTTAGGAGGCCAAGGTGGGAGGATCACCTGAGATCAGGAGTTCAAGACCAGACTGGCCAACATGGTGAAACCCTGTCTCTACTAAAAATACAAAAAAAACTAGCCAGGCACGGTGGCTCATGCCTATAGTCCCAGCTACTCGGAAGGCTGAGGCATGAGAATCGCTTGAACCCAGGAGGCGGAGGTTGCAGTGAGCCAAGATCAGGCCACTGCACCCCAGCCTGAGCAACAGAGTGAGACTCGGTCTCAAAAACAAAAACAAAAAAACCTGAACTTTAAGGTTGAAGTCAGACAAAAGTTAAAAGGAATATTTGAGGGCATACAAGTTCCTGGGGAGAAAACACTGTTCAAGCCACATGTAGCTGGAATACACCCAACTGATTAGAGAAAAATACACAGACCTAGTAGGGTGAAAAAATAAATTCAGAATGTAAAAAAGTACTTATAATAGCTATGGTAATTTTTGAATTTTCTCCATGCTTCCGGTTTAGTTACTTTATAACTTCGGAAAAGCTGCACTGTATTAGTTGAACAAAGTCAAATGTTATCATCAAGAGTTATGGCTCTTACAAGAAAAGAGAAAATCTGACAGTTAGCAGGGACACTAAATTGGATTTTTAATTTATAAGTGTAAGAATTTGTTATTATTCCAAAGAAAGAAGCTGTATCTGAGAAATACATAAGCTATAATGGCAGCAAAAAGCAGCGGTTATCGAAGAATAGAAGGCTCAGCAGTGTTTGCTGAAAGAACATTCTTTAGCACATCCTAGAAATAATTATCTTTGCTTCAAGATTAACCTGTGTTTCTACAGCTTTCTGAAATTCAATCTGCGAAGGCACTTAAGAAGAGAGAAAGGGTTGCTACTCTGACTGGACTGTGATTTCTGCTTTGGTGAGATAGTAACCATGAAAATAAGCTCTGCATTAGGGTCTCACAATAATTTTTATTCATTGCTGACCACACTTGTAAATGAACACTTTGAGGTATACGTTACCATATTTACTTATACTTCTGTAGTTTGTTTATAGACAGTATTTAATGAAAGCTATTAAAACCCTGATCTCAAAATCTAACAGGACAAAAATAAAATTGCTTGATATGTTTGTTAGTTTAATAACTAATCTCCCAATAAATTATGACGTTCTGCATGGTTCTTCTAATTCCACTTCTGATATATCTAATAATTTTTAGACTAAAAGATGGAAATTATGAATGAAAAACAATGTGATGTGTCTCCTAAAACCAAAATAAAGAATGAATTGAAACCAAATAATGTGATGTGTGTGAAAGGACAGGTCCAGTGGTGCTGTAGTGATGTATCCATATCAGTTAACAGTCTTCTAGTTCCTAGTGACAGAAAACTCAATTCAAACTGGCTAAGGCAAACCAATCCTCATATCCCTAAAATCTGTTTTTGCAGTCCACTTCTGGTACCAATGTTTGTATGCATTAGAATAATCAAAGCTGATTTTAACTACAACAGGAAAAAAGTATTTGGAAGGATATTAAGTCGCTCATACAACTTGATGAAACCTGAAGAAACAGGTTCTAGAAAGAGCAGAATCTAGAGCAGAATGAGAGTTCTAGATGTTCAGTACCAAATAATTGTTTCTTAGAGTTGCCATTAGTGGAAAGTTTTACCTAACCTTGCATTGCTCTGCTCAAAATGCAAAGTTCCAGGAGAGAGCTCAAGCCATTTGACCGAAACTTGGCTCTGCAAAGAAAATCAGATTTCTATTACCAAAAGCAGGGGAAAGGACATTAATGAACCAAAACACAATATTTTTATTACAAATTGTTTGGCTTCAAATCATACTGAGCTAGCTTATGCAAAAACTGAAAATAGTTGGAAAGACATTAAAAGTGTGTCTTCCCAGGGCAAAACCCAACAGCCAAGAACTGGAAGGCTGCCAGGAAGCTGGACAGTTCTCATCCTCCATCTCTCATCTCTCTTTCTTTCTGTGTCCCTGTCCCTTTCTGCATGTTTGTTACATTATTCTCTCTTTTCAGGTGAAACTTTATTTCTTTTTTTTCATCCACACAGCAGAAGATAGCCACTCTGCAGTTTCTAAGTTTATATGTATTTTTTAAAGACTGAACGGCTTGGACTGAATGAAAATCACTCAGGTCCAGTTGCAAATTTCTGGTAGAGAGAATCTCTTTTGCCCACCTTAGGCCAGATGCCCACCTCAGTCTCATCAGTTATGAATAGAGGGTTTGGAGGATGATGTAGTAGAAACGTGACTCAGAGAACACACTTTACTGGGCAAACATAGGTTTTGGAGTAGGAGGCATACCCATACCACAATAAATGACCTCTACAAGTAAATGAGTCAGGAAATAATAGTCATATTCTCTACCTTGGTAACAAATTTACTATCTTCAAAGCACTTTTTGGCACCTATAATTTTACAGTAACACTAAAATGTAGGTAAGATATCCAGATACTACAAATACTGGGAGCTAAGGTAAACTCTCTAATCCTTAGTTTTATCATCTGTAAAGTGGGGATAATTGTACAACAGACCTCAATACTGTTGAAACAATTCAGTGAGATAATCTATAAAAAAAATACTTAGCATCATGCCCAGCTTATGGCAAATGGTCAATACATGTCAACTGAAAATGGCTACTAAAATACGGTCATTCCCAAATGTCATACAGTGTTAGAGCCTAAATACAGAAGGAAGAAATAATGTTTTTAGTCTCTCAATTTCTTTCAAAGTTTCACTGAGCACAAATAGTTTGGCCATAATTTCAACTTCTGCTTCTCCAGCTTCACTCCAGACAAATCTTAGTACATCTTTTTAGACGATCTAGATCTTGTCTCCCCATTGTTTGCATGTTATGTACAGTCTCTTTCAATCTCTCTTTCTGTTGTCCCCAAGTCTGAGCTTGAATCACATTCTTACCCCAATTTCAGTTCCAACAAAATAGCAAAAAAGAGTTCAAGGGCCCAAGTGACCCTAAAATGTGCCAGCCAAGAGATCTGTGATGCTAGAGTAAAAAATCAGTACTCCTTAAATATGCCCATTGAAATGCCTTGTTTACGTTCTTACTTTTAAGTAGCATTTCCTTGATGTCTAAGTTTTTCTTTTTTAAAATCCAAATAGTAACAGGGAAAAGAGAAAGATCAATAGATAGGAAATAGCTAAAATTACATCCCTGGACAGAGCCATGACTGAAAAGATCCCTTGATAATTTTTCCTCCCCTCCCCCACCCTCCCCTCCACTCCCCTCCTCTCCTCTCCTCTCTTCTCTTCTCCTCTCTTCTCCTCTCCTTTTCTGTTTTCCTTTCCTTTTGTTTCCTTTTTTCTTTTTTTTTTTGAGACAGGGTTTTGCTCTGTCACCCAGGTGGGAGGTGCAGTGGTGCAATCATAGCTCACTATAACCTGGAACTCTTGGGCTCAAGGGATACTGCTGCCTCAGCCTTCCAAGTACCCCTTCTGAGTACCTGGGACTACAGGCATGTGCTGCCATGCTCAGCTAATTTTTTTTTTTTTAAGAGACAAGGTCTTGCTATGTTGCCCAGGCACCTCAATAATTTTTTATACTCTTATATTGACATACACTTGTAAAGGTGCAATTTAATCAAGATCCCCCTTTTAACGGAAAATATTCTGGTTACCATGCACATGGTAAAATGGTCCTGTATGCAAATTAGAGTTTTGTCAGTAGTTAACTAATTTATTTTGTTCAAGCAACTATTATACCTTATTTACGTTTTGTATCTCCCTCAGCAGGTAGCCTAGAGCATGGCACAAAATAGGTTCTCAATTAGTGTAAAAAGTAAGGAAAGAGGATGCAAGAGGAGAGAAGGAAGAAGGAGGGAGGTCTGTACAAACCAGTCTTTAATTAGATCAGTTGGGGGCCTAGAGTCTTGATTTTGGCTATTGTCTCAAGAACATCGTCTCACTGTTTGTGCCTCAGTTCAATTTATGCTGCAGCAAAAAAAAAAAAAAAAAAAAAAAAAAAAAGTCTGCAAAGTACAATTCACAGAAATGTTTTAGAAAATGATTCAGAGCATAGTTTACCATTTAGTAAGTATTTGCTAATGTGTCCAGCACTGTCCAGCTACTTTACACACATCCTCTTTAATCCTCCCAACTACCTTCCAAGAAAGGAATTCTTGTCTCCATTCCATACAAGAAACAAAACAAAAACAAAAATGAAGTCTACAGACTAAATGCCTTGTCCCAGGTAGCAGGGCAAGAAAGTACAGTCCCCAGGGTGCCTTTGATTTCAAAGCCTATAGAGATTTCTCCAAGCCTAAGATTCCATTCATGTGCTGCTAAAATATTGAAATATTTTGATAGTCTCAGATCCAAGTCTCCAAGGCCCAGCTTCTTGACTACACCAGTGCCCCCTCTGCCACCACTACCCACAGGCCACTGTGGATCATCTCACTGTCCAGAAACTAAGGGATAGATATTGACCCAGCAAAGGACTTCCAGCACCCTACTCCAGGACCGTGGCCACTGCCCAAGTCCATTTTGATTGGTCAGCGTCACGCTAGGGGGTGATGACTAAATATACTTTAATGTTATCACAGCTTTGCGTTATACTACTGTTACCTGTCTCCATTAGGGGGCTGTTAAAACAGACTGCCTGTAGTTAATTCCCAAGTCAATCAACCAGCCTTGGAAAAGGCTGCAGAACAAGTCATGGAATGAGGACTTCTGTTCGGGCCTCATGCAATAGCAAACCGTTCTGCTTCCATCAAACCTGAGGCCCTGGGGAGGCGACACCCAGTCCTCTGGCTCACTGACACCCTCCTGGAGAGTAAGAGGAATTTCCATAGGAAAGTTTCACATCCAGTTCTTAAGAAAATATTTTATACTTCTCTGAAACCTGCACTTTATTCACAGTCTGGTTTCAACATTCACTTATCCCTGTGAGAGGCACAGAAAGTGCAATTATTCGAACAGTCAACCTCTCAATATGCTATCATGCATATGCTTATTTGCATATCACCTGTACCATTGCTTACCCTATATTTTTAATTGACTCACTTTCTTTATATGATTACAACAAATGGAAAAGCAAAAGCAGTATCTCTAACCATAAAGAGAAGATAGCCTTATAAATGAATGCACCATTATTAAAGTGAAAATTCTCAACCCTGTGCCATCTGGAAATAATCTTACACACCATGAAGGATACTTTATTTGGAGAATAAGTGATGCCTTAAGTAAGGTTTCCAGTTATGGAACCAGAAGAGAGTTTGGATCACAGATCTACTACTCAGCAAGCCACGCGACCTTAGACAAGCTTTCCACATCTTTAATGTGGGTATGACAATAGCAACTTTTTCCTAGACTGATTCTTAGAGCAAGTGAATTGATACACATAAAGCCCTTTATGTAGTGCCTGACATGTAGTGCGTCTAATAAAGGTCAAATATTCTAAATGAAATACCGGTTCCAAATGGAAAACTTGGAAGCGGACTCAACATTAAAGTGAAAAGTGATCTTTTGTATTGTGAAGGATTTTTCCAAAATTGAAATTTTTCTTGGGTTTTTGTCTAGTCTATCAATTCATTGGCTTTGATTCTCCTTCAGGTCTTTGGATTCTTGAACTTTATTCTCTGGGCTGGAAACATATGGTTTGTTTTCAAGGAGACCGGCTGGCATTCTTCGGGACAGAGATATCTTTCAGATCCAATGGAGAAGCACTCCAGCAGCTATAATCAAGGTGGTTACAACCAAGACAGCTATGGATCAAGCAGTGGGTACAGTCAGCAGGCGAGTTTGGGGCCAACCTCAGATGAGTTTGGCCAACAGCCTACTGGCCCCACTTCCTTTACCAATCAGATTTAACAGAGTAGCATTTGCATTCTTCTGCAGTCGCCTCACCATCTTCCATTTCAGTGGCAGAAGAATTTTTTAAGGGTTTCAATCAATTATTAATGCAGAGAGTATTGAATGTAAATCAGAGCTCTCTAGTCTTCATTAAGGCAGCAAGTCCTGGGTTGTGAAAAATGATACTTAGAGATGAGGCGACATGAGGAGATATATTATTCATCATAGATGGCTAATTGGAGAGTACCTTGTTATATATACAGATACTTTCATGGTCATTTTGTATGTATGTTAAAGTAGTAGAAGTATTTTGTAGCTTAAAGTCTCTAGTATGTAATATGCATAAAGTAAATCAAATAGCGTTGAGTTTTCTTATGCATTTTGATGTGAAAGATGTTATAATAATTTCTAGAAGACAATTTGGTGTATCACAACATGCATGTCTTATTTTTTTTTAGTTTTAAGTCCTATAGGACTATGAGTCTCTAAGTTATTTGTTTCAGAAAATTATTCTTTTTTTATGTGATAAATCATATGATTTAAGTGCATGAATAAGCATTTTCCCACACAATGAACATTTGAACTGTGTTTATGAAAATTTTCTGGTTTGCACCATGAATTTGTCAAATGGATATTTATAGGAATATATTCACTACTTTGTATACTTTGCAAATTTGTCTCTCTGGCTTTACCCAAGTTCTGAATGCATTGTAATTAAAATTTAAGTTTTTCTTTTCCCCCATTAGTAAACATTTAGTGCTACATATGATAACTGCCCAATATTTATTCTATTTACTTAGCTAAATATTTGCATTCTTGTAACCTTCTATGGTGTTTTGTGGCTCTTATCTTGTGGACCATAAATAACACGGCCCAATAACTCTTTGTGTTTATGGAGTGTTGTTTTCTTAGAATAATGGAGATGCAGATATAGATACCATAGTCAAGGTACCGCCTTGCTGAAGTATTTATTTATAAAGAATATTCTGTAGAACCTCTACTACCAGCTATATTTTTAAATCCTGTTTATTTGTAAAGCTAATATGCTCCTCAATGTAATTATTAAAAATTCTCAAGTCACAGCTAAACTTACTAATTCTGATTTTAGTGTAGCCCCTAAATTAAAAATGGCTTCCATATGCCACTCTGTACCCCAAAGAGAGTTCTCATGAAATATTCTCCAGAATGTATTCATTATCAAGAAAATGTCAATCGTCACTTCCTCGTTTTAACTCAGCTGAAACACCAGGACCCAATAGAGAGGGCAAGCTGAGCATCTGTATTTCCAGATAAAAGTTGTTATTGATGTATAAACTCGTTGCGTGATTAGTGATGTTGGAAGCATTTTAGCACAAAACAGCCTTGTGTCTTAGATGATATCTGTAACCAGTTTCTGAATCCCGTTGGATAAAACTGTATTGTGATATCTATTTGATGTTAATAAAGTTATTGCATACAGTGCTGGCTGGACAGTGAACAATTACAACAGTAGAACCTGGTTGGCTTTAACAATGACAAACAAGGGTTAAATGCACAGTGTCTCCAATCTGTCACCCTGTCCTTGTTTCATGAGCCCAGTGAGGTTTGTTCATTCATTCCACCATTCTATGCACCTGTCACTGTGCATGCCACTGGTAATGCAGTAGTAAAAAACAAAAACAGGCAGTATGTTAAGAAGCTTACACTCTATTAGGAGAGACAGGCATTAAAATAATCACACCCCAGTTAAGCTGAGTGCAACAAACAGAGGCACAGGATTCCACAGGTACATCTGTCAGAGAGGTTTGAACTAGTTAGGGAGAAGTCAAGAAGCTTCAGACCTCAAGACTACACATGGTTTAGCAAGGACAAGGTGGGAGAGATGCGTGTCCCAGGCAGAGAACATCCTGACAAAGCTCTTGGATGGTAGGAGACAGGATGGATATATAGGGTTGCCAGAGTTTAATGAACAAGAGGCTTTTTGGGAAGTGTGACTGCTGATGGGGACATGGGTGAAATCTGTCTGAAGGCCTAATCAGGAATTCTGTCTTTATCCTAAAGAAGCTAAGGGAAAGCATTGAAGGATTTTTGAGCAGGGGAGGGATGTGATGAGATTAGCATGTTGAAAGGATCTCAATGGCTACAGAGTAGAGTGGATTAGAGGACAAGCGAGAAAAACATCCTGAGGATAAGGAAATAGGCCTTAACTCCTAGCATCTAGGAGGCAGTAGGCTGGGAGTGGGAGGAGGGGATGTGGTATGAGTTCTCCCCGCTCCCACCCCCACTCCCAATTCCCCCTTATTTCCTGGGACGATGGCTGGATTTGACTGCTTCCTTCAGCACTGCGCAGGAGAAGAAAGTGTCCTCTGCTTTATAAGCTGTCATGAACTCAGCAAAGTGGAGAAATCCTCCTAACCAGCAGTGATTTTTACCAGCCTTAGCAGTTCCAAAGCACTCTGGGCACTGATAAATGGAAAACACTACCTGCCCAGGTTGAGATAGAGACATGCTTCCACGGTCCACCGCAGATTCGCAATAAAGACCTGCTCTAACCCAATGGGGATTTTGCTAAACTGATTTATTCCTTCAGGTTTCAAGAAAAGAGCAGTAGATTTGTTATTTATTTATTTAAGATGGAGTCTCGCTCTGTCGCCCAGGCTGGAGTGCGGTGGCGCGATCTCGGCTCACTGCAAGCTCCGCCTTCCGGGTTCACGCCATTCTCCTGCCTCAGCTTCCAGAGCAGCTGAGACTACAGGTGCTCACCACCACGCTGTGCTAATTTTTTGTATTTTTAGTAGAGATGGGGTTTCACCGTGTTAGCCAGGATGGTCTCGATCTCCTGACTTCGTGATCCGCCCGCCTCGGCCTCCCAAAGTGCTGGGATTACAGGTGTGAGCCATAAAAAGAGAATGGCAGGTGAGTTTGAGTCTATGTATCCAATAAGACTAATTTGGAATCTCAGCTTCAGTGCTCACTAGCTGTGTTTCAGGGTGTGACTTCACCTTCCTGCACCTTTGATTTTTTAGGAGGAGGTAAAGGGTGGGCCCTGATATCAGACTGTCTGGGTGAGAATCACTCACTGCCATTTCCTCAACTCTCCTTTTTCTTTCTCAAAGCCTTCTTCAAAGCCCTGGGACTTTTCTGAAGCCACAGCCTACAGGCAAGTGCAGCCTGGAAATGCTGGAGAGTTAACACCCCAGGGAGCAACTTCAAACACTAGGGGATATGGGCAGATCAATAAATGCCTTTGGTAAGATACTTAATATCTCATTCATTCAGTTTCCCCATCTCTACAGTGGGGATAACAGCAATATCTGCCTGGTAGATGAGAAAGATAAACCATCTAGCCATGTGACGGAATTAGAACAGCTTCTCGCAGACAGTAAGCACCCTCTGGGTTTGGGTTTTCCTGAAACTAAGACTAAGACAAGAGCTGGGTGCAAGGAGTTGATTCCAGGAGTCAGGAGTGACAAAGTGGGGAGAATGAGACAGGAAAGGAGGCAAAGCCAATAAAAGGATGTGTTCATGTTGTTGCTGGTAAGGCAGCAGGAGCTCAGTTTCATCAGGGTCTCTGAGCAGCTCCAGCAATTCTCTGAGCAGCTCCAGCAATTGTCCATCAAGGAGCAGGAGCTGGAGTGTTCACCTACCAATCCCCGGCCCTTATTGGTTGAGAGTTGCCCAGAACAGTGGTAACTTTTCCACGTTTCCAGGTTACACTTGCCAGGAGACTGAGCAGGTTCCTAGGACTTCAGAGAAACAAGCTTTGAGTGCTAACATCTCAAGCAGTGGGCTGGGGGAAAGGGGAGAGGCACTGGTATGGGTCCTATCACCACCATCCCCTCCCCCATTCCTGGGGACAGGGACCTTGAGGAAAGATAAAGGGTAAGCCCTGGGAGGTGCATGCGTGAGGTGGGGAGGGGGCCACTATCAATACGAACCAGAACAATTCTTCAAGCTATGGCTGAAATTAGAGGCTGACCAAAGGAAAGCAACACTTGGCATGCAAATCACCCACTACAGTGATCAATGATTACTGTATCACATTACTATTCTCACTTAGTCTGTCAAAGGGGGCTGCAGATAGTCCCACCTCATAGGAGCTGAGTTGGTTGTGTGTGGAAGAGGTTTATGAACTGTACACTACCGGGTGTAGTTAGCTTGTTATTGAATGTTGAGGTATAAACCTAATCCACACTCACAAAAATCTGAGTTTTGGGGATTTTTTTTTAACTTTTATTTAAGGTTCAGGGATACATGTTCACGTTCATTATATAGGTAAACTCATGTCATGGAAGTTTGATGTACATATTATTTTGTCACTCAGGTACTAAGCATAGTACCAAATAGGTGTTTTTTCTGATCCTCTCCCTCCCACCCTGCACCCTCCAGGAGACTTCAGTGTCTGCTGTTCCCCTATTTGTGTCCATGTGTTCTTGTTGTTTAGCTCCCACTTATAAGTTCACTTAGGATAACGGCCTCCAGCTCTATCCATGTTGCTGCAAAGTACATGATCTTGTTATTTTTTATGGCTGCATAGTATTCCATGGTGTGTATGTACCACATTTTCTTTATCCAGTCTACTGTTGATGGGCATTTAAGCTGATTCCATGTCTGTGCTATTGTGAATAGTGCTGCAACGAACATATGCATGCATGTGTCTTTGTGATAGAATGATTTATATTCCTTTGGGTATATGTGGAATAATGGGATTGTTGGATCAATTGATAATTCTATTTTTAGTTTTTTGAGGAATCGCCACACTACTTTCCACAATGGCTGAACTAACTGACACTCCCAACAGCAGTGTGTAAGCATTCCCTTTTCTTTTCTTTTTCTTTCTCTTTTTCTTTCTTTCTTTCTTTCTTTTTTTTTCTCTCTCTCTCTTTCTTTCTTTCCTTCTTTCTTTCTTTTTTTTTTGAGATAGGCTCTGGCTCTACCACCCAGGCTAGAGTGCAGTGGCGTGATCTTGGCTCACTGCAACTTCCGCCTCCTGGGCTCAAAGCGATTCCCCCACCTCAGTCCCCCCAGTAGATGGGACACAGGCTCACGCCACCACACCTGGCTGATTTTTTGTATTTTTGGTAGAGATGGGGTTTCACCATGTTGCCCAGGCTGGTCTCAAATTCCTAAGCATAAGCAATCTGCCCGCCTGGGCCACCCAAAGGGCTGGGATTACAGGTGTGAGCCACCGCGCCCGGCCAGCCTTCCCTTCTTACCAGCATTTGTTATTTCTTGACTTTTTAATAATAGCCATTCTGAATGGAGTAAGATGGTATCTCCTTGTGGTTTTTTTGAAGCCTGAGTTTTTATAAGTCAAACTTCTGATTGTACTGAATTAAGCAAAATACAGTACCTGGCATCTTTTGAGCTTACACTCAAGATTGGAAGATTCAAATAGCAGACAAGTAAATTAACCAGACATGTAAGAATGAACTGTGATTAATGTTGTAAGGAAAAGAAACAAGGGACAGGGTGGGGAGGAGTGGCCTAGAGTGGTCAACAAAGGCCTCTCTGAGGAGGGAACATGTAAGTTGGGACATGAAGAATAGGAAGGAACCAGTTATGTGTAGAATATTTTAGGCAGAGGGGAGAGTACATCCAAGGACCTAATGAGGGGAGACTGCTAGGTGCCTTCAAATGACTCATAGGAGAAAAAAGCTACTAGGGCTGGACATGCAAGGAGTGGGGCGGGAGTTGGGGCTACAGAGTTTGAAAGAGCCAGGTTATAAAGGCCCTTGGAGGACATGGAAACAGATTTTATTCTAAGAGAAGTGGGAAGCCAGTGGGCAAATAAACAGGAAAATGACATGATTTAATTTTCTCTTCAAAGAAATCCCTCTATCAAATTCTTGGCTTTGATATTGTACTATTATAAGACAAGACGTCACCTTTGCGGGAAGCTGGGTGAAGGGTTCGTGGGACTTTGTACTATTTTTGCAACTTCCTATAAAGGATGATGCTGCGAATGGATTAATGAAGTCATCAATTCATTCAACAGCTATTTATGGAGCACCTGCCATGTGCTAAGCTTTGTTCTAGGTGCTGGGAGAAAAATAAGATAAATTCAAATAGTGATCAATGTTAAAGAGGAAATAAACCAGGATGACATGACGGAGAGCAATAGGGTTGGAGGAAGATGGGTACAGGATGAGTTGCCAGAAGCCCTGGATGAGGATATGGCAGCCTGAGTTAGGATGGGGGCCCCATTCATGCTCAGCAACAGCTCCAGCTGGTTCTTGGGTCTTAAATATTGGTTGGGGGAAATCTTAAACACTGGCCAAAGAATAATAAATCTTCACTTTATAGAAAGTGCTTTGTACTGTTCAAAGTTCATAACATCTATAATTTCATGTGGTCTCTCATCAGCCCAGTGAAAGGGTAAGTGCTATTGTCCCCATTTGAAAAAAGTGTCCTAAACCGAGTTAACCCAGAAGCCAACTCTGTCTGAGATAAGAATTCAAGTACAAGTAGGAGGGTGGGGAAGTGAACCAAAGAAGAGAAGGAAAACAATAAATCTTGGGTTATGGAGAAGATTATTGCTATGGGCAACGGGGGCTCAGTCCCGCTAGAGAATATGAAACCCAGGGCAGAACACCAGTCAGCCCAACCTGGGCCAAAAGGAGCTGTGATATTTACCTGCTCGCTCCTGTCAGTCATTGAATAAGGGCTGCTCTAAGAGAGTGGCAATTCCCTAGCTCTTTCCGATCACCCTGTCTATGGGCTAGAGCAGATGGAGAAAGCATGAGGAGTGGTGCGAGTGCTGGCATTTGGGGGTTATTAGGTCAGTATGCATGCAATGGTGAGTCTCAAGAGGATACGGGTGGGCCACCAATAATGTATGCCACATTGAGGTTTGGGAGTGTTAAATAGCTTGCCAAAAATCTCTTTTAATCCTAAGAGGTTTTCTGTTTGTTTGTTTGTTTGTTTTAACCATCAACTCCTCAGTCTACTTAGCATATAAATATGACTTTAACCCCAATATTTCATGTGATTTTATCTAGACATCGAAAGATAATTTTTGATAGCAACTATAAACCAATAGCTAACATTTATTGGGTGCTTACAATGTGTCAGCCACTGAGTTAAGCACTTTGCATTTAACCACAACACTATGTGACAGATACTAGTATTACCCTTGTGTAACAGTTTAGAAAACCAAAGTATAGAGAAATTAGATAATGACAAAATACCTGTGAACAACTTCACTAATAAAAATAGTTCGTAGTTACTACCAGGTACTGAGCCTCTATTCCGCAGAGAACTATGCTACTCAATTTATATCCACTTTCCTATTTAATGCTCACAGGAAATGCAAGATAAATGTATTGTTGTACCAATTGAACAAATGGGAAAACTAAGATTCATAGAGATTAGATAACTTGTTGAAGATCATTGAGCTGGATGTGGGCAGAGCCCAGCGGATGCAGAAATCTAGGTTTCTCTGCATCCAAAACTCCTTGCTCTAAACCACCTTGCCAGATCACAAAAGTGCTACCACACTACCTACTATGTTTTAAGCTGATGAGCTTTGTCTGTCCACCTAGGGTGCAATTGGCACAGACTCAGACCATCAGGTGCTTCAATTAATCTTCACTAGTGATGCTGAGTCCCTGATAGTTGGAAGGAATTTGTTTTGTCAGCATCATTTATCAACATGAATAAAGTCAGACCCAATTCACTGAATAAGTTAATGAAGTCTTTAAGATGGCTAAAAGTCCGGCAGAACTAAGAATAATTTCTTAACATGCTTGGCTTAGAGGCTGAGGCTTTGCTGGATTTTAGGAGTTAGCTGAATGCTCTTCAGAACCTGTTGGCAGCAAGCACTTTCAAGAATGTCCTGGCTCCTCCAGTCCCAACTGGAACTCACCTCTGTGAATAATACACCTTGGGTATAAAAAGGCCAAGATGAGACTAGTGAACTTTAGCTATTTTCCTGGAAGTCTCGTTATTTGTGCGGAAAATATTATGTCTAGTTGAGTATTTCCTTTAAATAAGCAGGTTACCATTATGTGTGCCTTGGCTTATTGAACAAAACCCTTTAAGTTGGTTGTAATAAGTCTAATAGATTTCCTGGTGGCTGAGAAAGAGTTTGCCTTTGAGCCTCTGCTATTTTATTCATATATTGATTGCCTGGCCACTTGGAACTTAAGAGGGTCTAATTGGCTTGTGCTGTGAACAAGACTCACTGGCTCATATCAATTTAAAGTCATCTCCCTACTTACTAGAGACAATCTCATGTAACATGTCACCTGCTGTCATGCCAATTTGGTGAACATAAGAAATGCAAAATACAAACTGAATGTTTTTTCTTATTTCAGATATTTTCCCTCCTTTCCTGTGAAGTGACATTTCTCCCAGATATTTTCTCTTCTGATCTCTTTAGAGAGTTAAGTCTCTTCTGATTGATCTTCACTGTCATATTCCTTCTAGAATTTTGATAGATTCCATAGCTGACACATTGCCCTGAGCATTACTGCCCTTTTTATAAGTCCTTTCTTAATCTTGCTCTCTCGAAGCTCCTAGACATTCTATTAAAATTTCACGGTTAGTATTGATACATGATTCCACTGGACTTAGCAGCATGGTGCCACATGCATTTCCTGGAAACTGCCTTTATCAGCACAGACAATTGCCTCAGATGAGACCTGAGGTCACTCTTTGTCTTGGGAGTAAGAGCTAGATTGCATCTTTTGCATCAAAAGATGTTGTCATTGGCTTTACAATGTAAAGTGATCACATACATTTCTAACCCCCCCGGTATAATCTCCAGCTTAGAATCAGATGGACCTGGATTCAAATTTTGGAACCAGGCTGTGTGATCCTGGGAGAGGGCCTCATCATCCCTGGGGCTTAGATTTTTCATGCATATAATGGGCTGAAATCAAGGGGTTGGCAGGGATTTGTTCCTGTCTGGAGGTCCTTTTCCCTATCATTTCCAACTTTTAGAAGCTACCTATATTCCTTAGATCATGGTTCTCTTTCTCCATCTTCAAAGCCAGCAAGAGCAGGCTGAGTTCATCTCAGAGAGGCATCACTCCAGCCTCTTCTTCTGCCTCCCTCTTCCACTTTTAAGGACATTTGTGTCCACATTGGGTCCACTTGGATAACCCAGGATAATCTGTCTATTTTAAGGTTGGCTAATTAGCAACCTCAATTCCATCTGTGACCATAATTCTCTATGTAACATAACATAACCACGGGTTTGGAGGTTAGAATGTGAACATCTTTGGGGAGGCTATTAATCTGCCTACCACATTATCCCACCAGTAAAGGATAAAAATAAAATCCTATAATTATGATACTTTTATATAAATGTAATATAAAAATGAATATAAGTAAATTTAGTAGCAGATTTCCCTAAAGTTCTCAGTAGCTGATAATGTTCTTAAAATTGATAGTTGTTCCAACCAATTATATTAACTTTTGTTAGAAAGTAACCCAGTCCTTAGCACTAATGTGTGGCAGCAGGTAGCTTTTCAATGATCAAATACTGAGATAACTTTGACAATGCTCCCAATCAGGAGCCAATGTTCATCCAATTTCCTGCTGAAGAGTTCTAGTAAATGAAAACGTACTGTGTACAGATGGGATCCTCGAGGTGCCATACAGTTATTCAGCACACAGCTGGAAAAACAGATAAACGGGACACAATTCTTGCCTCAGCGTTTTTATAGTCCAATGGGAGAGATTAAGTATAGACCTGAAATTACATTATGTATTCATTTGTTTAGTTGTCCTTTCTATCTCTCCCACTCGAACATAAATTCCATCAAGGGCTGAGACTTGACTGGATTATGCATGCCTGTATCCCCAGCACTTGGAACAGTGCCTGAAATAGGCTAGGCACTCAAATATTTGTTGAATGAATACAGTATGATACATTATACCAGCTATTATTAGAGATTGTTCATAAAATATGCAAACTATTATAACATAGAGTACGTAACATTGACTAGCCGGAAAGAAAAGAGTCTGAACTTTCCTTTGGAAAGTTTCCAGCATGTTTATAAATAGCGCTCACTGTGTGCCCACACAGAAAGGGCTTCCTGCAGTGCAGGGCCTGCAAACCTTGCCCCTCATTGGTTCATTTCCACTTCACTGTTTTTTGTTGCCCTGTTTGCAAACTGCAGCATCTCCAGATCATAACACAGGGATCACGTGAAGTTCACACCTGTGCATACCATGTTAAGGATTATCCACTGCACCCACCCTCTCCCTCTGCACCCCTGCTGCCCCCAGTAAGTAAGAAATATGCTAATTTGATAGTGATACCCTATGAAGGATATAAAACAGAGTGATGTAATCAAGAATGTCTGGAGGGGTAAGAATTTTCACAAGCTACAAATGATCACACAAAGATTAATCAAAGTGCTAGAGTCATCTCTTAAGAGGAGAGGCACTCTTAACAATAATTATAATTAAACTACTACATAATAATTACAAAAAATACATTTTGAATGTGCCCCAGTACACACAAGGAACTACATTCAAAGTTTTGAAAAACAAATGTTATGTTTACCACATGGGACCTACTCTTTCTACTTTATTCAATTCTGTTCCATCCCATTGTTTGTTTGTTTGTTTGAGACGGAGTCTCACTCACTCTTCTCCAGGCTGGAGTGCAGTGGTGCAATCTCGGCCCACTGCAACCTCCACTTCCCCGTTTCAAGGGATTCCCCTGCCTCAGCCTCCCAAATAGCCAGGATTACAGGCATGTTCCACCCGACACGGCTATTTTTTGTACTTTTAGTAGAGATGGGGTTTCACCATGTTGGCCAGGCTGGTCTCAAACTCCTGACTTCAAGTGATCTGCCAGCCTCAGCCTCCCAAAGTGCTGGAATTACAGGCATGAGCCACTGCACCCCACCACATCCCATTGTATTTCATTTGTTTTACATGCTGATCTCCACTCTCCCGACTGATTCATATGCATGAAGGGGCCACTAGTGATTTGACCCATTAGGGATACCAGCTCTCCGTGACACAGAGTTTTTGACACCAGATAAGGGATACAGTTTAGCAGATAAAGGTAAAGCTTAGTAGAAGAAAGTTCTTATCCTGGTTCTATCAGTCCTCCCTGCCATCACTTCTTTCTTCCAAAATGCACTGCAGGATCCAATAGAGTCTTCATTTGTTGGGAAAGAAAGAATAAATGGGAAGCGTGTTTTATTGCCATAACCTCAAAAGGGATTTCTGGGTTCCAAAAGAGATGAAGGCAGGCTAGGTTTATTCTAGCAAAGGGTTCATGAACTCACTCAAAATCCCTTTCTTCCAATTTGGAGTTGTTTGTGGGGAAGAGAGAATCCCAAAAGTCTCTTTCATGGAAAAGGGAAGAAGAGGCTGTCAACTAAGCCACTGAAGCCAGACAAACAAGCACTCCCGGCAGATATGAGAAATGGCAGCCCTCCTCCAATCAAGGACTTCCTGGAGAGAGGCCTTATTAGCGCTCCTGCACCACAGCCAGCCTGAGACAAATGAGGGGAGCTCAGTAGGTGCTCTCTTGTGGGGCCTCACTCTCCTTCACAAGATAGTCATTTGTTTTGGCAACTTGGAGACTTTCCTTTACGTTCTCCTTATTTCTTGAAGAAAGTAATACAATCTGAGACCTTCCTCTTCTAAATGATGCTCCCAGACTGCACCCAGAATTGCTCTCCATTTCTTATAGATCTTTCTGGAGATGGCCCATGAAGATGTAAGTACATATATAATTTGTGAATTCTCAACTGGAGGCAAAATCAACTCCAAAACAGTGAAAATTGGTTCAGATGAAGGGGAGCAGAAAAATCTTACTCTTTCTGTATAAAGCAATACATAAACACATATCTTGTATATCTGTGATACTAAAATTTTGGGGGGAGGCCATAGGGAAAAAAATAACTTGAAAGGCTCCTTAGAGGAGGTATTAAAAAAAATCTGTTGAGAAACACTGATATGCCCACTTTTTAATATACCTAAGTGGTAGCTTACTGTCTTGGGTATACATTGTTCCAGGAAGCAGTATGAGGGGAGGGTGAGAACTTAGGTTGGGCTTCAAACCCGGTTTGAATCCTGGCTCCACCACCTATGAATTATAGGAAGTTGACCAAGTTCCTTAATGTGTTTTAGTTTTCTCAACTATTAAATGGGTATAATAATTATAGCTACTTCCTAGAGAAACTGTGAATATGAAGTTAATACCTAGAAAGCTCTTAGAATAGCACCTAGCACTGGTAGACACTCTATAGGTGTTTTCAACATTATGATATTCCACTTAGTTATAGCTCTTAGAGATGTTCCTTTTGACATAGTATTCCCTTGTGTGTGTGTGTGTGTGTGTGTGTGTGTGTATACCATCATTTATTTAGACCAAAAATCAGCAAATTATGGGCCCAAAGCCAAATCCAGTCAACCACTTAGTTATATCTCTTAGAGATGTTCCTTTTGATGACTACATAGTATTCCCTTGTGTGTGTGTGTGTGTGTGTGTGTGTGTATGTATATATATATACATATATATATATATACCATAATTTATTTAGACCAAAAATCAGCAAATTATGGCCCCAAAACCAAATCCAGTCAGCCACCTGTTTTTGTAAATGAAGCTTTCTTGGAACACAGCCATGACCATTTGTTTTCATATTATCAATGGCTGTTCTTGCGTTACAATGACAAAGACTGTGTGGCTTGCAAAGCCTAAATTAGCTACTGTCTGACCCTTCATAGAAAGTTTGCTGGCCCTTGGTTCAGTGAATCCTCTGTTAAAAGGCACCAAGACTGTCAGATCAATCTTCTGCTACAGCAAATATCATAGCAGTGACTATTCTAGAACACACGTCTTTGTACACATTAACAAATATATTCTAAAGACAAATTCTTAGGACTGGCTTTCTCGGGTCAAATTTAAGATACATGTATTCTTAACTGTGATAGATATTGCTAATTGTCTGCTATAAACTGAATTATATTTCCCCAAAATACAGATGTCAAAGCCCTAACCCTCAATGTGACTGTGTTTTGCAGGTAGGGCCTTAAGGAGGTAATTAAGATGAAATGAAGATGTAAAAATGGGTCCCTAATCTAATAGGACTGGCCCCTATAAGAAGAGAAAGAGACTCCAGAGATCTCTCTCTCTACCCTGAGCACAGAGGAAAAGCCATATGAGGACACAACAAGAAGGTAGCTGTCCGCAAGCTAATAAGAGAGACATCACCAGGAACCAAGTTTACTGGCACCTTGATCTTGGACTTTCAGCTTCCAGAACTGTGAGAAAATAAATTTCTATTGGTTAAGCGGCCAGCGTGTGGTATTTTGTTACAGCAGCCCAAACAGACTAACATACCTTCTTTAGAGTTTTACCAATTACTCTCCTACCAGCAGCAGTGTACAGGCATATCTCTTTACCCACTTCCTTTGCTGAATTATTATCTAAGTTTTTTTTTGTTTTTGCCAGTCTGATAGGTGAAAAAACTATGATAGCCTTATTGTTTAAATGCATTTATCTTATGAGATTGAGCATGATTTTGTATTTTAGTAAATTCCTTTATTTAAAAATAAACAGATCAAACAATGGCTCGTAGATACTATGCCTTGCAACAAATTGTGTGAGCTATGTAACATTATCCCTGTTTTACATATGAGGAAACTGAGGCACACAGAAGGTAAGTAAACCTGGCAAAAATGAGAGACATAGTAGCACTGTGGTTAAGAAAACTGACCTTGGAGTCAGACTACTTGGGTTTGCATCACAACTCCACCCCAAGTATCAGCTGTGCGGTCTTGGGAAAGTATTTAACCTCTCTATGCCTCGGTTTCCTTTTTTGTTTAATGAGACTAACAATAGTACTCATCCTATAGTGTGATTTGGGAAAATAAAGGAGGGCTTTGATGATACCAGTTTTAAGTGGTGAAGCCACATTTTGAATCTTTTTTTCTGATCCACAGTAGAAGCTCCTAAACATCGCTGTTTCCCTTAGTGGCAATGTACGATTGTTAGACATTTTCTATTCCCTGGATGAATGCTGTATCTTTCCTCATTCTTGGAGGCTTTGAGGAAGTATGCCAACTCTATCCATTGTTGCAAACATACAATATACAGAACGATGGCCCCCAAGCCTGAGCGTGTCTCCACTTGCTTAGTCATAACTGTTCAGAAATTTTGGAACATCAAACCATTCAGGGTAAGGATTGACGAGGAAACATGAAAACTATGTAATCCTTCAAGTGTTTCAGATTATTCCCATCTGAAATAACACAGACAGTACAGAATTAGATTTTAGAAAGATGCATACAAAATAGTTTTTTAAAAAATGTTTTGTGTCAACACATAAATATATTGCCTGAGTTCACTTTTTGAATGGAGCTGGCTCTCATAGAACAGCACCTCAGCCGATTAATAATCAATCAGCTCATGTTTGTTGAGCACCTACGTGCTCAATACTATATACCTATTACCCCAAATATAGCAATGGATAAAGTGGACACACTCTACATCCATATAGAATTTTAAATCTAGTGCAGTACTGTTCAATAGAAATTTCTACAATGATAAAAATGTTCAAGACTTCCACTGTCCAGTATGGTAGCCACTAGTCACAAGTCGCTATTAAGTAGTTGAGATGTGGTCAGTAGGACTAAGGAGGTGGATTTTTTATTTTAGTTAATTTAAATCAAAATTTAAATTGCCACATATAGCTCGTGGGTACCCTACTGAGCAGCATAACTCTAATGGGTGAATGTAAATTTGGGGCACATTTTCAAGAGTTGAGAAAGAATGTCACTGAGTCCACATTAGGTATTCATTTAACACTAGGGGAAGTAAATTGCTGTGTTCTAGCGCCCCTGGAAATGTTACCTGGTACCCCAGTGTCTTGGTTTACCGACTTCAGCAAGGCTATAACTAGCTCTATACTGCCCAGCTGAGAAAGCACAGAATGGTATGAAAGCAACCCCTTTATCGATAGTGCAGAGGTTGCCAAACATCAGTCTCACCCAGCTCACAGATGTGTTTCATGTGGCCCAGTGTTTTAAAGTTAGTTTGAATCAAGGGTCAACATTCAAAATTGAAGTGATTTTATATTTCTGATTTCTGTAGAAGATTCAGAAGTCCCAACATCTTTCTCCCTGGCAGTAGTTGGCTGAAGTTCAGGTTTCTGGTCTTGTCAGAGGGAGCGTATACTCTCCACGGTGATGAAGGTGCCACTATTCCCTATAGTCTTCCCTCCAGCCACCTTCATTCATTCACCCCATGCAAGCTTGGCCCCAGAAGCCATGTGAGCTTGTAGTCACTGCTTTAAGGCTTTGGTACATCTCCAGCCACTTCCCTGGATGTTACCAGATGCATGTACACATGCACATACACACGTGCCAGTCACATCTTGCACTTCTGCACCTCTGTGCCTTTGTAAATGCTGTTCTTCTTACCTGGAATGCTTTTTTCTGTCTGGTTAAAGGGCTTTCCTCCACAAAACCACCTGGATCTACCCAGGAAACTGCTTGTCCTTGTATATGCACTTAGAACATTACCAACTCTTCTGTCACCTTTTGTTTTTCTCACTCCTGGACTCCAGACAATGTTTTCATTCAGAAGAAGAAGTATCTTATTCACCTTAATATCCCTGAATCCTAGCACAGGGTCTGATGAATGAATTCTGAGTGAATGAATTCTGACATCTCTGTCTCCAGCCCAGGCCTTCTATATGGATCAGGAGGAACCATCAAGAGGTCTTATTCAGCTGCCTCCTGGGTGCTTCCGTGAAAGTCCCTGCAGCCGTTCTGTCTGCACTTGCCTGCTATCTTCCTCCTCTTCGCCTTTCCATCTCTCAGAAAGCCTGTTACCCCTCCTGTTTCCTCAACTTGTATAAGTCACAGAGAACCTCTAACAATTCCATAGTTAGTTACCTGAGCCAACAACACAGAGGTCATTTTAGTTTCTTCTTCTCCCATACCCCACCTGTCCCCTTATTCTCCCTCAATCTCCGGCCAACCCTGGTACAAATGCCTTATTTCTGATGCTCATCACAGGTCAACTATTTTAGCAGTCTGCAACCTAAGTCCCTACATGTTCCCATACCACCCTGATCCATCCTTCACTGTAATACATTCTCAACTTTCTAAACATATCTACAATACTTCTACAATTCTCCATTGCCCTCAGGATAAATGCAAGTCTCCCAAGCATGACAGAGAAAGTCAGCCCTCAGTTTCTCAGTTACTCTGCTACAGCCCCAGTGGCCTCCTTTCCATGCCTCAAAACTTTGCACATGTCATTCTCTCTGTCTAGAATGCCCTTCCCCCAGCACTTCACATGGTTGACTCTTCCATGGTTCAGGACTTAGCTCAAATGTAATCAGAAAGGCCCTCCCTGATGTCTCAACCTAAAGTGGCTCCCTGTCTAAACATGTCAACCCATGCTACTCCATCCACGATGTGTCAGATTCTGTCATCAAAGTCAGTAATGTCCATGTTTGTTTACATGTCTGTCTCCCCACTAAAATGGAAACATCACGAAGGCGGGGACCTATCTGTAGCCCCAAGGCCTTGGCACAGTGCCTGGCACACAATCGGCACTTAACCTGTGTTGGTTTGAATGCCAAATGATGACTGACTCTGGTAATGAAGATAGGAAGGAGGGAAGGAAGGAAGGAAGGGAGGGAGGGAGGGAAGGAAGGAAGGAAAGAAGGAAGGAAGGAAGGAAGGAAGGAAGAATGGAAGAAAGGGAAGAAGGAAGGAAGGAAGGAAGGGAGGGAGGGAGGGAAGGAGGGAGGGAGGGAAGGAAGGAAGGAAAGAAGGAAGGAAGGAAGGAAGAATGGAAGAAAGGGAAGAAGGAAGGAAGGAAGGGAGGGAGGGAGGGAAGGAGGGAGGGAGGGAAGGAGAGGTAGGGAGGGAGGGAGGGAAGGAGAGAGGTAGGGAGGGAGGGAGGGAAGAAAGGAAAGAAGGAAGGAAGGAAGAATGGAAGAAAGGGAAGAAGGAAGAAAGGGAAGAAGGAAGGAAGGGAAGAAGGAAGGAAGGAAGGAAAGAAGGAAGGAAGGAAGGAAGGAAACAGATGTATGCATGAACGTAATAAAAAGCGAAGACTTATTGTAACTCATGCACCTATGAAGAAATGGTTCCAAAGTGTGTTCCAGTGCATTCCTCCCAAAAGTAACACCTGTTCCAAGTTAGGCATTTGAAAAGAAATCTCAGAGTTTATAAAGAGACGGGAATTCCTGCTGATCAACAGTGTCAATGATAGGTAGAGGTATCTGAGGTATCAATTAATTCTTATTTGGGTGTTATTTTTAGGTACCCTGTGTCCCCAGAAACCTACAAAGGGCTTAGCAACTTAAAATTGTGGTGGAATTTGAACAGGTAGACGAGTCATGTAACAATTTATTATGATGACAAGTGCTGAGGAGTTCAAGGGAACTTGCTGATGCCTGCTTTCCTAAGTCAGATCTCAGGAGAACATATTTTGTTAGGGAAATTAGAATCCCCCAAATAGATTCTTGAGTGTATTAATATCTCTGTTGGGCTCAAGACTGGCTATTTTGGTTTACAATTAGTTTATCTCTACTTGTATCTGTCCAATTTCAAACATGCCACAAGGAAGACATATTGCCAGCTGTTTTGAGTTTTAAAAGGACAATTTCATCAACACAATATCTATTTTTTAAACCCCATATGCACATTATGGCAGAAATGAGTTCCAAAATAGAGTGAAACAAAAGCTCTAAAAAAATACATCTTGCCGGTATTCTGGAATCCAAATCTCTCCAGGTTAAATCACATTCTCTTCAACACAGTAGCACCAATAAAAATTTATAGCATATTGTATTTTACTTCTTCAGTATGGATTAGTGTCAAACTCTGACACCAGCATAGAAAAAGCTTCTACTGGGTTTGAAAAGTCATGTGCTAGAGACATAAACTGAGAAAAATAAAGGTCTGAGTGCAGGCGGGGCACTTCATTTCCCTGGGGGAAGGCAGGAGTAGATACAAATAAACGTGCAACAGAGCAGCGAGGAAAGGACTAACTGTTGGGTCAGAAGAGAGGACAGCCGAGACCTCCACCAGGACAATAGTGAGGGCTCCAAACACCTCGAGATATGGAGCTAAGCAGCTCTGTGAATTCTCCCACTCTCAGAGGCACAGAAAATGGCTCATTAGAAATCAGGCAGTGGGGCCATGGCCTCTGTAAGATCCTCTCTGTAAGAGAAAGGAAGGGAAACCATCACTTCATCATGCCTCCATTGGATACCTGGTTTTATAGTTATAAATGGATGTCTTCACTTATTCTGTGCCTTATCCCCTGAAGAAACTAAAACAATCTTGATTCTGTATGAAAACCACACATGGAATATTCTTGCAAAAAAAAAAAAAGGAAATTCAGACTTTATAACCAATTTAGGCTAACATGACTATAACTGGAAGAACAGAGCTGGGTAGGTGGGGCACAGGAATAGGATGGAAATGTTTCACTATCTACCGCTTTATGTAGATAAAGCACGTAAATGTGTTTTTTATTTTTCAAAAATTGAAAGTTTGAATGTATACAGTTAAACCTTTTCAGATTACTCTGAAAGTAAACCATTTCAGGAAAATGGAAGTGAGCATTTCCTTGTCAGGGTAAACAATTCCTTCCATTTTTCAGTCAAACCTCTTTAAGCTAAGCTGAGCATTCTTGCTTAGATTCTACACTCTGTGGGCATTAAAATCCTAAATTAAGAACCCATGTTTTTCCAAAGAGATTCCAGACCCTCTTAGTGTGTGGTGGGTTACCAATAGCAGCAAAGCCTAAAATCTTGTTTAATTATCTGTCTTAATTGATGGGATAATAAGCATTGATTCTACATATATAGGTGTGTTGGCTGCATCACTGCAATTACATGGCATGTTTTATTCATGAGAGAGGCCGCAGACTGTCTTGGTGATCATCAGAACCAGTTTCTCCCTCTCAAATGAGCATCAGAAAGGGCTGCATAATGACAGTCACCAACAGAAAATTAAAGGTTCTTGCTTTTTCTCCCATTACATTGCAAGATAATTAAAGCTCAGACCAATACAATGTTGAACATCTTTATTCAGAAATTTGATTTCCACTACATCAGACAGGCATTTAAATGCTTTAGGCCAGCTGCTGGCAACTTTACTGGGTGGGCCAATGATAAAGACATAGTCTTTCCAACTTGTTTTGCCAGTGCCCAACCAAAGAGAGGGAATAGGCCTGGCAAGTGGACCCTCTGCTTTGTGCCTACTGGCTCCGGGTAACACATCCAAAAGAGCTGTTTTATTGAAAAGAGACAAACCACTAAAAAAAAAATGTTACATAAACTATGGAACATGAGAGGGTCTAATTCTGATATGCACTATTTCCATAAAGCCTGACTCTGTCCTCATTTGTATGGGTAAACTGGCTGTCAACATAGGAGTTCTTTCTTTTTATTTCAACCTTTATTTTAGATTCGGGAGGGTGCATGTGCAGGTTTATTACATGGGTATATTGCGTGATGCGGAGGTTGGAGATACAAATGATCCCATCACCCAGGCAGCAAGCATTGTACCCAATAGGTAGTTTTTCAGCCCATGCCCTCCTCCTTCTTCCCCCTGCCCCGCCATGTAATCCCCATTGCCTATTGTTCTCTTCTTTTTGTCCATGAGTACCCAATGCTTAGCTCTCACTTATAAGAGAGAACATAGCATGGGATTTGAATAGCAAGTCCCCATTATAAAGACAAGACCATCCCAATGCAGATCATTACGAGACAGCAAGAGCATTAGATGTACAGAAAGGGGTCAGCAGAATGTGGACACAAAACTTATTAGAGGGAGAGAGGATAGATAGATGATAGATAGATAGATAGATAGATAGATAGATAGATAGATAGATAGACAGAAATATGTAAGGACCTGGCTATAGAGTATGTGAAGACAACTGGGACAGTGACAGAAGCGCAATGGCATTCCGTAAATGTGGGCACTGTTACTGACAAAGAAGCAGGGTAGGTTTGTATAAGTTATGTGGCCAGGTCAGAAAACATGCTTTTGAGCAAGTTGCTCAACCTTTCTAAGCCTGTTCATGAACATATAGCAAGTATTGAAATAAGGAAATATTTAAAAAATTATACAGGGACTTCTATTTCCAGGAAGATGGAGTAAACGTATTTTCTTTATTCCTCCTACAAGGTACATCAAAAGCTCCTGGATATTATATATAAAATAAACCTAAATCTAAACAGGGAGAAAAGGAGACAGACTGCTAGGGACCTCAGGATGCCAAGAACTTCATGGCAGTGAGTTCCGGGGTTTCTTTTTTCCTCATATAACCTAGAGTGGGTGTGGGGGAAGCCAGTCACTAGAAACAGACACAAAGAGCCTTAACAGAAGTCTGCTGTCTCTAATCAAAGGTACAGGAGGTGGGCGGCCTAGCAAGACAAAAAACTTTTAGAAAATAAGTACTCTACTGCAGCTAAACACCTTTACAAACAACTGTGCTTCACCCCCACCACACCAGCAAAGATCAACTGATGAGCCTAGACTTTCAGCCTCTCCAAGCCCCCAATCATCACCATATCAGAGTGCTGCCAAAGAAAGCTAAGAAGAAGGCCAGGACTTTCATCCTCCAACTGTAGCCCCAAGTCTTCCCACCCACCATGGTATCAGATGATACCATGATGTGAGAGGAGGCCTAGTGAAGAGATGGGACTTTCACCCCCACCTAGAAGTAATGAAGCAACCCCACCAGTGATATCAATGGGGGCCACATGGGGAGCAGTAACAAGGCACTCCTATACCTCCCAGCCAGGAAAACATCCATGGAGGCATAGGAGGAAGTCACAACGCTTACTCCCAAGCAGAAGTAACAAGAAGCCCCCCAACTAAGACATCTATCTGTACCTGGCAGGAAAGTGACACCCTCCCCATTTCCTTGCTGAGGAAGTACAGAGGAGGCCAGTTAAAATAGAAGGTTTAAATAAAATTAGAAGTCTCATAATAACCAAAATATCCAGGTTTCCATTTTTAAAAATCACCCATCATATCAAGTACCAGAAAGATTTCAAACTGAATGAAAAGCATCAAGAGATACCAACACAAAATGACAAAGATGTGAGAATTATCTGACACAGATTTTAGAGAAGGCATAGTAAAAAATGTTTTCATACTTGAAATATGTTTTAAAAATAGAGAATCTTAGTAAAGAAACATAAGCTATAAAGAAGAAGCAAATGGAAATCTTAGAACTGAAAAATACAATAACTGAAAATTTTCCTCAAAAGCAGAATTAAGAGAGCAGACGAAAGGACCAGTGAACTTTAAGATAAAACAACATAAATGATAAAATCTAAGCAATAGGGAGAAAATAAACTTTAAAAAATCAACAGAGCCTTAGGTACCTATGACACTATATCAAAAGATCTAACATTCATGTTTTCCAAGCCCTGGAAGGAGAGAGGAAAAGAAGGTGGAAGACTGAAAACTACAAGAAGAAATAACGACTGGAGACTTCCCATATTTGGAAAAAGATACAAATCTATAGATTCAAGAAGCTGAGTGAACTCCAAATTGGGGGAGACATCCACAGCAAGACATATTATACTCAAATGTTAAAAACTAAAGACAATGTTTTAAAAATGGAAGCAGTGAGAGAGAAACAGCATATTACCCATAGGGCAAAAACAGTTAGAATGTCACTGGATTTCTCATCAGAAACCATGGAGGCCAGGAGGAAATGGGACCTTTTTCAAGTACTAAAAGAAAACAACTATTATCCCAAAATCCTATACCCAGTGGTAATAACGTTCAAGAATGAAGGGGAAATGCAGACATTCCTGGAGAAAGGAAAACTAAAAGAATTTGTCGCCAGCTGACATGGTTTGGCTCTGTGTCCCCACCCAAATCTCATCTCGAATTGTAATCCCCACGTGTCAAGGGAGAGACCTGGTGGGAGGTGACTGGATCATGGGGATGGTTTCCCCCTGCTGTTCTAGTGACAGTGAGTGAGTTCTCACAAGATTTGATGGTTTTATAAGTGGCAGTTTTGCCTGCTTTCTTCTCTCTCTCCTGCAGCCTTGTGAAGAACATGCCTGCTTCTACTCCTGCCATGATTGTAAGTTTCCTGAGGCCTCCCCAGCCATGCAGAACTCTGAGTCAATTAAACCTCCTTTGTTTATAAATTACCCAGTCTCAGGTAGTATTTTTATAACAATGTGAAAACAGACTAATGAACAGGCAGACCTGCCCTAACAGAATGATTAAAGGACATTATCTAAACATAAAGGAAACTATAAGAGAAAGAATTTTGAACATCAGGATGAAAAAAGGAACACAATAAGGAAAGCTATGGGTAATTACAATAGACTTTCCTTCCATTCCTAAAAAATTTTAATTCAATTCCTATGAAACTCCCCCTAAGGTTTTTTTTTTAACTTTTATTTTAAGTTCAGGGGTACAAGTGCAGGTTTGTTACATATGTGAATTTGTGTTGTAGGGGTTTGTTGTACAGATTATTTAATCACCCAGGTATTAAGCCTAATACCCACTCATTATTTTTCCTGATTCTCTCCCACCTCCCACCCTCCACCTCCCATAAAGTCCCAGTGTGTGTTCCCCTCTATGTGTCCATGTGTTCTCATCATTTAGTTACCACTAATAAATGAGAACATGCAGTATTTGGTTTTCTGTTCCTGAGTTAGTTTGCTAAAGGTAATGGCCCCCAGCTCCATTTATGTTCCTGCAAAGGACATGATCTCATTCATTTTTATGGCTGCATAGTATTCCATGGTGAATATGTATTACATTTTCTTTATCTAGTATCTTTGACAAACCTAACAAAAATAATCTATGGAGAAAGGAATCCCCGCTCAATAAATGGTGCTGGGATAACTGGCTAACCATGTGCAGAAGATTGAAACTGAGCTCCATTCTTACACAATATACAAAAGTAACTCAAGATGGATTAAAGATTTAAATGTAAAACCCAAAACTATAAAAACCCTGGAAGACAACCTAAGCAATGCCATTCAAGACATAATCACAGGCAAAGATTTCATGAGGAAGGGGTTTTTTTAAATAGATATAGAGAAGATTATTCTAAAATGTATATGGAAAGACAAAAGAATTGGCATAACTAAAACAACTTTGAAAAAAAAAGAAATGGAGTGGGAGGAATTAATGTGTACAATTACAAAACACATAACACAGTTATCAAGACTGTGCAGTAAATTGGAGGGACAGACACGAAGATCAACAGAACAGAATTAAGAAACTCAAAATAGACCCGCACGAAAAGGTCAAACTGATTTTTGACAAAGATGCAAAAATAATTGCATGGAAAAAGGGTAGCCTATACAACAAATAGTCCTAGAGCTATTGGACATGCATGAAAAAAAAATTTCTACCTAAGTCTCACATCTTTGTTTTTTTCATGTTGTTGTTGTTGTTTTCTTTGAGACAGAGTCTTGCTCTGTCACCCAGGCTGGAGTGCAATGGCATGACCTCCACCTCCTGGGTTCAAGTGATTCTCCTGCCTCAGCCTCCCAAGTAACTGGGATTACAGGTGGCCAAGACCACGCCTGGCTAATTTTTGTATTTTTAGTAGAGACGGGGTTTCACTGTGTTGGCCAGGCTGGTTTTAAGCTCCTGACCTCATGTGATCCGCCTGCCTCAGCCTCCCAAAATGCTGGGATTACAGGCATGAGCCACCAAGCCAGGCCAAGTCTCACACCTTTTAACAAAAATCAAAATGAATAACAGATTTGAATGTAAAATGTAAAAACTATGAAACTTCTAGAACATACATGGGAGAGCTACACAAATAATTCTTAGACTTGATACCAGAGGATAGTCCATAAAAGGAGAATTTAAAAAAATTAGATCTCATGAAAATTTTAAAATTTTTGCTTTGTGAAAAAGTCCCATAAGGGAACGCAAAGACAAGCTATACAGTGGAGAAATAATTACAAACCACATATCTGACAAAGAAATAACTAGAACATGTAAAGAACTTTCAAAACTCAACAGTAAAAATTTTTAAAAATTCTATTAGAAAATTAGCAAAACACATGAAATAATCATATCACTGAAAAATCTACAAATGGCAAATAAACAGAAAAAAGATGTTCAATATTGTTAGTAATTAGAGAAATGCACATTAAAACCAAAGTGAAATATCACTCATAACTATCAGAATGGTTAAAATAGAAAATAATAATAACACCAAATGTGGGCAAAGATTCTGGGAAACTGGACATTCATATATTGCTAGTGGTGATGTAAAGTGGCACAACCAATCTGGGAAAGTTGATGGCAGTTTCCTACAAAACTAAATGTAAAACTACCATACAACCCAGTAATTGCACTTCTGAGCATTTGTCTCAGAGAAATAAAAACCAAAGTTCACACAAAAACCTTACATTAACATTTGTAGCAATTTACTCATAATAACCTAAAACTGGTAACAACTTAGAGGTCCTTCAATGGGTTAGTCAAATAGTGGTGCATACATACTATGGAATTCTACTCAGCAACAACAAATAACAAATATACAACAACCTAGGTGAATCTCCAGAGAATTATGTGAATGAAAAAATTCCAACCCCAAAAGGTTACATATTGCATGATTCCATCTATATAACATTCTTGAAATGACACAGTCATAGAAATGGTGAATAAATTAGTGGTTGCCAGAGTTTAAGGAGAAGTGGGGGTGGAAAAGTAGGGCCAACATGAGGCATACTCTTTTTTTTTTTTTTTTTGAGATAGAGTTTCACTCTTGTCGCCCAGGCTGGAGTGCAATGGCACAATCTCGGCTCACTGCAACCTCCGCCTGCTGGGTTGAAGCGATTCTCCTGCCACAGCCTCCCAAAGTAGCTGGGATTATAGGTGCCTGCCACCATGCCCAGGTAATTTTTTAATTTTTTTTAATTTTTAGTAGAGATGGGGTTTTACCATGTTGGTCAGGCTGGTTTGGAACTCCTGACCTCAGGTGATCCACCCACCTCGGCCTCCCAGAGTGCTGGGATTACAGGTGTGAGCCACTGGGCCTGGCGGAGGCATACTCTTCTTGACTCTATCAATGTCAATATCTTGGTCATAATATTTTCTAAGATGTTATCATTGGCGAAACTGAGTAAAGGGTACATGGGATGTCTGCATTCATTTTTGCAACTGCATCTAAATCTGCAATTATCTCAAAATTTAAAAAAAATTTAAATTATACAGCATATTTGCTGAAAAATACTAGTGACAACAGTGGCTAGAAGAGTGATTATTAGTGTATTATTATTACATTTGGAGCCAGAGAGATATACATTTTTGCCTTTTTCTACTTCTTTATTGTCTAGAAAGTTATTCTCCCAGACACTCTCATGCTTCCCCCACTCTCTTCCTTTAGCTCTTCAGTCAAAAATCATGTCAGGAGACCTTCCTTGCCCAACTTATATAAAATTGCAGGCTTCCCCATCCCCCACCAGTATTACATATTCCCCATCCCTAATCAATTTTCTTTTCTCCTTAGAACTTATCACCTCTAATGCATTCTATATTTTATTTATTAATCTTGTTTCTGTGTCTTCCTCCTAGAATGTATGCTGTAAGAGGGCAGGGATCTTTGTCAGTTTTGTCTCAGCATTGCATTCTCATTGCTATTAACAGTGTTGGACCCATAGTAAGCACTCAATAAATATGTATTTAGTGAATGAATTGCTAAAATTAATTTCTGTATGTGTGTTACAGGGTCCTCATATGTAAAGTTGAGTTAATGATACTTCTTTTTCATGTTATTATGAGCACTAAATGAGATATTCAAAAACACAACTTTCTCAGGATATATAAAGAATTTCTACAACTCAAAAACAAAAAAAATAGGCCCGGCGCGGTGGCTCACGCCTGTAATCCCAGCACTTTGAGAGGTCAAGGCGGGTGGATCACGAGGTCAAGACATTGAGATCATCCAGTCCAACATGGTGAAACCCCGTCTCCACTAAAAATACAAGAATTAGCTGGGCATGGTAGCATGCACCTGTAGTCCCAGCTACTTGGGAGGCTGAGGCAGGAGAATCGCTTGAACCCAGGATGCGGAGGTTGCAGTGAGCCCAGATCGTGCCACTGCACTCCAGCCTGGCAACAGAGCAAGACTCCACCTCAAAAAAATAAAAATAAAAATAAACAAACAAAAAAAAAACCTGACTTTTTTCTAATTGGGTAAAGGATGTGAATAGACATTTTCCCAAGGAAGATCTACAAATAACCAAACAGTACTTGAAAAGATGCTCTACATCACTAATCATTAGGAAAATGCAAAAAAAAAAAAAAAAAAAAAAAAAAAAAAGGACCACAATGATACCACCTCATTAGAAAGGCTGTAACTGAAACAAAGCAAAACCTAAAAGAACTATTGTCAAGAATGTGGAGATATCAGAACCCTTGTGTCCTGCTGGTAGGAATGTTTCAACTGTGGAAACAGTATGGTGGTTCCCTCAAAAATTAAAAATACCATTGCCATGTGATCCAGCAATTTCACTTCTAAGTGTATACCCAAAAGAATTGAAAGCAGGAACTCAAACAGGTATTGGTACACATGTGTTCATAGAAGTATTATTCATATAGACAAAAGGTGGGGGCAACTCACGTGTCCATTGATGGATGAATGGACAAACAAAATGTGACATATACATTTATACATGCACTGGGCCTTAAAAAGAAAGAAAATTCTGACGCATTACTGGTGAAAGTGTAAAATGGAACACTCCTTTGGAAAACTTTGTCAGTTTCTGAGAAAATTAAACAGAACCTACCCTGTGACCTAGCAATTCCCTGTCTATATGCAAAAGAAATGAGTGATTAGATACACAAAAATACATGTAGAAAGATGTCCATAGAAGCTTTATTCATAATGATTCAAAACTGAAAATAAACCCAATATTTATCAGCAGAAGAATGGATACATAAACTGTGGTATCCTCAAATGAGTATTTTTTGAAGTTCTACTATGTGCAAAACACACCCCTCACCCTTAGCATCTCTTCCTTTAGCAGGCATGACACCCTTTCCTTGGGGATTCCGTTTGTTTCTCTGGTTCCTCTGAAAGCAGGGAGGGAGCAGGAACACTATATATTAATATATCCTGGCACCAGACACAAGCCCAACTTCCCTAGTGGCTATCACACTCTAGATTCTAGGGCACACTGTATTCAACAAATGTCCAATTACATAAACATTTCATGATGCTAGACCCTGAATAGAAGATACAAAAATGATTAAGCCATGATTGTTGATGACAAGATAGTGATTCACAAGTTGATACTTGGACTCAGAAAGACTTGAGCTTGAATCCCAGGTCTTACTAGCTATGTACTCTTGGGCAAGTCCAGGTCTCCTAATCTGTATAAGGCATCTGCACAATGCAAACAATCACAATAGTGCCCACCAAAAGAGCGTCCTAAGAATTTAATGAGAGGATACATGTGAAGTGATGTCCAGTGCCTAGGAGGTTTTAAATCAATGCAATTTATTATTATTATTATTATTAATGTTCTCAACCTAGTGATGAGATAAGGCAAATAGTAACTAATTATAAACATAAAGCAATGATAAGAGATGCCAAATAAAAGTAAAACATGCTTTGAGGATATTTAGAGGGAGAAGAGGCTAATTTGAACTAGCAAAATTCTGGTGAGTTCCTATGAGACTTATAGAGAGTTACGATTTGTCAGCTTAGGAAACAAGAACTGTGGTTTTAATTTTCATGATCAAAAAGTGCAGCAAGAGGTGAAATGACGTAAAATAAATAGCATCAGGTTTGAAACACCCCACAGCCTTAGATTTAAATTGAGGCTTATTCATTAATTAGCCAGAGGATTTTGGACAAGTAATTTAACTCTTCTACACTTCATTTTCATCATTTGCAAATGATGACAATTCTTATTTCTAATGGTTATTGAAAAGAAAAAGAAATATTTATCAAACACCTCACACAATACCAGCTACTCAATGCATAAATTTTAACAATTATGCATTGTTAAACAATATTATATAAATGTTATATAAATATAAAAATAATATATTTTAACATATTAACTGACCATGAAACTAAGGGTCCACACACTATTTCTCTGAGAGTGAGGCTTGGGCAGGGGGCAGTTCTTTTCAAAAAGGCAACCTCATGACCAACCTGGTGGCATTCACCTCCAGCAATGACTCTTCAGCGGTTATAGGCCACTAGGAGAACCTAGTTGTCCTTTCAGCCAGGAAAATTCCCATACACATGAAAATTTTTGCATTCATTCCAGTAGTTCTAACACTCCCTGAAACACAATTCATGAAGTTACTGAGTTTCCAGAACCCTCAATAAATAATGTAGCACCAGAAAAAAAAAAAAAAAATCATGAGCCAAATCTTCAAAGGCAAGTCTTTTAGACTCTCACTCCTATTACCTGATATTAATTTTTACTGAATAGGAACCAAGTTGGCAGACTCAAGTGTAAAGAGCGAACCTGGTAAAAAAAAAAAAAACACTTTTCTCTGTGATGGCATTTTTTTTCTCACTCCGATAGCTGACCAAATTTCATGCACCATTAATACTGTCCTAATCTTCCGCTGCCTGCAGCCTGCCAAGCCCACAGACAAGAGCCCTGCTGCTGTGACCTTCAGGTCGGTGGTCTTGTGTGCTTGTCAGTAAATCCACATGGAGTCGTTTGTCAAACCCCTGCTGCCCTCAACACATTTCCTTCCCCCAAATGGATATCTACTGAGTACACTTAAGCCCTGCCCTCACATTGCCAAAGGGCCAGGTTGACTGAGGGATTTTTAAAATAATGTTTGCCCAGATAGTTTGATAGTGTGTGTAAACAGCCTGAATGTTTTGAGAGATGAGATTCTGATGTAGAAAAAACGGTGCATTTTCACTTGAAATGTCTGTGAAAACTGCTGTATCTTTCTGAAAATGTCAGCTTTAATTTAATCCTGACAATAAGAAGATAATCAATAAATCTCAGATTCTCAGTATTTTGCTTCTGTCATCATTATCATCATCATTAGTATCATCATTCTGCTTCTTACCCATTTGTTCACCTCTCCCTCCCATTCCACTCTCTGCCTTTCTCTATGCCCCCAGAGGCTGATTCCTACAGACCCCATCTCCCGGGCTCCCTCACCGCCAGTTTCCTGATTGGCTTAGTCAATTGGAGGCACAGGCTGCAGCTCAGAGCTTAGGGTGTTTCTTTTCCCTCCCTCCCTGCTTTGCTTGCATTTCTAAGAGTAGCTGCGTCCCTTCAATCACAGCTGCTGTGAAGCGGACCTGCTCCAAGAATTCAGCTCTCACTTGACTCTATAATATTTTCTCTCCTTGCCCCTCAGAACTAAGGTTGGTAACAGCTTCCCACTATTGCTAATCTCTGGATGCTGCAGCACCTCTGCATAGTTTCCTGACCTTGCTCATTGCACATCCTTCTGTGAATGTCTCTGATACCATCATATCGAATATCATCTTCTCTACGACTGTTATTTTATTGATTGCTCCTCACTGTACTGAGTGCCCCAAAACACAAACTCATTTAGCCTTGACAAAAATTCCAATGGGAAAGTATTTCACAGATGAGAAAGCCAACTTAGCAGTTTTAAGGATCTTATTCCAGGTAACACAACTAGGAAGTGTCAGAGTCAGAATTCAAAGCCAGCTCTTCCACTCCAAAGTCTGTATTTAACCACTGCCAACAACTCCGCAACACAGCCCACATAAGAATCACCCGAAGTGTTTGCTGAAAATCCAGATTTTGGGGGAGGAGCCAAGATGGCCGAATAGGAACAGCTCCAGTCTACAGCTCCCAGCGTGAGTGACGCAGAAGACAGGTGATTTCTGCATTTCCAACTGAGGTACCGGGTTCCTCTCACTGGGGAGTGCCAGACAGTAGGCGCAGGACAGTGGGTGCAGCACACTGTGCGCGAGCCGAAGCAGGGCGAGGCATCGCCTCACCAGGGAAGCGCAAGGGGTCAGGGAATTCCCTTTCCTAGTCAAAGAAAGGGGTGACAGACGGCACCTGGAAAATCGGGTCACTCCCACCCTAATACTCCCCTTTTCCAATGGGCTTAAAAAACGGCACACTAGATTATATCCCTCACCTGGCTCAGAAGGTTGTATGCCCACGGAGTCTCCCTCATTGCTAGCACACCAGTCCGAGATCAAACTGCAAGGCGGCAGCGAGGCTGGGGGAGGGGCGCCCGACACTGCCTAGTTAGTTGTTTGATTAGGTAAACAAAGCGGCCTGGAAGCTCGAACTGGGTGGAGCCCACCACAGCTCAAGGAGGCCTGCCTGCCTCTATAGGCTCCACCTCTGCGGGCAGGGCACAGAGAAACAAAAAGACAGCAGTAACCTCTGCAGACTTAAATGTCCCTGTCTGACAGCTTTGAAGAGAGTAGTGGTTCTCCCAGCATGCAGCTTGAGATCTGAGAACGGGCAGACTGCCTCCTCAAGTGGGTCCCTGACCCCCGAGTAGCCTAACTGGGAGGCACCCCCCAGTAGGGGCGGACTGACACCTTACACGGCTGGGTACTCCTCTGAGACAAAACTTCCAGAGGAATGATCAGGCAGCAGCATTTGCAGTTCACCAAAATCCACTGTTCTGCAGCCACTACTTCTGATACCCAGGCAAACAGTGTCTGGAGTGGACCTCTAGCAAACTCCAACAGACCTGCAGCTGAGGGTCCTGTCTGTTAGAAGGAAAACTAAGAAACAGAAAGGACATCCACACCAAAAACCCATCTGTACGTCACCATCATCAAAGACCAAAGGTAGATAAAACCACAAAGATGGGAAAAAAACAGAGCAGAAAAACTGGAAACTCTAAAAATCAGAGCGCCTCTCCTCCTCCAAAGAAACGCAGCTCCTCACCAGCAACGGAACAAAGCTGGACGGAGAATGACTTTGACGAGTTGAGAGAAGAAGGCTTCAGACCATCAAACTACTCCGA